>NC_000014.9:52945046-53248076 GCF_000001405.40 Homo sapiens | reverse complement strand
CCAAATAGATTATAAATAGTGTCTGCCTCCCTTAGAGATTCTGTCAGAGTCTAGTCAGGAAAACTGAAACCACTCCAGTATTTCAAAGAGCAGAAATTTAATACAGCACATGAGTTAAACAGGTGACAGAAGGGCTGAGCAGTCAAACAGGGGACAGCAAGGCAACGCAGAGGTTTGCAACAACAGAAAGCCACTACCATTCCTAGAACTAGACGAACATAGCTCTGGAGCATGGGGTCCCTCTCCACCTAGCAGGACCATAGTGAGCCTGCCTGGCAGGAGCTGGGCCAGCAGCCAGAACAGGGGAGCAAGCTGCCAGGCAGGAGCTGGGACATGAGACGGGATGCACCTGCTGTCGAAGACCTCCCCAGAGGCTGAAGAAAAGGAAGAAACATTCTTACTTCTCCCCTCTTCCTTCTTTCTAGTCTCCCACCAGTGTCTTCCTTTGACCAAGCCCACTGGAAACCAGTTTACAACAAAGCCTGGGAACTGTAATCTCCTGTGACACCTAGCAGGGCCAGGGGAGGGCAGGGGGGAAATTAATATCAGGGCAAAAAGCAAGTCACCGGCAGTGTGGCTGGGAGGACAAAATGCAGTCAACCTTAAAGCCCTTGGCCCAGTACCTATACCTAGTAAATATTCAATAAACTGTAGTTATTATGAAAATTAATAGTGTGAATTTTCCAGCTTCATTTCCCACTCCTCATCCTGAATTCTCTTCTCAGTCAAATAGAGCTACGAATCTTTTCCCAGTGGTAGTAGGCCTCCGTGCTTTTGCATATACTGTTGACTGCCAATGAGGTACTTCCTCCTCCTTTCTCTACCAGTTGACTCCCAGAGGATGAGAGGAGGGGTTGGAGCTATCCAGGACCCCAGCCTGCTCACAGGCAAAGGGGCACAGCATGAGCTTGCCAGTACTGCCTGCGAATGCTGTAGCTGAGGACCTTGGTTGAACACCACATGGCACCAAATGCATTACCATCCCTGGGATTACTCAAAAAGGCCTCTCTCCAGGGGTTACCCATGATTCTCCCTAGACCAGGGGATATTTTGCCTTTCTGGAAGTAGCAACCTGCTGTGTGATTCTTCCTCTGTCATGGCTTCCCAATCTCGCTTTAGTTCTGTTTAATTCCACTTAACATAGATATCAAAAATACACCCGATTCTGCTAAACACCAGGGATGCGAAGATGAAGAAAATATAGATCTTCCTTGTCCTCAAGGATTTTATACTCAGTAGGAAAGATATCTATCTAAAGATTACTTCAACTCAGTGTGGTAAGTGACCAAATAAAATGGTATTCACAGTGTGGGAGTCCAGAGGAGGGACTCTTAGCTCAATATGTGGTTTAGGAAATGGCTTCCAGAAGAAGGTAAGTATTCAAGGTTAAAGGGTTTTAAAGTGAAGAACATGAGCAAAGGTACCAATGGAAGAAATAGCAGAGTGTGCTGAGAAACTGGCACACAAAGGGACAAAGAGAGGGACAAAAGAGGAGAGAGAGAAAAGGGCAAGACATGGAGACAGCTTTGCCTTGGTGCAGAGATTTAGGAACCACCAGAAAGTTTTGAGCAGAGTGAAGTCAGGGGAAGCATAATTAGATTTGTGTATAGAGGAAGATCTAGAAGTACCAAGGGGTCTGAGTGTGGCCTGTTTAAAGCACAGATAGAAGACTACTCTCTAGCTGGAGTGAGTATCTTAGTCCACTTGGACTGCTATTAAAAAAAACCATAAACTGGTATAAAACAACAGAAATTTATTTCTCACAGTTCTGGAGGCTGGGAAGTCCCAGATCAAGGCGCAGGCAGAGTCAGTATCTGCCAAGAACCCCATATCCTGGTTCACAGATGGCACATTCTTACTATGTCCTTACCTGGTGGAAAGGATAAGGAGTCCCTCTCAGGCCTCTTTTATAAGGGAACTAATTTCATTTATAAAGGCTTTGCTCCCATGATCTACTTACTTCCCAAAAGGTCCCATCTCCTAATACCATCATCTTAAGGATTAAGATTTCAGTATGAATTTTGAGGATACGCAAACTTTGAGGCCATAGCAGGGAGTGAGGGAGATACTATTGGAGGGGGCTGGTAGGCCATGGTAAAAAGTCTAGGTTTGATTCTAAGTGACATGGCAATCTCTTTAAGGGTTATAGTGGTGGAGTGACATTGTCTGACTTACGTTTTAATTTATATTAAATCTTGCTCCCACATAGACATTGGAAGGGAACAGGGCAAGAAACAGCATGCCTAGTGGTTTAGTTTGGGTTTCCCCAAAAGCAGATCATGAGACACGGACTTGGGGGCAGATAATTTATTTGAAAGATGATCCCAAGATCTCAAGTTTGGGAATAAGGAAAACAGGGAAGGGTTACTGCTGTCAACTGAAGAAAATGACAAGACAAATCTCAATCATTTTAGGAGATTTATTTGCCAAAGTTAAAGCTGCACTCAGGAGACAGGTCTATGCCTTTCTCCAAAGATGATTTTGAGGGCTCCAATTTAAAGGGGAAAGGGCGGGATATTGAGAAGCACATAGTTTTCACATAAACAAAAGGGGCAGAGGAAAAATGTGCAGTATCTGCATTTTACATAAGATGACACAGACAAAATGGGATAGGGGAACAATCAGATATGCATTTGTGTCTGGTGGGTCCAGGGTGACTGCACCTGTAAAGATAAGCTACCAATTTGCATTGCCATGGTGAAGTTTTAAGAGCTCACCAGGAATTTCCTTGTGGGCAAAATATGAGGGAGGCGGTAGCTTTTCATCTTGTAGCCATCTTATTTAGGAACCAAAGCAGGAGGCAGGTTTGCATGACACAGTTCCTAGCTTCACTTTCCCTTTGACTAAATGAGTTTAGGGTCCCAAAATTTAATTTCCTTTCACACTGTGTATTAGTTCATTTTCATGCTGCTGATAAAGATATATGTGAGACTGGAAATAAAAAAAGGTTTAATTGGACTTACAGTTCCACATGGCTGGGAGGCCTCAGAATCATGGCGGGAGGCAAAAGGCAGTTCTTACATGGTGGTGGCAAGAGAAAAATGAGGAAGATGCAGCGGAAACCCCTGATAAAACCATCAGATCTCATAAGACTTATTCACTACCACAAGAACAGTATGGGGGAAACTGCCCCCATGATTCAAATTATCTCCCACCGGGTCCCACCCACAATACGTGGGAATTATGGGAGTATAATTCAAGATGAGATTTGGGTAGAGACAATGAGCCAAACCATATCATTCCACCCCTGGCCCCTCCAAATCTCATGTCTTCACATTTCAAAACCAATTATGCCTTCCTGACAGTCCCCCAAAGTCTTAACTCATTTCAGCATTAACCCAAAAGTCCACAGTCTTATCTGAAACAAGGCAAGTCCCTTCCACCTATGAGCCTGTAAAATCAAAAACAAGCTAGTTACTTCCTACATACAATGGGGGTACAGGTATTGGGTAAATACAGCCATTCCAAATATAATATTTATAATACTTAATAAATACTTATATAATACTTAATAAACTCCCCTTTATATAGAGAGTTTATATATATAAAAATATATTATATATATTTTGTATATATATTATATATAAATATATTTTTTATATATATATCCTATTAGCTCTGTCCCTCTAGAGAATGCTGACTAATACACAGGCATTGGGTAAATATAGCCATTCTAAATGGGAGAAATTGGCCAAAACAAAGGAGGTAGAGGCCCCATGCAAGTCTTAAATCCAGCAGGAGAGTCAAACATTAAAGCTCCAAAATGATCTCCTTTGACGCCATATGTCACATCTGGGTCACGCTGATCCAAGAGGTGGTTTCCCACGGTCTTGGGCAGCTTTGCTCCTGTAGCTCTGTGGGGTAGAGCCTCCCTCCTGGCTGCTTTCATGGGCTGGCATTGGGTGTCTGCAGCTTTTCCAGGTGAACAGTGCAAGCTGTCAGTGGATCTATCATTCTGCAGTCTGGAGGACAGTGGCCCTCTTCTCACAGCTCCACTATGTGGTGCTCCAGTAGGGACTCTGTGTGGGGGCTCCAACCCCACATTTCCCTTCAGCACTGCCCTAGCAGAGGTTCTCCATGAGGGCCCTGCCCCTGCAGCAAACTTATGCCTGGACATCTGGGCATTTCCATACATCTTCTGAAATCTGGGCAGAGGTTCCCAAACTCCAGTTCTTGACTTCTGTGTACTCACAGGCTCAACATCACGTGGAAGCTGCCAAGGCTTGGGGCTTGCACCCTCTGAAGCCACAGCTCAAGCTCTGTGTTGGCCCCTTTCAGCCATGGCTGGAGTGGCTGGGACACAGGGCACCAAGTCCCTAGACTGCACCCAGCAGAGGGACCCTGGGTCTGGCCCAGGAAACCATTTTTTTCTCCTAGGCCTCTAGGCCTGTGAGGAGAGGGGCTGACACAAAGGTCTCTGACATGCCCTGGAGACATTTTCCCCTTTGTCTTGGGAATTAACATTCGGCTCCTCGTTACTTATACAAGTTTCTGCAGCCAGCTTGAATTTCTCCTCAGAAAATGAGATTTTCTTTTCTATCACATTGTCAGGCTACTAATTTTCCAAACTTTCATGCTCTGTTTCCCTTTTGAAACTGAATACTCTGGCCGGGCCTGGTGGCTCATGCCTGTAATTCCAGCACTTTAGGAGGCCAAGGTTGGGGGATCATGAGGTCAGGAAATCAGGACCATCCTGGCCAACATGGTGAAATCCCATCTCTACTAAAAGTACAAAAATTAGCTCGGCATGGCAGTGTGTGCCTGTAATCTCAGCTGTTCAGGAGGCTGAGGCAGAAGAATCGCTTGAACCTGGGAGGCAGAGGTTGCAGTGAGCCTTGATCGTGCCACTGCACTCCAGCCTGGAGACAGAGCTAGACTCTGTCTCAAAAATAAATAAATAAATAATAAATAAACAAACAAACAAACCTGAATACTTCTAACAGCTAGACTCTGTCTCAAAAATAAATAAATAAATAAATAAATAAATAAATAAATAAATAAATAAACAAACCTGAATACTTCTAACAGCACCAAGTCACCTCTTGAATGCTTTGCTGCTTAGAAATTTCTTCCACCAGATACCCTAAAACATCTCTCCCAAGTTCAAAGTTCCACAAATCTGTAGGGCAGGGGCAAAATGCCACCAGTCGCTTTGCTAAAACATAACAAGAGTTACCTTTGCTCCAGTTCCCAACAAGTTCCTCATCTCCATCTGAGACCACCTCAGCCTGGACCTTATTGTCCATATCATTATCAGCATTTTGGTCAAAACCATTCAACAAATCTCTAGGGAATTTCAAACCTTCCCACTTTTTCCTGTCTTCTTCTGAGCCCTCCAAACAGTTCCAACCTCTGCCTGCTACCCAGTTCCAAAGTCACCTCCACATTTTTAGGTATCTTTTCAGCAAAGCCCCACTCCCAACACCAATTTCCTCTATCAGTCCATTTTCATGCTGCTGATAAAGACATACCCAAGACTGAGAAGAAAAAGAGGTTTAATGGACTTACAGTTCCACATGGCTGGAGAGGCCTCACAATCATGGCAGAGGTTAGGAGGAGTAAGTCATGTCTTACATGGATGGCAGCAGGCAAAAAAAGAGCTTGTGCAGGGAAACTCCCCCTTATAATACCATCAGATCTCGTGAGACTTATTCACTATTACAAGAAAAGCATGGGAATGACCTGTCTCCATGATTCAATTACCTCCCACTGGATCCCTTCCACAACATGGGAATTCAAGATGAGATTTGGGTGGGGACACAGCCAAACCATATCAGTCCCCAACCCAATCAATTATTTATTGGCACCTTCAACAAGCATATTACTTTGTTTCCTCTCTTTCCTTCCTTTCTTTCTTCCTCCTTTCTTTCTTCTTTTCAACACATGTATACTAAATGCTGACTATCGACCAGGCACTATTCCAGGCAGAGTGATCCAATGGTGAATAAGACAGACCCTCATGGGGTTTTCTTTCTAGTAAGAAGATACACAGTTAAAACAGCCATTTTAAAACTTATGCTATCTGCTATGATAGGATAAGAACCTAATAGAAGACCTAACCAAATTCCTAGTGGGTTAGGTAAAGTTTTCTTGGGGACAGGACATTCAGGCTTAACCCTGAAGGAAGACAGAAAGTAAGAGTGGTCCAGGCACCTACCATATGAGATGTCCTTGGATTTCTTCTTTTCTTTTTCAGTCTTTCTTCAAAGATATTAACTGCCAGCGCTTCTGTTGCCCACAAAGTCAGGTAAGATACCTCAGTCTGGCCTTTGCTGCCAGTGGCCCCCATCAACAGCACCTCAAAACCCAATTCATTTTCTCCCTGCTTCTCAAATTTAATTGTCTTCTTCCAGGTTGAATTTAATTGCAACTTAAATTATCTTCAAAAAGATGACACTAAGATTGTGAATGGGTTTTTTAAAAATTGCATTTACAGAAAGGTACAGAAACAAAACAATAGAATGTAAATTTGGTATAAGGGAAACAAATATTTATATTCAGTAAATGATTGCAATTCCTATTATGTTGGAATTGCAAGAGTTTAAGAGGCTTTTCCCTGCTTCCTCAAACAGGACTCTCAATGGTTGCAACCTGGTTAAGCAAAAGAAAATTCTAAGTTCAGCGTCTCCTTCTGCTCACATGTGAAATCAAAGCTACCTAACAGTTCAAAAGTTTCCATGTGCCCACGAAGAGTAAGTGGTGGTGCAGGCTGGCAAGCCCATGGTAGCTGTCTCAACAGGGCCAGTGGTGACCCTGTGGCTTGGAACCACAAGGCAGATTTCCCTCACTGGGAACCAATTAAGATCACAACCAGACTTCTAGGGGGCACCTAGCACTCAACACACCACTGAAGACCATAGGTTCCTCACTAAGCTGGAAGAAGAAATCTAGAATTCACCAGAGGCCAAGTTCAGCCACAGATTCTAGTAGAGTGAGCAGTGGCCAGAAATATAAGGGAATCATCTTGACATAGACTAGCAAGGACTAAAGGGAGGCCCACAAGCACAGTAGGGACACAAGGCCCACTGCCCCTCCTCAGCAAAAGGACCTGGCAAATGCCCTATATACACAATCACCACCTTGGGGAGTAGAAGAGAAACGGAGGAGAAATCTGAATGATTGGTAATTTTTTTTAAAAAAAAGGAATAAAGGACTGTTTAAATAATTAGATTGAACTAAGTTGACTGAATTGAACAAATTTGGGTGGTTTTCTCCTAGTATTCAACTCTTTTTCATAATGATCTTACTTTGTAGATTGCTTGAAATTTGCTTCTCGCTTAATTAAGACCATGTTCTAGAGATGTTCCTAGGTCAGTACACATAGATCTACCTCATTCTTTTAATCTACCATATGCTATTCCATTCACTATAACAACTTATTTAACTAGCACTGTAAGGGAAAGAGTTCAGTTGTATCAGTTGTTTATCCTAAAATAAACAGTGCTGTAATTCTCACCCTTGTGAACCACCACTCCTGCATCAAACTCAAGTGCTTAATTGTCTTCCCAGCCACTATCTCAGGTCATCATTGAGATTAAGGTGGTCTACCAGACCTGGCCTAGTAGGGAACACAATTTAAACTCAGGTTTTGACTCTCTGCTATTAGAAGGTGAAAGTCAACCTCACCAGATAAGTCCAGTAGCCTGATTACCATCATCATCATCATTATCATCATCATTGTGCTCACTCTAGGGCAGGCATGGAATTATACCTTGATCTATGTTTTATCATTTATCAGTTGGGAAATACCTGGCTTGCTCAGAGCTATTGAGCATGGTTAACTAATTACATGCTAAGAGTTCGGGCAACCCTTGTCCCAAAATTACTTTCCTGAAAACCTGAGTTACCCAGCTCTTTTTGGGCTATGCCTCCCACAGAGCACAAAAGCAATCATCAGCCTGTACTGCTACTGCTCAACCAGTTGCCTGGGGCCCTCCAGATTACACAAAGTTCTAGATTAAAGCCATCTCTTCTGCTGGAATGGGTCTGAACACAATTTCAGGGTCTTAACTTTGGGGATACAAACCAGGCTTACTAAAATGCCTAGTATGTCCTGGATTGGCTGCTCACAGGGCTATATCGTGCCACAAGCAAGGGGTACTATAACGTTTTTTAAAAGAAACACTCAACAAGATTTAAAAGTAATTAATTTTAATTAAAAATAATTTATTAATTACTTGATGGCCTTAAACTAAAATAATTAAATATGTGCATTGCTTAGAAATTATTGTGATAAATAATTTTTATTAATTGCTTTCTATTAACATAAATTATGAATCATTTCAGGCAATTTGCATTTGTAGGTTTGTTTTCTTCCTGTGTACATATTAATTTTCTATCTCAGCTATGTTAATGCTTCTATTTAAATAAATTCTTTTTTGTTCTTTTAGTTTAAAAGATTATATGTATAAAAGTAGTTTAATGCCTTACTCATTGTAGTAGTTACCATTTCAAAGCACCAATTTCTATATTAGTTGTAGTAACAACAGCTGTAAGATAACTCCCTAAATACCTGGCTTACCATAATAAAATGTGTTACTTGCTCATGTCAATTCCTAACATGAGAGTAGAGTGGAGCTTCTACTCCAGGCAGTCATTCAGGGTCCAAGACTTTGAAGGTTCTGCCATCTTTGTCTTAAGGTCATCCAGGAAATAGATGCCCAGTAGAAGGGAGAGAATGGAGGTTTCAGAGTCTTTCTGAATCAGGCTCGAAAGTGGAGTACATCAAATATGTCTTATTCCACTGGCAAGAATTCAGTCACTGGACATACCTAGCCTGAGGGAGCTTGAGAAATGTGGTTTACCTGCGGGCTCAGGCAGAAAAAGAAATTGTTTGGTAAACAGCTAGCCAATTTGTGTCTTGCCTTTTCACCTAATAATGCCACTCCTGGACCTCTCCTCAATAACCAATCCAAAATACAAAATGTTTTACATATACAAAGATGTCTTATAATAGTGAAAAAAAACTGGAAGCATCCTATATATGTAAAAATAATTAAATTAAATTCTAATGCAGCCACTTGATAGATTGAATTCAATGCAGTCATTTAAAAAGTTTTATTGAGTCTATACAGAGACATTGGGAAACACTTAGACTATAAAGAGAAGTGAAATAAAAGCAGAGTCCAAAATTGTATACACTGATTATGACTATATTCAAATGTTCACAGTAAAATAAAAGATTGTAGAAAAAGTACAAATAATTTTAAAAGTTATAATAATGATGGTCATTTAATGCATGCCTGCGATAAGCTAGGTGAAGTACTAACAACTTTAGATGTATTATCCCTAATGCTTACTACCTTGGTACCCTGCAAGATAAATATTACCTGTTGCAGGCATAGTGAGTTGCTAATAGATCTTGTGGAGAAGATAGGCCTCAACCTCATCCCCACACTAAATCAGTGGTTGATGGGCGTGGCCCAGTGGAGCAGATGTAATCTAGTTTTGACCAATGAGACATAATGAGAAGTCTGCCAGAGAACTTTAGGAAAAGGTTTCTTCCCACATAAAAGACAGAGCCTCCTCGTGAGGAGAGAATCCTATTGTCTCCACTCCTTGACTCTCTGCTTTGGCTATAACTATGTGAGGCATTATTTTGGACCTAAGGTGGTCATCTTGGGGCCATGACTTGACCAGCCTAACAATAAGAAGCCAATGTTCTCAGAATAACAAAGGAAAACACACACACACACACACACACACACACACACACACACACACACACACACACAGCCTGGATCCGGAATGACATTGTTGAGCTGCTCCATCAGTACCACCATAACTTGCCCTCAGAATACTTTTTTTTTTCTTTTTTCAGACAGTCTCTCTCTGTCGCCCAGCCTGGAGTGCACTGGTGCAATCTTGGCTCACCACAACCTCCGCTTTCTGGATTCAAGCAATTCTCCTGCCTCAGCCTCCCAAGTAGCTGGGACTACAGACGTATGCCACCACATCTAGCTAATTTTTATTTTTATTTTTTTTTGTATTTTTAGGAGAGATGGAGTTTCGCCATATTGGTCAGACTGGTCTCAAACTCCTGGCCTCAAGCAATCCACCCACCTCAGCCTCCCAAAGTGCTGGGATTATAGGCATAAGCCACCCTAGAATTTTTTTTAAGTGATATAATTTAATGTCTTTACAGTTTAAGCCACATTTAATTGGGTATTCTGTATTCTCAGCTGAAGATATTTCCAAATAATACATTATCTTTTTTTAATAGGCCTTACAGCCAGCAGTGTAAGAAACAGAACTGGGATACAAACCCATGTTGCTCTGGCTCCAAGGCCCAAAACCCCCTATGACAATACAATGAAATAAGGCCTCCCCTTCCCCCACCCTCTGCATATGCAGTATAATTCCTTCACTAAGGAAAAAGAATTTGCGCTTTTCCTGCAAGTCATTTCCTATACAACACACACAGTTTCAGCAGCCATTGTCAAGAAAATCCACTTCCCTTTCATTTCTTGTTACTCTTGGATACTTAACAACTTCTCTCACTAATTTTACAGAAGATATTTTCTGTTGCAGGTATTTCCAAAATGTCTGTAACTATTATTTCTTCTTGGCATGTCCCTTGATATATCCCTTGTAGGTAAATGTTTGAGGGTGGAATGGTATTCCCTAAAACATCTCTTTTTCTGGCCTTGTTTCTGACTGGGGTAAAATTATTTGGTCTTGGCAGGCTCTAAAATGAGTACTTGAACCCTCACTTTATTCAATGCATTATATCACTATGTTCTTTGGTTTTGAAACTACACTTTCTCCAGTGCAGTTCTAAATTTTCCACTGGACATCCCCTAGCTGTTTGCTGATAGCTGTTTCCTTTAAAAAGGAAAAATTTGATACAAATTGAAAATGTTAACAAGAAGAGCATAGCTGAAACGCTAATCGTATTACTAAAGTCACCTGGAGACACATTAGTATCAAATGTGCCTTTGTAACATATGCTTCACTTTTTTCAATTTATAACTACATAAAATGAACCCCCTTCCTCTGGCGCAAGTCTCTTTTGTTCCTATTCAATTTCTACTCCCTCTTAACTAAAACAGAAGGAGTCAGAACACTCTGTAGAGAGGACACTATCTTAATCCTCTGGACAAAGGACACTGTTGATTAAATGCAAGGTCTTGACTGAAGGAGATCCTTGGGAGGGTCCCATCGGAGATGATCTTTCTGATTAGGAATTGTGTCAGGCATTTTGGAGTTCTGCCATCAAATGCTGCGTGGTGAGCTTCTACACATCTCCTGCCACCACCTATTGTAGCAGAGAAGCCACAGCAAAGGTCAATTTCCCAGACACAAAAACAGGTCCCACTCCTGTGAAGGGCAATCAAGCTCCTGCAAGGAAATGGTCTGCAAAAGGGAGCCCTTAGGAATTCGCTTTTTCTTTCCTCTGAAACTTGAGCTTGATACATCCCTCAAGCTCAAGTTTAAAATTGTAAAGAAGAAAAACACAATTTAAATTTTTACTCTTATTTACTCACGATGAGTAAAACCCAATCATACAGAATGAGAGAGAAAAACAAGGCTCCTACAAATTAAAATAAAGAACTTTGAAAAGAGTCAAAGAGAAACAATCTAAACTAAGAATTTGGACACTCAGCTTTTAGTTTCTGCTCTATTACTAATAAATTGTGTGTCCCTGGAGAAAATAGTTAATCTTTCTGACTAATTTCAGTTTTCTCATATAAAATTATGATGACAGTGATGATATAGTTGTACCCCACTTCATGGTTACAAGGTCCTTTTATATACTTTGATACAACAACCCATGAGACAATTATTATTACTGCTAGTCTAGAAATGAGGAACTAAGACTTCGAATGGTTAAATGACTGCCTGAAGTTCATACAACTGCAAACTATAAGGTGATAATCACATGTAGGTCTTCTAAGTCGAAAATCAATTGCCTTTCTACTAAACCCTATTGAGAGGAAGATTTCCAACATGATTCAAAATCTGTGATACTACAATCAAAATTCCGGGAGAGTAAGATTGAATTATTTCTGTACCTCTACAGAGACTAGGGCATCAGTTTTCATTTTCTTATTCTTACCTATTTCATTCTTAGGACAAAGCTCATAGAAGTTAACTGAGAATAAGCTGGCCTTCAGAAAGAGGGGAAGAAGCTATGTAACGAGAGAGCAAGAAATGACAGGTTGAGACACTATGGAATAATCTGTTGAATGATATACAAATAGAAATTTTTATGAGCCATACAATTATTTTTATTCCAGTAACTCATTCTCTTCTTGCTCCCATATGAAAGATACCTTAAATACTTTAATTAAAGGATTTTTGTATAATTTATTTCATCTACTGTTTCATTACACACATTTTTATCATCTCAAAAGAAAATCCTCTAGTGATTTGAACTGTGCAGCATAATCAGCCACTATTACAAGTATGTTTTTCTCCCTCCGTCATCATCCTCTGCAATATACAAAGATAACAAAATGAACTAAGCATGCTTTATAATTTCCCTGGTCTAATTTGTTACCCATTGTGAAAAACAGAAACAATCAAGATGTAAGATTTCCAAGAGTTAGGGAACGAAGGATTAGAACTCTCAGCGACATGGGGGGGGAACTTACCTTACTTCCTCCATGAATTTATTTAATCTTTTTATATATAAGTGTGTACATTTCCTAAAATGAATTTGAGGCAGCTTAAAGTAAAAAATACACATAAGTTAGCCACTAAAATTGAGATTAAAAACAGCCTGTATTTTTCTCTCAGTCTTATTCATTTTGAAGGGAAGATTAAAGGATGGTCTTACATTCAAAAGCAAATAATAATAGGAACATATATCACATCCTAAATACAAATGTTAAGACCTCAGAAATCTATTACTAGCTTTAGAAAGCACATAAGGACTTAGTTTCTCTGATACCATCATTGTTGTCATCAACTTTATAAAACAGTTTTAAGTGCCTACTTGCAGAAATCAACATACTTAAGCATTGTAGTTTTTCAGAAGTTGAATAAACATGTTCCCTATTATCATGGAACTCAAAATGTCACAATAGAAGCAGAACAGGAACATTAAACCAACCCTTAAATGGACAGCAAGATACTTAAGATAGGTCAAATGGGGTGAGGGCATCTCTTACAGGGTCATAAGTGAAGCATCCGCAGATGAGCTTTGTTTTCAGGAGCTTCTTAAGTAAGGAGAAAAGAATAGCTGGGTACTTAATAGAATAGAGAGTGTTTACTAAGTGGCACTGCTTAGGAAAAGATTCAAAGGCAGTAATTGAACTAGTCCAATGGTCAGTTTGGCATTGGTCAGCAGCCAGTGGAATAATCATCTTCTCTTTGCTGGTAGGGAGAAAAGATAAGGTTTAACTACGGGAAGTCTGCCCACCAAAAGACATCAGGGATCTTAGCCCAGATGACGTTATTGAAGAATGGTGGCCCTGTCCATATATCAAAAGCTTGAGGTGAGGCTGGGTGTGGTGGCTCAGTCCTGTAATCCCAGCTCTTTGGGAGGCCGAGGCAGGAGGATCACAAGGTCAGGAGTTCGAGACCAGCCTGGCCAACATGGTGAAATCCCATCTCTACTAAAGATACAAAAAATTAGCTGGGCATGGTGCTGTGCACCTGTAATCCCAGCCACTCGGGAAGGTGAGGCAGGAGAATCACTAAAACCCAGCAGGCAGAGGTCGCAGTGAGCCAAGATTGTGCCATTGCACTCCAGCCTGGGCAACAGAGTAAGACTCCATCTCAAAAAAAAGAAAAAAAAAAAAAAACCTTGAGGTGAAAAGGAAGAAAAAGCAATCCGAGTTTGATAAAGATAGACAATAAAGGGGATCAGAGAATGCTACCCCAAAATATGCCACTTTGGCACTATTATTTTGAGCTGAAGGCAATAGAGAAAGAGCAGATGCAAAACACACACACAAACCAGAAAACTCTCCACCTATGTTTGCCTAAAAGCTGGGCATACATTCTCATTTGTAAAAATGCCCTCCCTTGCCGGGTGCGGTGGCTCAGGCCTGTAATCCCAGCACTTTGGGAGGCCGAGGTGGGTGGATCACCCGAGGTTGGGAGTTCGAGACCAGCCTGACCAACACAGAGAAACCCTATCTCTACTAAAAATACAAAATTAGCTGGGCATGGGGGTACATGGCTGTAATCCCAACTACTTGGGAGGCTGAGGCAGGAGAATCACTTGAAACTGGGAGGCAGAGGTTGCAGTGAGCCAAGATTGTGCCATTGCACTCCAGCCTGGGCAACAAGAGCAAAACTGTGTCTCAAAAAAAAAAAAAAAAGTCCTCCCTCCTCTCTCTTGTTCCAGGAAGAGACAAATGAGTTAATCACCAGACATAACTCTAGACTCTTATCAGCCCAGAGGTGGCACCAAGAGGAAGCTACATAACAAACCTTACTAAACAACACTTATCTTCCATTAGTTTCCCCATATATTTACCTCTCCAAAGTTTGCTGTCTCCGAAAACCTAAATCTCCTTTTCCTTTGTCTTGTCATTCTTCCACAAATTTATCGTTCTTTGTTAAAATAGTATCTAATCCCTGGGGTCTGTCTAACCACCCCTTTGAGTTATTCATTAGTGAGTTCCTCCCACATGTTTGCACACTACACACATAAATAACCTCTGTTTTCTTTTCTCCTGCTAATCTGTCTTTTGTCAGTTTATTTTGCAGAGCCCCAGTTACTAAATCTGGTAGGTCAGAGGAGAAAGGTTTTGTCCTCCCTTCCAACAAACAAATTCAGATAATTTAGTAACAACCAAATATTTGCCCAAATTTTCCTCTATACATGTATATTACCCCATTTAATTCAGTTTGTGAAAATAGATGGTATAAGTTATTCTGATTATCACAATACTGATCATAAGATGGTGTAAGTCATTCTTTTTCTTGTTTGTTTGTTTGGAGATGGAGTCTCGCTCTGTAGCCCAGGCTGGAGTGCAGTGGCATGATCTCAGCTCACAGCAACCTCTACCTCCCAGGTTCAAGCAATTCTCCTGCCTCAGCCTCCTGAGTAGCTGGGACTACAGGCATACGCCACCACGCCTGGCTAATTTTTTGTATTTTAGTAGAGACGGGGTTTCACTGTGTTGCCCAGGCTGGTCTCGAACCCCTGAGCTAAGGCAATCTGCCCACCTTAGCCCCCCAAGGTGCTAAGATAATGTGTAAGTCATTCTTATTACCAGAACGCCATAAATAAGAAAAGGAATAAAGTATTAATAATAAAATGTCAAATAGAATATTTGGTATAATCAGGCTTAGCAATTTAATGTGAAAATCTATTTCGCTTTTTATTTTTATTTTCTTGAGATGGAATCTCACTCTGTCACCCAGGCTGGAGTGCAGTGGTGCAAACTCCGCTCACTGCAACCTCCGCCTCCTGGGTTCAACCAATTCTCCTGCCTCACCCTCCCCAGTAGCTGGGATTATAGGCATGTGCCACCACGCCCAGCTCAATTTTTGTATTGTTAGTAGAGACAGGGTTTCACCATGTTGGCCAGGCTGGTCTTGAACTCCTGACCCAAGTGTTCCACCTGCCTTGGCCCCCCAAAGTGCTGGGATTACAGACATGAGCCACCATGCCTGGCCCTATTTCACATTTTCAATTCAGTAATGTACAATTTAGTTTTTTTCAAATTTTCATTACCAGACTTAATAAATAGCAACTTCTTGATTTTGTCCATTCATAATGCAAACATTTCTCTGGGAAAAATGACCTAACATGTCTTCTACAGAAGCAGAAATGAGAAAAGAAACCATTCTTGACCCTCCCTTTCTCCTCTCCCTGCCAAAAAAAAAAGAAAAAGAAAGAAAGAAAGAAAGAAAGAAAGAAAGAAAGAAAGAAAGAAAGAAAGAAAGTGGAAAAAAGAATGTAATTCTTATATAAAATGTAATGAGGCTGGGCACATTGACTCATACTGGTAATCCCAGCATTTTGGGAGGCTGAGGTGGATGGGTTACTTGAGCCCAGGAGTTTGGGACCAGCCTGGGCAACATGGTAAAACCCCACCTATACAAAAAAAAAATTAGCCAGGCATGGTGGCATGCACCTGCAGTCCCAGCTACTTTGGAGGCTGAGTGTGGAGGATCACTGGAGCCTGGGAAGTGGAGGCTCCAGTGAGCCATGTTCATGTAACTGCACTCCATGCTGGGTGACAAAGTGGCATGTGACCCTGTCTCAAAAATAAAATCAAATTGAATCTAATGAGACACAAACATTTCTGAGTATTACTTTGAAAAAATCTGAAATTTAAGAATTCTTAGCCAAGTCTGATAAAAATCCTCCAAAATTTCTGTCTGACCACAGCTTCCTACTTTCCAGTTTTTTACTCCTTTATTCAGACCTCGTCACTTTCTACTTCGCACAGAGAGCTCCAATCTCACAGTCCTTCTGTCTCGATCTAATTTATCAGCAGTTTCCTTCCATATTCAGCCAAGATAGACCCAATGGATCTTCAAATCCTATGCTCTTGACAAAATTTTCAGATATCTTTTTTTCACCCACAGATCATCCAATTATCCATTGTATATTCTTCTACATGTAGCAGCCAGTTGATTGCTGCCAGAATAAATGAATTATTTCCTACTGCAGCCACTTAAATGTCACTCAGAAATGCCTTTTGCCTGCCCCAGTCAGCTCACTCTCCTAATCACAGTGCAAATGTCAAAATGACCTCCCTGCTTCTACTTGCCCTCCCACACACTCTCTGAAAAAAGACACTTCTACTGCTTAGAGAAAACAGTCCATCTCTCAGCTTCAAGGCCTTCGAGCCTACAGATTTATTACACACTCTCCTAGATTTATGCTATTTTTCCTCTTGACGGGGGCCAATTTCCTTGTGAGTGCTCTGGATTCTTATCTTCTCTCTCCTAAAGGACCTGGCTCCAGCGATCAGTCACCATTGTCTTATCCCTCTTACTTCTTCAGCTTTTTTCTCTGTTAATTCCTTCCGCTATATGTACACACATGTTCAATAATCTCTCCTCTAACAAAAAATAATAATAAGCTAAAACAAAACATAAAACAAACACCACCAATAAAATACTTGCTTAACCCAGGAAATTAATTTTAGCTTTTGTCCTGTCTCTCTCATTTTTTCTTCATACAAAACCTACTTGTTTTAAATAATGCCTATTTATATCATCATAATAGAAATTGATTATCATTATTATTTAAGTGAAAATAGAAGTGAATAGAAAAAAATCACCCACAGGTAAATTACCAAGAAAAACAGCAGTTAATACTTTCCTACATTCATGTACAGTTTTTTTGTTGCTGTTATCATTAAAATAATTGTAATCATAAAACAAGCAAATTCATATATTTTGATTTTTAAAAACAAATCCACTTTTTAAAAATTAAAAGGTAGTAAGGACTCTGGCCACAATGATGCAGTGAACTTCTCCTTCAATATACTTTCCTCTGCTCTAAACACAAAACAACTAAAAATCCAATATTAAAAAAGAGAAAATTAAAAAGTGTTATCCAGTCAATCATATCGAATAAGAGATTCACGTCAGAATATATAAGGATCACCTAAAATTCAACAACAACAACAAAAAAAACTTGATTTTAAAATGGGCAATTGACTTGAATAGGCATTTATCTTAAGAAGACATACAAACAGCCAAAAGCACATGGAAAGTTGCTCAATATCACTGAACATTAGGGAAATGAAAATCAAAATCACAATAAGATGTCATGTCACGTCCATTATGATGGCTACTATTTATTTTTATTTTATTATTACTATTTATTGAGACAGAGTCTCACTGTGTTGCTCAGGCTGGAGTGCAGTAGTATGATCTTGGCTCATTGCAGCCTCTGCCTCCTGGGTTCAAGCAATCCTCCCACCTCAGCCTCTCAAGTAGCTGGGACTACAGGCGTGCACCATCACAACTGGCTAATTTTTGTATTATTTTGTAGAGATAGGGTTTCACCATGTTGCCCAGGCTGGCCTTGAACTTCTGAGCTCAAGCAATCTGCCCGCCTCAGCCTCCCAAATTGCTGGGATTATAGGCGTGAGCCTCCACACCTGGCCAGATGGCACTATTTAAAAAAAAGAAAAAGAAAAAAAAAACAGGTGGGATGCAGTGGCTCATGCTTGTAATCCCAGTACTTTGGGAGGCCGAGGCAGGCAGATCACTTGAGGCCAGGAGTTCAAGGCCAGCCTGGCCAACATAGTGAAACCCCATCTCCACTAAAAATACAAAATATTAGCCAGGTGTGGTGGTGGGCACCTGTAATCCCAGCTATTCAGGAGGCTGAGGCAGGAGAATCGCTTGAACCCAGGAGGTGGAGGTTGCAGTGAGCTGAGATTGCACCATTGCACTCCAGCCTGGGCAACAAGAGCAAAACTCCATCTCAAAAAAACAAAAACAAAAAAAAATATATATATATATATACATATATGAATATAGAGAAATTGGAGCCCAGAACCCTGGTGCACTGTTGGTGGCAATCTAAAATGGTGCAACCACTGTGGAAAATAGTATGGAGGTTTCTCAAAAAATTAAACATAGAATTACCACAAGATCCAGAAATTTTACTTTTGGTTATATACCCAGAAGAATTTAAAGCAAGGACTCCAAAAGATATTTGTATACCCAGATTCATAACAGCATGATTCACAATAGCCAAAAAAGTGACACAACCCAAATATCTATGAATGAATACACAAACAACATGTGTTGTGTTCATATAGTGGGATATTATTCAGCTTTAAAATGAAAGGAAATTATCACATTACAACGTGGATCGACCTTGAAGATATTATGCTAAGTGAAATAAAGCAGTCACAAAAGGACAAACACTATATGATTCCATTATATGAAGTACTTAGAGTAGTCAAATTCATGGAGACAGAAAGTAGAATGACGCTGACGGAGCTAGAGAGGTGCAGGGAATGGGGAGTTATTGATTAATGGGTACAGAGTTTCAGTTTTGCAAGATTAAAACAGTTCAGAAGATGAATGGTGGTAATGGTTGTATAACAATGTGAATGTACTTAATGCCACTGAACTGAACACTTTAAAATGGCTAAAATGGTAAATTTTATGCTATATGTATTTTATCATAATTTTTAAAGAAAACTAAAATTTAAAGAGGTTTAGCCAGGTTTCAGAAATGATAAATACCTCTGTGACCACACATGAAGAATAAAACAAAGCAATGAACACAATCAAACTGGCTTTGTGGGGGAGATGGGGGATGAGGGGTGGGCGGGGGGAACCAGAAGTGATCCTGGAAAACAAACAAACAAACAAAAAAAAACCCTGACATTCAAAAAAATATATATCCTGTCAAATGTACATTAATACCAATATTTATAACACCTTGCAAAGTACTTAATAAATATTATCCTCACTTTACACATAAGAAAACAAATTAAAAGGTCTTAAGCAACTTGTCTAAAATCACACACTTAGAACCAGGATTCGGACAAAGATATGGCTTACTCCATTGCCTTTTTTTTTTAACCCTATATGCAAATGTTTCTACAGTAGGGAAGATCACCATTAGCTCATTAACTGACCCTAAATTAATAATTATTTTATTAGAAGGTTGAAAGGCCCTAGAAAAATAGCCTACATTACTCAATAAAAATTTATTGAACACTTAGATTATCCCAGGCAACATTCTAGATTCCAAGACCATAGTTGTGAACTCAGATGGGGATGGGATAAAGGGAAGAAGTAAAAGAAGAGAGGAAAGCGGGAATGGAGGAAGATAGATGGTCATGGTGTACCTAAACTGGAAGCCTTGATAAAAAGTCTACTGTGTGACTTCAAAGAAGTTCCTATGTCAGCAACTACTTATTACCTTGACTGTGGCACCTTTCCCATATGATAAACTGTTCCTATCCTGTTTCTAGACCCACTCATCACCAATTTTCATGCCTTAGAACAAAAATCAAAACTTCAGTGTAGTCTTTTATTGGTTGTAATTCAAGTATTAACTCATCTTCTTTCATATATTACCATCTTAAAAAGGCTCTATCAAAATGGAAAAGCCATTAAGAAAGACCCAAGGTAATGAAGTTATTAAAATAAAAAGATGACAGATGTCAGCAAGATGGCTGACTAGAGATGCCTGACATTTTCCCCCACTACAAGAAAAGAACAAAGGCAATGAATGAACAGCTAAGATTTGACTGGAGTGTTGAAGGGAGAGCACCAGAGTGTAGCAGGGAACTGGAGATGCACCTGTGGTCATTGGAAGTTCAGGAGGACAGCAAGATGCAACTGGTCTCTGCAGCCTCCCCTCCCACCATGCTCCCTCCCTGATTGGATTGGCCTAGAGTCAGGAGGGAATTCCTGTTGTAGGGAAAAGGTAAGCAGAAGATTCCCACCAGCCCCCACTGCCACTACAAATACAAACAGTCCTTATATAACACGAGAATCCCACAGTCCTCACAAGCCCTGAGCCCAGTTTGGAGAGCTACCAGGAATTCATACAGCCACACTGCCCTGAATAAGGACCACAAGGTGTGCACTCCCACCCCTGTCTACCCGCTTTGAGCCAATCTGCTGCAGCAGAGCACCATCTTGAGGCCAGAGACACCTCTGAAGAGTGTCTTGCCCTGGGGGTCAGGAGCCACTGCACCTCTCCAGCAGTGGGGCTCCATCTTCATCATTCCGAGTCCACACAGGTGGCTGAATACCACAACCCCAGCTGCAGGGAAACCAACCACCATCACTGCACTTCTAGCCAGAGTAACAGTTTGCCAGTCCTCCCTGGGGCAAACCCACCCTCAGCCAGCCAAACCACTGTGCACCCTCCCCCAAGAGGAAAAGATTACCAAGTCTCTGAGCAGCCGATATGCCCCCAGGCCAGTGGAGTGACTATGTGCCCATGCCAGGACCTGAGAAACAGCCCCACAGTGCCCCCACCTCCCACAGACATGTTCTTGGCTTACCCAATGGCCTGTGCCCCCAATAAGAGTCTGACAAACAGCCCTGTAAGCTGCCCCTGGTAGGCACAACCCCTCAGCTGGCTGAGCAGCCTTGCACTAGCATCCCAGACCTGAGAAACTACCCCATGGGCTTCTCCAGCACACATGCCCCCAGGTCAGCTGAGCAGGTGTGTATTCACTTCCCAGGACTGAGGAATGACTCCATGGCCCATCCCCAGAAGATATGCCCCCAGGACAACTGAGCAGCTGTGAACCCATGTCCCTAGACAGAGAAACAGCCCCATGGGCCACCTTGGTAGGATGCCCTCCCCCCCAGCCAATTGAGCACTGCTGTGTTTCATAGGCCCATGTCTCATGCCTATGAAACAGGCTTCCGGGCTACCTCCCACAGAAGTGGCCCCAGACCAGCCAAGCAGCTGTGCAGCTGTTCCTAGCGCTGAGAAACAGCCCCGTGAGTTGCCCCCAGCAGACATATCACCAGACCTGCCAAGCAGCTGTGTGACCACATCCCAGGCCCGAGAAACAGTCGTGTGAGCTGCTCTTAGCAAGAACATCCTCAGGCCAGCCAAGCAATTGTATGCTCATGTTCCTGGCTAGAGTAACAGCCCTGTGGCCCCAACACCACCAAGCAAAATCCCAATCTGGCTGATCCATTGTGTGCATACATGCGCCCCTAACCTGAGAAACACCCTGGCAAGCCACGCCAGCAAAGTTACACCACCATCACCACAAATTCTCTCAGTCCAGGCCACGGAGAAACTCACAAGTGTCATTAGTGTAGATTATAGCTGAAGAAACTACATGGAGACTACACCACTATGTCCCTCCAGAACCAAGGCCAACACACCCCATTGAACTGATACACCAAGACCCATTCATACAACTAAGTCTTTCCCTATGAAACCTTCCATAAAATTGGAAGACGTGACTTTTCTGCCAGATGCATAGAAAATCAACATAGGGACATATCAACCATGAAAAAGTAAAGAAATGTGACCTCTAAGGGAAAGCAGTAATTCTCCAGTAACAGACTCCAATCATAAGGAAATATAAGAAATTCCAGAAAAAGAATTCAAGCCCTAATAATCTTAAGGAAGCTCAGTGAGATAAAAGACAATACAAATAGACAAAACAATGAAATCAGAAAAATGATTTGAATGAGAAATTCAACAAAGAAATAAATATCATAAAAAAGAACAAAAAAGAAATTCTAGAGCCAAATAATTCAATGAATGAAATTTAAAAAACCAATTGAGAGCTTCAACAACAAACCAGACCAAGCAGAAGAAAGAATTTCAGAACTTGAAGGCAGGTCTTTTGAAATAACACAGGCATACAGAATAAAAAAAGAATGAAGAAAACCTATAAGATTTATGGAACACCATTAAGCAAACAAATATTTGGCATTCCAGAAGGAGAAGAGAAGGAAAAACAGAAGAACAACATATTTAATGAAATGATAACAAAAACCTTTGCAAGACTTGGGAAAGAGATGGATATCCAGTTCCAGGAAGCCCAAAGAAACCCAAATAGATTCAACATAAACAGTTCCTATCTGAGCCAAATTTGAGTCAAATTTTAGAAAGTCAAAGACAAAGAAATAATTTTAAAAGCACCAAGAAAAAAATGTCAAGTCACATACTAAAAAATTCCCATTAGACTAACAGTGGATTTCTCAGCAAAAAACTTACAGGCCAGGAGAGAATGAGATGATATTACTATATTCAAAATACTGAAAGAAAAAAAAAAGCTGCCAGTCAAGAATATTTTACCCAGCAAAGGTATGCTTCAGAAATGACGGAAAAATAAAACTTTTCACAAACAAGGCATAACTAAGGGAATTCACCATCACTAGATTGGCCTTGCAATAAATGCTCAAGAGAGCCTTACATCTGAAAGTGAAAAGATGACAACCACCATAATGAAAACCTGTGAAACTATAAAACTCACTTGTAGAGCGATAAACAAAGGAGAAGGAGAAAGGAATCAAACCTTATTGTTACAGAAAACCACCCAACCAAAAAAAATAAATGATCAGAGAGGAAGTAGGGAACAAAAGATATACAAAACAAACAGAAAACAACCAATAAAATGACAGAAATAAGTCCTATCAACAATAATCTTGAAGGTAAGTGGATTAAATTTCCCACTTAAAAGCTATAGACTGGCTGAATAGATTAAAAAAAAAACAGACCCAAATATATGCTGCCTACAAGAAATTCACCTCACCTATAAAGACACACATAGTCTGAAAGTGAAGAGATGGAAAAAGATATTTCATGCAAATGGAAACCAAAAGCAAGCAGGAGTAGCTATACTTATATCAAACAAAACAGACTTCAAATTAAAAGCTGTAAAAAGAGACAAAGAAGGATATTATATAATAACTAAAGGATCACTTCAGGAAGAAAATATAATAACTGTAGATACATACGCACTCAACACCAGAACACTTAGATTTATAAGGCAAATATCATTAGATCTAAAGGGAAAGATAGACCCCAATTCAATAATAGTTGAGGATGTCAACACTCTAATTTTCTCTCAGAAAATCAACAAAGAAACATAAAATTTAAACTGTAACATTGACCAAATGGACCTAACAAACGTTTACAGAACATTTCACCCAACAGCTGAATAATACACTTTTTTCTTTCATTAGAACATGGAACGTTCTTCAGGATTGATCATGTATTAGGACAGGCAGACACATTCTGAGACAAGTCTCAGAAAATTTTTAAAAATCCAAATCATATCAAGTATCTTATCTGGCTACAATGAAATAAAACTAGACATCAATAACAAGAGGAACATTTGAAACTATACAAATACATGGAAACTAAACAACATGCTCCTGAACAACCAATGAGTGAAGTAAGAAATTAAGAATAAAAATTTAAAATTTCTTGAAACAAATGAAAATAGAAACACAACATACCAAAAGCTATGGGGCTCACAGCAAAAGCAGTATTAAGGGGGAAGTTTATAGTAATAAAGGCCTACATCAAAAAACTAGAAAGATTTCAAATAAATAGCATAACAATACACCTCAAGGAACTAGAAAAGCAAGGACAAACCAAATCCAAAATTAATAGAAAGAATAAGGATCAAAGCAGAAATAAACAAAATTGAGAATAACAAAAATAAAAAAATTAAAAAGTTTAATGAAACAAAAAGTTGGCTTTTGGGAAAGATAAACAAAATTTACAAACCATTAGCTAGACTAAGAAAAAAAGAGAGAAGACTCAAATAAATAAAATTAGAAATGAAGAAGGAGACATGACAATGGATATTACAGAAAAAGAAAAGATCGGCAGAGGCTGGGCATGGTGGCTCACGCCTGCAATCCCAGTACTTTGGGAGGCTGAGGTGGGTGGATCACAAGGTCAGGAGTTCAAGACCAGCCTGGCCAACATAGTGAAGCCCCATCTCTACTAAAAATACAGAAAATTAGTCGGGCATGGTGCCAGATGCCTGTAATCCCAGCTACTCAGGAGGCTGAGGCAGGAGAATCACTTGAACCCAGGAGGCGGAGGTCGCAGTGAGCTGAGATCTTGCCATTGCACTCCAGCCCAGGCAACAGTGCGAGACTCTGTCTCAAAAAAAAAAGAAAGAAAGAAAAAAAAAAGATCATCAGAGACTACAATGAACAACTACACACTAATAGATAAATTTGAAAACCTAGAGAAAAATGGATAAATTACTGGATACATACAATCTACCAAGATTGAACCAAGAAGAAATAGAAAACCTGAACAGAAGACCAATAACAAGTAACAAGAATGAATCAGTAATAAAAATCTTCCAAAAAAAAAAAGTTCAGGCCGGGCACGGTGGCTCATACCTGTAATCCCAGCACTTTGGGAGGCTGAGGCAGGCGGATCACAAGGTCAGGAGATCGAGACCAGCCTGACCAACATGGTGAAACCCTGTCTCTACTAAAAAAACAGAAATTAGGGGGGTGTGGTGGCACACGCCTGTAATCCCAGCTACTCAGGAGGCTGAGGCAGAAGAATCACTTGAACCTAGGAGGTGGAGGTTACAGTGAGCCGAGATCATACCACTTCCCGGGTGACAGAGGGAGGCTGTGTCTCAAAAAAAAAAAAAAAAAAAAATTCGGGACCAGGTGCCCTCACCACTGTATTCTGCCAAACCTTTAAAGAATAATAGCAGTTATTCTCAAAGCATTTCCAAAAATTGAAGCAGAGGGAATTCTTTCTAACTCATTCTACAAAGCCAGCATAACCTTGGTACCAAAACCAGACAAGGACACAACAAAAATATAAGCCAACTCCCTGTAAGCCAATATCCCTGATGAATATAAACATAAAAATCCTCAACAAAATACTAGCAAACTGAATCCAACAACATATCAAAAAGATAAATACATTATGAGCAAGTGAGATTTATCATAAGAATACAAGGATGGTTTAATATATATAAATCAATAAATATTATACATCATATCTATAGAATGAAGAAGAAAAAACATATCATCTCAATAGATGCTGAAAAAAATTGAAAAAAATTCAATATCCCTTCATGATAAAACTGCTTAATAAATTAAGTATAGAAGAAAAGCATCTCAACATAATAAAGGTTGTATATGACAAACCCACAGCTAACACCTTACAGAGTGGAAAAAAGTTGAAAACTTTTCCTCTGAGAACTGGAACAAAAAAAGGTTGTCCATGCACACTACTCTTATTCAACATAGTACTGGAAGTCTTAGCCAGAGCAATTAGGCAATAGAAAGAAACATAGGGCAACCAAATTGAAAAGAAAGAAGTCAAATTGTCCCTGTTTATATATGATAAGACCTTATATATAGAAAAACCAAAAGATTGATTCTACAAAAAAACTCTTAGAACCAGTAAACAAATTCAGTAAAGTTGTGGGATACAGAATAAACAAAAATCATTTATTTTCAGAAACAACAAACTATCTGGAAAAAAAAAAAAACAGGAGGGCAATCTCATTTACAATAGCTACCAAAAATAAAATAAAATAAAATACCTAGGAATAAATCTAACCAAGGAGGTGAAAGATCTCTACAAGGAAAACCACAAAACACTGATGAAAGAAACTGAAGAAGACATAAACAAATGAAAAAGACAAGCCATGCTCATGGACCAGAAAAATTAGTATTGTTAAAATGACAATACTTACCCCAAAAAGATCTACAAATTTAACACAATTCCTATGAAAATACCAATGACATTCTTTACAGAAAAAAAAAAAAATCTAAAATTTGTATGGGACCAAAAAAGAGCCCAAGTTTCTAAAATAATCCTGCACAAAAAAAGAGCAAAGCTGAAAGTATCACAGTACCAGATCTCAAAATAATCAAAACAACATGATATAAAAACAAATACATAGACCAATTGAATAAAATTAAGACCCCAGAAATTGATCCACGTATCTACAGTCAACTGATTTTTGACAAAGGTGCCAATAACACTCATTGGGGAAAGCACAGTCTCTTCAATAAATGATCCCAGAAAAACTGTATATCTGTATGAAGAAGCATAAAACTAGACCTCCACCTCTTATCCTGTACAAAAATCAACTGAAAATGGATCAAAGACCTAAATGTAAGACCCAGGACAATAAAACAACTAGAAGAAAATATAGGGGAAACACTTTAGGACATTAGTCTGATAAAATATTTTATAAATAAGACCTCAAAGCACAGACGACAAAAGCAAAAATAAACAAATGAGATTATATCAAACTAAATAGCTTCTGCACAGCAAAGGAAACAATCAGCAGAATGAAAAGACAACCCCCAGAATGGGAGAAAATATTTGCAAACTATTCATTCATCAGACAATTCATATTCAGAATATACAGGGAACTAAAAAATAACAAACACTGGCAAGAATGTAAAGAAAAGGGAACTCATATACTATTGGTGGGAATATAAACTAGTACAACTGCTATGGAGAACAGTATAGAGTTTCCTCAGAAAAACTACAAATGTAACTGACATATGATCCAGCAATCCCACTGCTGGGAATGTACCCAAAGAAAATGAAGTCATTATATCAAAGAGACACCTGAACCCCCATATTTATTACAACATTATTCATAATAGCCAAGATAAGGAATTGACCTAGGTGTCTAACGACAGAGAAATTGATAAAGAAAATGTGGTATATGGCCGGGCCCAGTGGCTCACGCCTGTAATCCCAGCACTTTGTGAGGCTGAGGCAGGTGAATCACTTGAGGTCAGGAGTTCAAGACCAGCCTGGCCAACATGGCAAAACCCTGTCTCTACTAAAAATACAAAAATTAATCAGGCGTGATGGCAGGTGCCTGTAATCCCAGCTACTCGGGAGGCTGAGGCAGGAGAATCGCTTGAACCCCAGAGGCAGAGGTTGCAGCGAGCCAAGACCAAGCCACTGCACTCCAGCCTGGGTGACAGAGCGAGACTCTTGTCTCAAGAAAAAAAAAAAGAAGAAGAAAGAAAGAAAATGTGATATATATACACAGTGGAGTACTAGTTAGCCACATAAAGAAATCCTGTCATTCATGGCAACATGGATGGAACTGGAAAACATTATGTTAAGTGAAATAAGCCAGAAACAGAAAGGTGTTTAACTTTCATATGCGGAAGCTAAAAAAAGTTGATCTCATAGAGGTGAAAAGTAGAACAGAGGATACTGGAGACTGGGAAGTGTAGGAGGAAGAGATGGAGAGGGAGAGACTTGTTAAAGGATACAAAATTGCAGCTAGATAGCAGGAATAAATTCTATTGTTCTATATCACTGCAGGATGACTAAAGTTAACAATAATATATCACAGTTTCAAATAGCTAAAAGGAGGATGTTAAATGTTCCAACACAAAAATATGATAAATGTTTGAGATGATGGATGCTAATTACCTTGATCTGATCACTGTACATTATATGTATCAAAACATCACTGTGTACCCCATGAATATTAACGATTGTTACTTGTCAATTTGAAAAATGTGTAAAGAATGCAATAATGTTAAAAAATAGGCCGGGCACAGTGGCTAATGCCTGTAATCCCAGCAATTTGGAAGGCTGAGGCAGGCGGACCACCTGAGGTCAGGAGTTTGAGAACAGCCTGACCAACACGGAGAAACCCCATCTCTACTAAAAATACAAAAATTAGCTGGCTGTGGTGGTGCATGCCTGTAATCCCAGCTACTCGGGAGGCTGAGGCAGGAGAATCGCTTGAACCCAGGAGGCAGAGGTTGTGGTGAGCCGAGATTGCGCCATTGCACTCCATCCTGGGCAACAAGAGCAAAACTCCATCTCAAAAAATAGTAATAATAAAATTAAATAAAAAATTAAAAATAAATAAAAAGAGGAGCAATGGAACAAATATTTAGGGAAAGAGATGCTTTGAGCCCCAAATCACTCCAGGTGGATAGCACCCTAATCTTAATTTAAATGTTACTGCTTATAACAGAAGAGCTCATTCTAGCTAGGCATGGTGGCTCATGCCTGTAATCCCAGCACTTTGGGAGGATGAGGTGAGGGGATTTCTTGGGATCAGGAGTTCAATACCAGCCTGGGCAACATAGCGAGAGCATGTCTTTGAAAAAAAAATTTTTTTAATTAGCCAGGCATGGTGGCACTTACCTGTAGTCCCAGCTACTCAGGAGGCTGAGGTGGGACGATTACTTGAGCCCAGGAGGTCAAAGCTGCAGTAAGCCATAATTGCACCACTGCACTCCAGCCTGGGCGACATAGTGAGACCCAGTCTCAAAAACAAAACAAAGCAATACAAAAAAAAAACCTCACCCTGCCTTTTGATTAAAGGGATAAAGTGAGGAAAGAAGTGGGTTTTTTTATTTGCTACGTACAGAAGGATTCAATTCAGATCAGTTCAATTTAACAAATATTTGTTGAGCCCTACTCTATATCAGACATTATTAGGTACAGAAGATATGAATAAAATGTCTGTCTTCAGGAAGTTCAAAGTCTGCAGAGAAAGACTAGTAAACCAAAATTTTATGAGACCATAATGAAACACTATTACACATCCACCAGAATGTCTACAATTTAAAACTCACACAATACCAAATATTGATGAAGATATGAAGCAACAGATTTTTGGTGGGAGTGTAAATGGTATAATCATTTTGGGGAAAAGTACAGCAGTTTTTTTAAAAACAAAAACTAAATGTAAATATTCTATGACCCAAAAATATCAGTCATATAATTGAGTGTGTGCGTGTGTGTATCAACAAAAAGACCTTCACAGGAATATTCATAGTAGCTTTGTTCACAATAGCCAGAAACTGGAAACAGCCCAGGTGTGCTTCAACTGAAGAATGGATTTTTAGAATTTAGTATATCTATACAATGGAATATTACTTGGTAATTTAAAGACTTTTAAAAAATAATGACCCTGCCAGATGAGGTGGCTCACGCCTATAATCCTAGCACTCTGGGAGGCCGAGGCGGGCAGATCACCTGAGGTCAGGAGTTCGAGACTAGCCTGTCCAACATAGTGAAACCCTGTCTCTACTAAAAATACAAAAATTAGCTGGCGTGATGGCACACGCCTGTCGTCCCAGCTACTAAGGCAGGAGAATCACTTGAACCCAGGAGGCGGAGGTTGCAGTGAGCCAAGATCGTGCCACCACACTCCAGCCTGGGCAACAGAGTGAGAATCTGTCACAAAATAATAATAATAATAATAATAACCCTGTCTCTACTGAAAAACATAAAAAATTAGCCAGAGGTCGTGATGCATACCAGCAGTGCTAGCTACTTGAAAGGCTGAGGCAGGAGAATTCCTTGAGCTCAGGAGCTCAAGTCTGCAGTGAGCTATGACTGCACCACTGCCCCCCAGCCTGGGTGACAGAGTGAGATCCTGAATCTAAAAGCAAACAAAAAAAAATTACTGATACATACAACCTATGTATCTCAAAAACATTATGCTGAGTAAAAGAAGTCTTACATGAAAGAGTACAGTTCAATGGATATAAAGTTCTATAACAGGCAAAACTAGTTGGAAGAAAATCAGAATAGTCATTGCCTCTAAAGGAGATTATTTCCTGGGAAGGGGCTTGGGTACACTTTTCGGGGTGGGGGTAATGTTCTATATCTTGATAGGTGTGTAGGTTACTCACATGTATTGAGAGGTGACAACATGCTAGCAGCCCTCACTGGCTCTCGGCGCCTCCTCAGCCTTGGCGTCCACTCTGGCCATGCTCAAGGAGCCCTTCAGCCCGCCACTGCGCTATGGGGGCCCCTCTCTGTGCTGGCTGAGGCTGAAGCCAGCTCCCTCTGCTTGTGGAGAGGTGTGGCGGGAGAGGCGGGGGCGGGAACCAGGGCTGAACGCGGCTAGTTCCGGGTGGGCGCAGGCTCCGAGGTCCCGCACTGAGAGCAGCCCGCCGGCACCGCCGGCCCGGGCAGTGAGGGGTTTAGCACCCGGGCCAGCAGCTGCGGAGGGTGCGCCGGGTCCCCCAGCACTGCTGGCCTGCCCCCGCGGAGCTTGAATTCTTGCTGGGCCTCAGCCGCCTCCCCGTGTGGCAGGGCTGGGGACCTGCAGCCAGCCATGCCCAAGCCCCGCCCCGGGCTCCCGCCAGCCCGACCCTACCCGACCGGCGCCGCCCCCTGCTCCTAGGCGCCCGGTCCCATCCACTGCCCAAGGACTGAGGGGTGTGGGCGTGCCTGCGCGGGACTGGCAGGCAGCTCTGCTAGCGTGTCCCCAGCACAGGATTCACTAGGGGAAGCCAGCTGGGCTCCTGAGTCAGTTGGGGACTTGAGAGAACTTTTATGTCTAGGGGAGGATTGTATATGCACCAATCAGCACTCTGTGTCTAGTGGGAGAGGGGGGGTTGTAGATGCACCAATCAGCACTCTGTATCTAGCTAATCTGGTGGGGACTTGGAGAACTTTTGTGTCTAACTAAAGGATTGTAAGTGCACCAATCAGTGCTCTGTGTCCAGCTCAAGATTTGTAAACGCACCAATCAGCACTCTGTATCTAGCTAATCTGGTGGGGACTTAGAGAACTTTTATGTCTAGCTGAAGGATTTTAAATATACCAATCAGCACTCTGTGTCTAGCTCAAGGTTTGTAAAAGCACCAATCAGCACTCTGTGTCTAGCTCAAGGTTTGTAAACACACCAATCAGTGCTCTGTGTCTGGCTAATCTAGTGGGGCCTTGGAGAACTTTTACATCTAGCTAGAGGATTGTAAATACACCAATCAGCAATGTGTGTCTAGCTCAGGGATTGTAAACGCACCAATCAGCTCTCTGTAAAACGGACCGATCAGCTCTCTGTAAAACTGACCAATCAGCAGGATGTGGATGGGGCCAGATAAGGGAATAAAAGCAGGCTGCCCCAGCCAGCAGTGGCAACCCGCTCAGGTCCCCTTCCACACTGTGGAAGCTTTGTTCTTTCACTCTTTGCAATAAATCTTGCTGCTTCTCACGCTTTGGGTCCACACTGCCTTTATGAGCTGTAACACTCACTGCAAAGGTCTGCAGCTTCACTCCTGAGGCCAGCAAGACCACGCGCCCACTGGGAGGAATGAACAACTCCAGACGGGAGGAATGAACAACTCCAGACGCACTGCCTTAAGCACTGTAACACTCACCACGGAGGTCTGCAGCTTCACTCCTGAAGCCAGTGAGACCACGAACCCACCAGAAGGAAGAAACTCCGAACACGTCCGAACATCAGAAGGAACAAACTCCAGACACACCATCTTTAAGAACTGTAACACTCACCGCGAGGGTCCGCGGATTCATTCTGGAAGTCAGTGAGACCAAGAACCCACCAATTTTGGACACAGTATGATTTAGTGAATCTCATGGTACACTTAAGATCACCACTGCACCCCAGCCTGGGCGACAGAGTGAGACCCTGAATCTTAAAAAAAAAAAAAAAAAAAAAATGTACTGATACATACAACCTATGTATCTCAAAAACATTACGCTGAGTAAAAGAAGTCTTACATGAAAGAGAATATACTGTACAGTTCAATTTATATAAAGTTCTATAACAGGCAAAACTAGTTGGAAGAAAATTGGAATAGTCACTGCCTCTAGAAGAGAAGACTTCCTGGAAAGGGGCTTGAGTACAGTTTTCAGGGTCAGGGTCATATTCTATATCTTGATAGGTGTGTAGGTTACTCACATGTATGATTTAGTGAATCTCATGGTACACTTAAGATTTGTGCATTTCACATTTCATTGTACATAAATTTAACATGAAATTTTAAAATAAGAATTACAAACAAATATAGAACTCTATATGTTATGTAGGAACTCTGAGTGATATGTATTCTGAGTTATTTGGAAAAAAGTATATCGATATCTGCAACTTACTTTGAAAAGCATTTTTCTAAAAACGTGGATTGATGGATAGAGAGAGAGATGTGACAAAGTAAGCACAATAAAACATTAATTGTGTGATCACTGCAAAATTCTTTCAACTTTTCTGCTTGAAAATTTTCCTCATAAAATGTTGAAGAAAATTATATGCAAGTGTAAAGATGTGTAAGGCTCAGAGGTACAGAGAAGGCAATTCACTCTAGCTTTGGAGGAAAGTGGGGAGATGTCAGAGACAATGTCAATGAAATGGTGATGTCTGAGTTGTGTTCTGAATGAACAAGCTTTCACCAGGCAGTCAAATAAGTTGGTGAATAAGATGTTTTGGTAGCTACAAGTAGTCTCATCTTGATGGACATGGGTATATAGATAAGAGTTACCAGAGATGGACATAACGTTATAAGCAGAGGTCAAATTATAGAGTTGTCTGTGCCATTCTAAAGTTTTGTCTTATCAGTGATGGAGGGTTATTGTAAAATAGGCTATGGTGTGGTCTGCTTTGCGCTTTAGAAAGATCATGCTGAAAACAGTATGAAAGAGAAACTTTCAACCACAAGCCTGGAGGAGGAAAAACCAGGATGAAGACCATTGCAATAGACCAGATAAGGGGTATTAGTGGACTGATTTAGGGCAGTGGAAGTGCAAGTGATGAGAACACATTGGACTTGAAAACTGTTTAAGAGCTAAGGTTGACAGGAGATAAAATTGACAAAGCTAGTGATTGAGTGTACATGTGAAGTGAGAGAAAAAGGAAGAGTTGAGGATGATTCTCAAGGTTCTGAGTAAACAATGACAGAATCTAAAGGTGGGGGGCAAGTTTTAGGTGAGTAAATATGCAATTTGGGAAATGTTTATTTTTTAATGCCTATATGAAATGTCCAGGTACACCTGTTCAGGAGGCTATTAGATATATAACCTTGGCCTTAGTAGGGAAGTCAGTATTGGGTTGATTGATTTTATTTGCTTTTTATTATCTATTCACACTTTAATTCATTTCAAAGATGATTTGGGACATAACAACCAATATATAGTGTCAGGTTCATGACTATGCCAATTGTCATGTTGAGGTCCAAAGAGAGTAGATGGATGAAGAGAAAGAACACTCAGGGAGCCTTAGGCAGGTGAAAGATGATTTTATTCAGCAGCAGCTCTCATCAACAGCTTTCTCATCAGCAGCTTACTTACACTGTCTCTCTCGCACTGTCCTCCCTGTCTCGGCTGCTTGCTCTGAACTGCTCCCACACACACAGCTGCACAGCCGGTTCTCCCCTGCTTTCAGGGTCAGCAGCTTAACTCTTTCTCTGTTTCCCTGGGCACGAGAGACAAGCCAAGCCATGACCTGGCTCCCCTCTGTCCATCCACAAGAAAGACAGCTCTGGTTCTCTCTCTGTTTCTCTGGGCACCAGTACAAGAGCCATGCTGAGCCATGCCTAAGAGCCAAGCCCCATGCAATACTGTCAGCCGGGCAGTTATACCTTTTAAAGACAACAGCAGCTCCAAGCCAAGAATGAACTTACACAAACAGGTGATAACAAATGGAGTATGAGCCTGCACCCTAAACCCACTGAATCATGCAGGCCTGGATGTCTGCCTTGGCCTAACCTTGACCAAAGAACATCCATGTACCTTACATATAGTTAAAGCTATCAAATTGGATGAGATCTGGTCTATTACTAGCCCCTTACACATGGCAAAGGGAAAAATCAATCATTATGTTCTACAGCAACACCCACATAGTGTGTGTGTTTCCCCATGAGGATACAGTCTACCTCTATCTATGAAGCAGTAGAAAGAACACTCAGCAAGGAGTTGGGAAACATGGTTTCTGTTTCCAGCTCCTACATTACAATGTGACCCTAGGCAACTCATTTAAGCTCTCAGAGGCCTCTGATGTGAAAAGGCTGGATTGTGTGATCTCTATGGTTATTTCCAGCACTGGAATGGGAATTCCCTTTGAACCCTATTTCCTGATTCATTATCCAGCCCTTTTCCTCCCTTCGGTGACCCCCGTTGGCCTCCAAGGTGCCAATTAGCAGTTCAACTTGAGAAGGAGAAAAAGGAAAGTAAAAAATGTTTGCTCTATGCTGGTTATTATGACAAGAAAATATATAAATGGGAAAAACTAACATTATTAAAGTTGTTTGGACCTGGAGGTTTTGGTTCATATGGATTCACTCTATCACAGAAGATCACAGACAATGTAAATTCAGCTACACTCCAAGAAAGACCATTTAAACTAGGCTTATTTAAAGGCAAATAGGGATGTCCCTATGCTTCAGTCTTCCCATGCATTTCTACAGAAATCTTCTAGTTATAACATTCCAATTATAAAAAAAAGTGTTCAGCCAACTTCATAATTTAATTTTCAGAAAAATAAATAAATACAACCAAACACAAAGCTTTTTCTTTAAATGTAATTAATGATCCAATGACCTAAAAGGGAAAGATTAAGCTTTCCGGAACAATAAAAATACATGGATCTGAGCAAAATTTGGGGGAAATTCCTAGTATAGTCAGCTTACTATGTTCAACTTACTTTAAGTTCAAGCCATGACAAACTTCACAGAATGCTACAAATGACCTTTCCTCTGATTTGGGGGATACTTTTTCAATGGTGTGCAATGCTCCTTCCTCTCTTCTCTGTATGGAAAATGCTTGCATCCAGTGTTCTCAAACTTGGGTGATGTGTATCATAATCCCCCCCCACCCTCCCCCCCATGGTGGGCATGTTAAAAAAAAAATACAAAACAGATGGCTGGTCCCTACCCTCAGTTTGTAATTCATTAAGTCTGGAAAGGGCCCAACAAATGGCATTTCTAACATGTTCTCAGGGGATGCAGATGCTGCTGGCCAGGAATCACATTTTAGGAACCACCAGTCCTATGCCTACTTCTATTTGAAAAACTCAGCTCAAATCCCACTCCCTGAGTGAAGATGGGGTAGAGAAGGGAGGGGTATCCCCTGTTCCTTCTCCTCCCAAAAGGCTATCAATAGCTCCATAGCACAGCTGTTTTACATCTCTGGTCCCAATCTGCTCACCAGATCTGTTTCTACCCCACCTCCACCCCACTCCTTTGCAACTTACTTGAAAGGGAGGCCCAAATCTTATTCCTACTTTTATGTTTCTCAGTATCTACAACAGTGTCCACTCCCACCAGATACTTAATAAATGGACCCCCCCTACACACACACAAAATACACAAATGAACAGAAAAATGACTATGAAAGCACTTTTAAAGTCAAAGTGCTATGAAAAACATGTTGCAAATGAATCTGCAACCTAGTTACAATACAGACTTGCTTGTTTGTTTGTTTTTTGAAACGGAGTCTCACTCTCACCCAGGCTGGAGTGCAGTGGTACAATCTCAGCTCTCTGCAACCTCTGCTCCCAGGCTCAAGCAATTCTCCTGCCTTAGCCTACTGAGTAGCTGGGATTACAGGCACCCGCCACCACGCCTGGCTAATTTTTGTATTTTTTTTTAGTAGAGTCGGGGTTTCACCATGTTGGCCAGGCTGCTCTCGAACTCCTGACCTCAAGCAATCTGCCCACCTCAGCCTCCCAAAGTTCTGGGATTACAGGTGTCAGCTACCTTACCTCACCTTAAAATGCAGACTTTGATTCAGAAAGTCTAAGGTGGGGCCTGAGAGTTTGTATTTTTAATAAGCTGTAGGTGAGGCTAACACTGTCTATGGCCCACACTCTAAGTTGCAAGGTTTTATACTGGTGGTTCCCAGCTTTGACTATACATTAGAATTTCCCCATGGATCTCTGAGAATATAGAGTCTGATCCACTTCCCAAATTAAATCAGAATCTCCGAGTGTGAGACCCAGACATCAGTATTTTTAAAATGTTCCTCAGTAATTCTAATGCACAGCCAGGGCTGAGAATAGTTGATCTCTAAGTAATCACACATGATATATTCAAATTACCTTAAAATCTAAACTATGTGTTCCAAACATGAGAGTTTTCTATTATTTATGATTGCATTAATGTTGATTATACCAAATATATCATTTTATTCTCTTCAAATCACTTACTTATTGTAAAATAATGTCTTTACCCAGCATTATCTAAACAGCCAGAAAAGAAACTTCTAACAGCTTTTAAAATAAAGCTTTACTTAATATTTAAAGTTTACTTAATGTTTACTTGAATTTTCTCAACTTACTACCATCTTTAAAAAAAAAAGATCAGTAACTGTTTTATACAATAATTATGATATATATTTTTCTTAGAAATAGGCCAATGTACCTCCCAAAGAAAGTGCCCTCAACATTAAGGATGCCAAGTGTCAGATGTCACAGCATGTGGTCCTAAAAAGCTGACTTCCAGAGTGCTCCATTGTTTTTTGTTGTTTGTTTGTTTTGAGACAGAATTTCGCTCGTTGCCCAGACTGGAGTGCAATGGCGCGAACTCGGCTCACTGCAGCCTCCGCCTCCCAAGTTCAAACAATTCTCCTGCCTCAGCCTCCTGAAAGTAGCTGGGATTACAGGCACCCGCCACCACACCCAGCTAATTTTTGTATTTTTAGTAGAGACGGGTTTTCACCATGTTGGCCAGGCTGGTCTCGAACTCCTGACCTGAGGTGATCCACCCACCCCAGCCTCCCAAAATGCTGGGATTACAGGCATGAACCACCGTGCCCGGTTTCCGTTGTTTTTATAGTCTGTCTTAAAGAAGCAGAGTCAGGTGACTTTAAAAAAATCTATTTTAAGAAAAATTATCAAATAAAAATCCACAGCTACACAGAAGATATATTAGAGAGTGTTCTTTCAAACAAAATAAAGATCTTAATAGCATACCTTTAACTTATAAGTAAGTCACCAGAGTTCCTATAAAATATAATCCAGTCTTCTACTCAATTTCTACCAACTCTTCACAAAGACATCTGTGCCATAATGTAAGGAATGTTTATAGGGTTAACTTTGATCTTGGTGTTTAAAAAAGCAGCCCAGATAATACAAAACTTTCTAGACTTGGAGTGATCTGTTTTAACATTGTACTAGAAACGGGCTACATAATCCATTTCAGGTCCCTGAATCCTGGGTTTCAATCAGCAGATGCTGGAATCTCCTCTTGCCAAAATGTGAATTAAAATATCTCGTACAGTACTAGGAAGAGGTACTCGGCCAACACTGCCAACTCTAGTGTTGCTGCAGCTGAGTCTCAGAATGATAAAGAGAAGCTCAGTTATGCATTTGGTCAAACCAAAGCTGAGTGCAGGAACTAAGTAAACCTCTCACAAGCCTCTTACCCTTTAAGAATAAAAGATTGAGGAGAGGATGTGGAGAAATAGGAACACTTTTACACTGTTGGTGGGACTGTAAACTAGTTCAACCATTGTGGAAGTCAGTGTGACAATTCCTCAGGGATCTAGAACTAGAAATACCATTTGACCCAGTCATCCCATTGCTGGGTATATACCCAAAGGACTATAAATCATGCTGCTATAAAGACACATGCACACGTATGTTTATTGTGGCACTATTCACAATAGCAAAGACTTGGAACCAACCCAAATGTCCAACAATGATAGACTGGATTAAGAAAATGTGGCACATATACACCACGGAATACTATGCAGCCATAAAAAATGATGAGTTCATGTCCTTTGTAGAGACATGGATGAAATTGGGAATCATCATTCTCAGTAAACTATCACAAGGACAAAAAACCAAACACTGCATATTCTCACTCATAGGTGGGAATTGAAGAATGAGAACACATGGACACAGGAAGGGGAACATCACACTCTGGGGACTGTTGTGGGGTGGGGGTAGGGGGTAGGGATAGCATTAGGAGATATACCTAATGCTAAATGACAAGTTAATGGGTGCAGCACAGTAGCATGGCACATGTATACATATGTAACTAACCTGCACATTGTGCACATGTACCCTAAAACTTAAAGTATAATAATAATAAAATAAAATAAAATAATAATAAAAAAAAGGAAAAAAAACAAAATTACTTTCACACATACAGACTTAGTATCACTCATAATACAAAAGAAATGTTTAATAAATGTGTACTAGATTAATAAAAGAAATAAAAGACTGAAATAATAACCTTTAGAAGACTAATAGTTAAAATTCTTCATTAGGTACAACTCTTATGATGTACCTTTTCTGATAATCTTACATTTCCAGGCAATTGTAATTGTCAAAGAGATATTTGAAACAGCATGATTTGTATTCATGTTAAAAAAAAAAAAAAGATGACAATGTGCCAAATTCAATAAATTGTGCTATTGTGAAATATAACCATCTGACGGAAAGGAGAAGTGCCAGGAATTGGCCAAAGGGTTCTCTACACATAAATTTCCTAACGGACTGAAGTTTGTATTCTTATGGCTGAACTCAAAACACAAAAATGCTTTGTACATATTAAGGAAAAGCATTATTAAACCTAAGATCCAGCTTTTATTCCCCTCTAATTAACTCAGCACCTTGAAATCTGGTTTCCAGTTTTATCCTTTTTCTGAAACTTTTCTAAGATTAGCAATGGCATCCCACAGAAAAGAGAACAGGTGCCAGAAATCTGGAGAATATCTTTTCCCCCACTGATTTTCAACAAAGGGAAGAATATAAATTATATAAAACAAAATGGGTGGCAAATAAATCCACCATTGATTCTAGGAAAATCTCTAGAATTATTTTAAATATATTAAACACTTAGAAAATTGTGATCACAAGGAATTACACTGAATTCAAGAACACTCATGACAAACATTTTTTCCTAAGATTCGTAATGTGGTAAAAATCTCAGAACTGCTATAGGTACTAAAAATCTGCATTTCAGCAGTCATGATGTCCTTATGGACAAGATGAATAAAGCGACTGCTCAAAAGTACACATAGAACCAAACCCAAAGAATGCTGAGTTATGAGTCAAAGTCACCGCGGACAGAGATTTCCAAAAGCATTCCCCAGAGCACCGACCTTGTCCCTAACTACTTCAAGCTCTTACTGACAACTTGAATGAGGGTATTTGTGGCCCAGTGATCAAATTTTCAGACAATTTGAAGGTAGGAAATGCCATTAATGGTAAATAACTGAATTAGATCACAAAAAGGTCACAACTGTCTGCACCAATAGGCCAAATCTGACCAGATTTAATTTAACAGGACAAACATAAAGTACTACCCAACATTGGGTAGTTTACAAAGGAAAGAACTTTAATTGACTCAGTTCTGCAGGGCTTTGGAGGCCTCAGGAAACTTACAATCACAGTGGAAGGGGAAGCAAACATGTCCTTCTTCTCATGGCAGCAGGAAGAAGTGCCAAGCAAAAGGGGAAAAGCCCCTTTTAAAACCATCAGATCTCGTGAGAACTCACTCACTATCATGAGAACAATAGATGTAACCACCCTCATGATTCAATTACCACACATCTGGTTCCTCCTACAACACATGGGGATTACGGGAAGTACAATTCAAGGTGAGATTTGGGAAGGAACACAGCCAAACCATATCATCCAAGGTGTGTGTGTGTGTGTGTGTGTGTGTGTGTGTGTGTGTGTATCACATTTTATTTATCCACTCATTGATTGATGGGCATTTGGGCTGGTTCCATATTTTTGCAATTGAGAATTGTGCTGCTATGAACATGCATGTGCAAGTATCTTTTTTGTACAATGACTTTTCTTCCTCTGTGTAGATACAGAGGAGTGGGATTACTGGATCAAGTGGTAGATATACTTCTAGCTCTTTAAGGAATCTCCACAGTTTTCCATAGTGGTTATACTAGTTTACATTCCCACCAACAGTGTAAAAATGTTCCCTTTACACCACATCCACACCAACATCTATTATTTTTGGTTTTTTGATTATGGTCATTCTTGCAGCAGTAAGGTGATACCGCATTTTGATTTTGATTTGCATTTCCCTGTTAAATAGTGATGTTAAGCATTTTTTCATATGTTTGTTGGCCATTTGTATATCTTCTTTTGAGAATTATCTATTCACGTTCTTTGCCCACTTTTTGATGTGATTGTTTGTTTTGTTCTTGATGATTTGTTTGAGTTCCTTGTAGATTCTGGAGATTGGTGTTTTGTTGGGTGTCTAGATTGTGATGATTTTCTCCCACTCTGGGTTGTCTGTTTACTTTGCTGATTTATTTCTTTTGCTGTGCAAAAGTTTTTATGTAATTAAGTCCCGTCTGTTTATCTTTATTTTTGTTGTGTTTTCTTTTGGGTTCTTGCTTGTGCAGTCTTTGCCTAAGCAAGTATCCAGAAGGGTGTTTCCAGCGTTTTCTTCTAGAAATTTTATGGATTCAGGACTCGATTTAAGTCTTTGATCCATCGTGAGGTGATTTTTGTATAAGGTGAAAGATGAGGATCCATTTTCATTCTTCTACATGTGGCTTTCCAATTATCCCAGCATCATTGTTGAATAGGGTGTCTTTTCCCTGTTTTTTGTTTTTGCTTCCTTTGTCAAAGATTGGTTGAATGTAAGTGTTTGGCTTTATTTCTGGGCTCTCTATTCTGCTCCATTGGTCTATATGCCTGTTTTTACACCAGTACCGTGCTGTTTTAGAGACTGTGGCTTTATAGTGTAGTTTGAAGTCTGGTAATGTAATGCCTCCAGATTTGTTCTTTTTACTTAGTCTGGCTTTGACTATGTGGCCTTTTTTGGTTTCATATGAATTTTAAGACTGCTTTTTCTAGTTCTGTTAAGAAGGATGGTGGCATTTTAATGGAAATTGCATTGAATTTGTAGATTGCTTTTGGCAGTATGGTCATCTTCACAATACTGATTCTACCCATCTATAAGCATGAGATGTGTTTCCATTTGTTTGTGTCATCTATGATTTCTTTCAGCAGTGTTTTGTAGTTTTCCTTGTAGAGGTCTTTCACCTCCTTGGTTAAGTATATTCCTAAGTATTTTATTTTTTTGCAGCTATTGTAAAAGCAGTTGAGTTCTTGATATGGTTCTCAGCTTGGCTGCTATTGGTGTATAGCAAAGCTACTGACTGTGTATTTTAATTTTGTATCCTAAAACTTTGCTGAATTCATTTACCAGTTCTAGGAAGTTTTTAGATGAGTCTTTAGGATTTTCTAGATATACAATCATGTTATCAGCAAACAGCAACAGTTTGGCTTCCTCTTTAGCAATTTCGGTGCCTTTTATTTCTTTCACTTGTCTGACTGCTGTGGCTAGGACTTCCAGCACTATGTTGAGAAGTCGTGAAAGTGGGCATCCTTGTTTTGCTCCAGTTCTCTGAGGGAATGCTTTAAACTTTTCCCCATTCAGTATGATGTTGGCTGTGGGTTTGTCATAGATGATTTTTATTACCTTAAGGTACGTCCCTTTAATGTCCATTTTGCTGAGGGTTTTAATCATAAAGAGATGGTGGATTTTGTCAACTGCTTTTTCTGCATCTATTGAGATGATCATGTGATTTTTGTTTTTAATTATGTTTATGTGGTGTATACATTTATTGACTTGTGGATGTTAAAACATCCCTGCATCCCTGGTATGAAACCCACTTGATCAAGGCAGATTATCTTTTTGATATGCTGTTGGATTCAGTTAGCTAGTAGTTTGTTGAGGATTTTTTGCATCTGTGTTCATCAGGAAGGTTGGTCTGTAGTTTTCTTCTTTTATTATGTCTTTTTCTGATTTTGTTATTAGGGCAATTTGGCTTCATAGAATGACTTAGGGAGGATTCCCTCTTTATCTTTTGGAATAGTGTCAATAGGATTGGTACCAATTCTTCTTTGAATGTCTGAGAGAATTCAGCTGCTAGTCCATCTGGTCCTAAACTTTTTTTGTTGGTAACTTTTTAATCACTTTTTCAATCTCGCTGCTTGTTATTGGTCTGTTCAAAGTTTCTGTTTCTTTCTGATTTAATCTAGGAGTGTTGTATATTCCAGAAATTTATCCACCTCCTCTAGGTTTTCTTGTTTAGCACATAAAGCTGTTCATAGTAGCCTTGAATGATCTTTTGTATTTCTATGGTATCAGTCGTAATGTCTCCTGTTTCATTTCTAATTGAGCTTATTTGGATCTTCTCTCTTCTTTGCTTGGTTAATCTCTCTAATGGTATATAAATTTTACTTATCTTTTCAAAGAACCAGCTTTTTGTTTTATTTCTCTTTTATATTTTGTTTGCTTGTTTCAATTTCATTTGGTTCTGCTCTAATCCTGGTTATTCCTTTTCTTCGGATGCATTTGGGTTTGGTTTTTTCTTGTTTCTCTAGCTCCTAGAGGTGTGACCTTAGATTGTCTATTTGTGCTCTTTCAGACTTTTGGATGTAGGCATTTAATGCTATGAACTCTCTTCTTAGCACTGCCTTTGCTGTACCCCAGAAGTTTTGATAGGTTGTGTCACTATTATTGTTCAGTTCATATATATATATATATATATATATATATATATATATATATATATATATATATATTTTTTTTTTTTTTTTTTTTTTTTTTTTTTTTTTTTAGATGGAGCCTCACTCTGTCACCTAGACTGGAGTGCTATAGCACAATCTCGGCTCACTGCAACCTCCACCTCCCAGGTTCCAGCAATTCTCCTGCCTCAGCCTCTGAAGTAGCTGGGATTACAGGTGCCTGCCACCATGCCCAGCTGATTTTTGTATTTTTAGTAGAGACAGGTTTTCACAATGTTGGCGAGGCTAGTCTCAAACTCCTGATCTCAAGTGATCTGCCCGCCTCAGCCTCCCAAAGTGCTAGGATTACAGGTGTGAGCCACCACACCTGGCCTAGTTCAAAGAATTTTTTAATTTCCATGTTGATTTTATTGTTGACCCGAGGGTCATTCAGGAGGAGGTTATTTAATTTTCATGTATTTGCATGGCTTTGAGGGCTCCTTTTGGAGTTGATTTCCAATTTTAGTCCACTGTAGTCACAGAGAGTACTTGCTATAACTTTGATTTTCTTAAATTTGTTGAGACTTGTTTTGTGGCCTATCATATGGTCTATCTTGGATACTGTTCAATGTGCTCACGAATAGAATATACATTCTGCAGTTGTTGAGTAGAAGGTTCTGTAAATAGCTGTGAAGTCTATTTGTTCTAGGGTATAGTTTAAATCCATTGTGTCTGTATTGGCTTTTTGTCTTGACGACCTGTCTAGTGTCCTCCACTATTATTGTGTTGCCATCTATCTCATTTCTTAGGTCTAGTAGTGATTGTTTTATAAATTTGGGAGCTCCAGTGTTAGATGCGTATATATTTAGGATTGAAATATTTTCCTGTTGGACTAGTTCTTTTACCATTGTATAATGTCCCTCTTTGTCTTTTTTAACTGCTGTACTTTTAAAGTTTGTTTTGTCTAATATAAGAATAGCTACTCCTGCCTGCTTTTGTGTCCATTTTCCTGGAATATCTTTTTCCAACCCTTTACCTTAAGTTTATGTAATTCCTTATGTGAGTCATGTGTCATGTGAGTCTCTTGAAGACAGAAGATGCTTGATTGGTGAATTCTTATCCATTCTGCCATTCTGTACCTTTTAGATGGAGCATTTAGGCCATTTACATTCAACATTAATATTGAGATGTGAGGTACTATTCTGTTAATCATGCTATTTATTGCCTGAATACCTTGTAGTTTATTATTATTATTATTGTTTTATAGGTCCTGTGAGATTTACACTTTAAGAAGGTTCTATTTTGGTGTATTTTGAGGATTTGTTTCATGATTTAGAGCTCCTTTTAGCAGTTGTTGTAGTGCTGGCTTAGTAGTGGCAAATTCTCTCAGCATTCATTTGTCTGAAAAAGACTATCTTTTCTTCATTTATGAAGCTTAGTTTTGCTGGATACAAAATTCTTGGCTGATAATTGTTTTGTTTAAGGAGACTAAAGATAGGACCCCAATCCCTTCTAGCTCGTAGGGTTTCTACTGAGAAATCTGCTCTTAATCTGTTAAGGTTTTCCTTTATAGGTTATTTGATGCTTTTGCCTCACAGCTCTAAAGACTATTTCCTTCGTCTTGAGTTTAGAAAACCTGATGACTGTGTGCCTAGGTGATGATCTTTTTGCAATGAATTTCCCAGGTGCTCTCTGAGCTTCTTGTATTTAGATGTCTAGATCTCTAGCAAGGCTGGGAAAGTTGTCTTCTATTATTCCCTCAAATATGTTTTCCAAACTTTTAGATTTCTCTTCTTCCTTGGGAATACCAACTATTCTTAGGTTTACTTGTTTAACATAATCCTAAACTTCCTGGAGGCTTTGTTCATTTTTTTTTATTATTCTTTATTATTTGTCTTTGTAGGATTGGCTTAATTCAAAACCCTTGTCTTCAAGCTTTGAGGTTCTTTCTTCTACTTGTTCAATTCTATTGCTGAGACTTTCCAATGGATTTTGCAATTCTCTAAGTGTGTCCTTCTTTTCCAGAAGTTGTGATTGTTTTTTATTTAGGCTATCAATTTCACTGGAGATGTTTCCATTTATATTACTTTTTTCATTTCCTTAAGATGGACTTCACCCTTCTGTGGTATCTCCTTCACTGGCTTAATAGTCAACCTTTTGAATTCTGTTTCTAGCAATTTAGAGATTTTGTCTTGGTTTGGATCCATTCCTGTTGAGCTACTGTGATCTTTTGGGGGTGTTAAAGAACTCTGTTTTGTCATATTACCAGAATTGTTTTTCTGGTTTCTTCTCATTGGGGTAGACTATGTCAGAGGGAAGATCTGGGGCTCAAAGACTGTTGTTTAGATTATTTTGTCCCACCGGGTGCTGCTTTGACATAGTGCTCTGCACTTTCTCCTAGATTTAGGCCTTCCTGAGAGCTGAACTGCAGTGATTGTTATTTCTCTTCTGGATTAGCCACCCAGCAGAGCTACCAGACTCCAAGCTGGTACTGAGGAGTGTCTGGAAAGAGTCCTGTGATGTGATCCATCTTCAGGTTTCTCAGCCATGGATACCAGCACCTGCTCAAGTGGAGGTAGCAGGCGAGTAAAGTGGACTCTGTGAGGTGCTTGGTAGTATTTTTGTTGTGTTGCATTGGTTTTGTGTTGGTTGGCCTTCAGCCAGGAGGTGGTGCTTTCAAGAGCACATCAGCTGTGGCAGTACAGGGAGGATCAGGAGGTGGGTGGGGCCACAGAGCTCCCAAGAAGTTATTTTCTTTGTCTTTGGAGTTCCTTGGCTGTCCCATGGAGCCTGAAGTTGAAGTTCAAAGGGTCTGTGGATTATCTTGGCTTTCCTGGTATGTTCCTGTAGTAGTTATTGGAGCAAAAGTTCATGATATGGGTCTCCACACGCTTCTCTGTCTGTCTGAGTGGGAGCTGCAAGTTAGTCCTGCCTCCTATCTGCCATTTTCCCAAAATTTTAAAATTCTCTAATTTTGCCCTAGCCCAGGCCAGGGCCAAGGCTGCCTCAGGGAGCAGTGGTGTGCCTGTGGACTGTGGCTGTGGGGTGGGTCTGGCACCTTTTAAAGTTTGATAAGAAACATTTACCAACTATTCTCTCTGAAGCCTGCTACATGGAGACTTCATCTGCGTAATAAGAACCTTAGTCTCCACAACCCCTTATCTTAACCCAGACATTCCTTTCTATTGATTTCAGGTCTTTAAATAACAACTTAACTCTTTCAATCAGTTGCCAATCAGAAAATCTTTGAGTCCACCTACGGTTTGATTTGATTAATGTTTGCTTGTAACTTCTGTCCCCCTAAAATGTACAAAATCAAGCTATAACCCAACCATCTTGGGTAAATGTTCTCAGGACCTCCTGAGATTGTGTCACAGACATGTCCTTAACGTTGGCAAAATTAACTTCTAAATTGATTGAGACTTGTCTCAAATACTTTTTAGTTTACAGTACATTAATATGGTAATACTCTAACCCTCTACAAGCCCTTTATTTGGGCTTTACTGAACTGCCTACTGTATAGCCCTACTGTATAGCCATTTCTAAGCAAATCTGAAAAACATTTATGATCTTAATAGCTATAATTTATTAAGTGTTTCTTGTGTACCTAGCACTCAGCTAGGTATTTATAAATAAATTACTTCTAAACCTCACCAAAATGCAGCAGGGGTATGCATTATTACTTCCATTTTATGTATATCCTCACGGAAACTCAGATGATTTAGAGATTTATGTGTCCAAAAATCAGAGGTCAAGTGCCTGGCCCACCTTCTTTCCACTTTCTCCCCAGATAATTGTCCCCAAATATTTTGGCCATCTTAGAAAAGTAGTCCCCATTCCAAGCCCAAACCCACCAAGTTCCTCAGCAGTTCCTAACCTTAGTAGAATAGTCCTACAGATGCATTTCACACTTTGTTACCTCTATGCAATACATTCATAGCTTTATTTGGTCACTGACTGTATTAGTTCATTTTCACACTGCTGACAAAGACATATCAAAACTGGGAAGAAAATGAGGTTTAACTGGACTTACAGTTCCACATGGCTGGGGAGGCCTCAGAATCATGCCGGAGAGTGAAAGTCACTTCTTACATGGTGGCAGCAAGAGAGAAATGAGGAGGAAGCAAAAACAGAAACCCTGATAAGCCCATTAGATCTCTTGAGACGTATTCACTATCATGAGAATAGGACAGGAAAGACCACTCCCCATGATTCAATTACCTCCCCCAGGTCCTTCCCACAACATGTAGGAATTCTGGGAGATATAATTCAAGTTGAGATTTCAATGGGGACACAGCCAAACCATATCATTCCGCCCCTGGCCCCTCCAAATCTCATGACCTCACATTTTAAAACCAATCATGCCTTTCCAACATCCCCCCCAAACTCTTAACTCATTTCAACATTAATCCAAAAGTCCACAGTCCAAAGTCTCATCTGAGATAAGGCAAGTCCCTTCCACCTATGAGCCTGTAAAATAAAAAACAAGCTAGTTACTTCCTAGCTACAATGAGGGTACAGGTATTGGGTAAATACAGCCATTCCAAATGGGAGAAATTGGCCAAAACAAAGGGGTAACAGGGCCCATGCAAGTCTGAAATCCAGTGGACAGTAAAATTTTAAAGCTCCAAAATGATCTCCTTTGACTCCAGCTCTCACATCCAGGTCATGCTGATGCAAGAGGTAGGTTCCCATGGTGTTAGGCAGCTCCACCCTTGTGGCTTTTTAGGGTACAATCTCCCTCCTGGCTGTTTTCACGGGCTAGCATTGAGTGTCTGCAGCTTTTCCAGGTGCACAGTGCAAGCTGTTGGTGGATCTACCATTCTGGGGTCTGGAGGATGATGGCCCTCTTCCACTAGGCAGTGCCCCAGTAGGGACTCTATGTGAGGGCTCCAACCCCACATTTCTCTTCTGCACTGCCCTAGCAGAGGTTCTCCCTGAGGGCCCCACCCCTGAAGCAAACTTTTGCCTGGGCATCCAGGCATTTCCATACATCTTCTGAAATCTAGGCAGAGGTTCCCAAACCTCAGTTCTTGACTTCTCTGCACCCGCAGGCTTAACACTACGTGGAAGCTGCCAAAGCTTGGGGTTTCCACCCTCTGAACCCACAGACCAAGTTGTATGTTGGCCCCTTCCAGCCATGGCTGGGGCAGCTGGGACACAGGGCACCATGTCCCCAGGCTGCACAGAGCACAGGGACTCTGGACCTAGCCCACGAAGCCCCTTTTTCCCCCTGGGCCTCTGGGCCTGTGATGGAAGGGGCTGCTGTGAAGTTTTCTGACATAGCCTGGAGACATTTTCCCCCTCATCTTGGGGATTAACATTAGGCTCCTTGCTACTTATGCAAATTTCTGCAGCTGGCTTGAATTTCTCCCCAGAAAATGAGCTTTTCTTTTATATCACATTGTCAGGCTGCAAATTTTCTGAACTTTTATGCTTTGCTTCTCTTATAAAACCGAATGCCTTTAACAGCACCCAAGTCACCTCTTCAATGCTTTGCTGCTTAGAAATTTCCTCCACAAGATACCCTAAATCATTTCTCTCAAGTTCAAAGTTCCACAAATCTGTAGGGCAAGGGCAAAATGCTACCAGTCACTTTGCTAAAACATCACAAGAGTCCCCTTTGTTCCAGTTCCCAACAAGTTCTTCTACTCCATCCGAGACCACCTCACCCTGGACCTTAACATCCATATCACTGTCAGCATTTTGGGCAAAGCCATTCAAGAAAGTCTCTAGAAAGTTCTCTAGAAAGTTCCAAACTTTCCCACATTTTCCTGTCTTCTTCTGAGCCCTCCAAATTGTTCCAACCTCTGCCTGTTATCCAGTTCCAAAATCACTTCCACATTTTCAGGTATCTTTTCAGCAACATCCCACTCTACTGGTAACCATTTCCTATATTAGTCCATTTTCATGCTGCTGATAAAGACATACCCAAGACTGGGAAGAAAAAGAGGTTCAATTGGACTTACAGTTCCATATGGCTGGGGAGGCTTCAGAATAATTGCAGAGGGCAAAAGCACTTTTTACATGGCAGCAGCAAGAGAGAAATGAGGAGGAAACAAAAGTGGAAACCTCTGACAAATTCATCAGATCTCATGAGACTTATTCACTATTACGAGAATAGCATGGGAAAGACCAATCCCCATGATGCAATTCAATTACCTCCTCTAGGTCTCTCCCACAACACGTGGGAATTCTAGAAGATACAATTCAAGTTGAGATTTGAATGGGAATACAGCCAACCCATATCACTGATGATCACCTGAATCACAGCTATGGTGGTGGCATCCAAGATTCTGAAAGACTTCTTCATCAGGTCTCTAATTCTCATCTTGTAGGACTTACAATGGCCATTTCTTGTTGAGATGCCACTCTTGAGCCCCCAAACCCACCACATTGTAAGTGTAACATCCCTGAGGGATTGATTTAACAGACTTGAACCAACCTTTGCAAATATAACAGTGAGAAAATTAAGACACTGAAAGAGATATCATCTAACCAACCCCTGTGTTGCCTTTAACCCCCAAACTTCCCTTAATCATTCCTGGGCTTGGGCCAAGCTAACTTTGAGAGATATTTATAGTTTAAATGATAATAGCCCTCCCCCAAAACTAAACTGCCTTTGTAAAGCTAGTGACAGACCACCAAGTTAGGAGGATGAGAGGAGCCTGAATTCTGCTTTGGTGTGGACATAAACGATTATCAGCCATTATTATTTATGTCACAAGATTTGCAACTTCCCTAATTACTCCTGCAGATAACATTACTGTCATAGAACCTAAGATTGGCCATTTGAGCTGTCTTTTCAGATTTTTCTATTTCTGAGGATGATGGCTCCACCCAGACCCACCAAACCATCCTGTGGCCCCCACCCAGAAGCGGGCTGTTTTTCACACCCCTGTGATTGCATCCCCAACTAATCAGTGGCACCCATTCCCTGGCCCACTAAACTATCCTTGAAAAACCCTACCTCTGAATTTCAGGAGAGGCTGATTTGAGTAATAATAAAACCCTAGTCTCCCATTCAGTCAGCTCTGTGTGAATTAAACTCTTTCTCTTTACAATTTCTCTGTCTTGATAAATCAGCTCTATCTGGGCAGCAGGCAAAATGAACCCATTGGGTGGTTACAGACTTACATAGGAAATGTCATGGTAATATGCACTGAAAGATCCATTTGTAGCTGAGATTCCATTTAGGAAGCAATTAGGGATTTTAAAGAGCTCTCCATCACTGCAGTATCACAAATTGCTTATCCATAGAGAATAAATTCAGATAGACACAACAGACATCTCACATAAGAGACCAGAGCTGAAGCAGCCAAGATTCAGGGCTGATAAATGAACACTAGATTCTCAAGTCTCCATCTTTCTGGGTTCACCTTTTGCTTTAACATCCAAATGCTCCAGCTCAAACCCCCATTCCAAGCACTGTAGGTGGTTCAGAACCTCTGCTAGGATTTTTGTTCATTCATTCCAACAACTTTTTATTGAGTAACTACTGTTACTCAATGTGTCAAGCTCTTATTCTAGGCACTAGAAATATAACATGAAAAGCAGGTTAAAAAAAAAAAAGTACTGCCCTCATGGAGCTTACATTCTCTGGGTGTGTTTGAGGTAGGGGAAATGGGGAGGAGGTAGGCTGTTCTGGTGTGTCCACTCTGCAGCCCACTTCCCTGTAGTCCCCTGTATCCTGCTAGCTGCTGCCACCTCTCTCTGCCCTGGTGGGAAATACTACTTTCTTCACTACTTTCTTCATTCCCCATAGCACACCACAAATACAAGCTATCTAGACATCCTTCAATCCAATCGAGTTGACACCTAACATTAACTATTGCACCTAGTGTTGGTAATAATAACAGGAAATACAACTTTCATACATTGTTAGTGTGAAAAGTAAATTGATACAACCTTTTTGATAGGTAATTAGGCAATAAATGATTCAGAAATTCTACTTGTAGGAATTTTTCCTCAGATGTATATAAAAGGATATTTTTTACAGCAGTGTTTCCCATGGCAATATGACTACAATAATGTAAATGTCCATCATAGAAGTGGTTATATAAAACCTAGTACATTCATACCATAAAACACTACGCAAAATACTATGCAACCATATTGAAAAATGAGGTAGGTCACTGAAAAGCTATATTATAGACTTCTTAAGTGGGAAAAAGTGTGATCTCACTTATATAAAGAAAAAATGTATACATAGCACTTCTAAATTTCAGTCCAAAAAACTGAAATGTATTTTTAAGAATGTCACTTTATTTCTCTAGAGCTAGATATAATATCTACATGGAATTTATATTCAACCAAGTGGCAAAACTTAATCTTCACCAATTTGATGTCCTACTTCCCAGGGTTACTTTTAAGTTTCAGGGGGTTTAGAGTTTGGCAAGGCATTCAATAGACAAATACACCTATTCCCTAGAATAGGTATCTATACATGCTGGCATCCATGAGTCATACTTTTTCCCATCTGCTCTTTTGATCATTTCACCAAGGATCAATATTTAACTGGTACCCACCAACTATAGCCAGGATAATGTTTTAGCCAGTTGTCAAAGCACTGAAATACTTCTAAGCCAGTTGGTACACAGATGCTGCCCAAAACACTGCTCCACCCACCAGACCCACCCACCCCAACTCTCCTCCACCCTTGGAGCCACCCTTACCTCTCCCACAATCCATTAACTAAAGGGTATTTCTAGGCACGGCAGGGTTTCCAGGACCTGCTCCCGTGACACAGCCAGCATGTCGTCCGACTGGCAGGTGCCCAGGCCAAATATTGTTGAATATGTGCTCCCTCAGAATACAACCAAACTAATCTATTGATAAGGCAAAGCTGAGGTTTATTAATTACTGCAGTATTGGAGAGCACTACCTTAGTAGTGAGATAAATTATCAGTAGTATCTTGGAGCAGAAATGCAAAGTCAGGACGTTTTTGGGGCTTACAGATTGAGTTTAAGACAGGTCTTCCAATAGGGGGCGGTTTGATTAATACTGGGTAAGAATCACGTTATAATCATAATTTGTGTACGTAGCAAGGTAGGGGTTTTAAAGCAAAGGTTTTAGAAACTCTTGGAGAGCAAATTATCATGATGCTTATTTAAATAAAATTTTAACAAAGTTCTTGAAATGGAAAATATAGTTAATTGCGATTTTTATGTTTCTAAGAGTATCCTGAAATAATAAAGCTATCTTGATTAAAACAATTAAATGGTAAAGTCATGTTAATGTAGAAGACATGCTGTTTGTCTATAGATGGCTTCACTTCTGTGTTCTCTCTTGTAGTCATTTTTAAGCCTGACCTGCAGGGTGCGATGCTTAACATCTGGGACGTGATCAATCCACCTCTTCATTACCCTTGTGGGTTGCCATGATTGAGCATCACGTGTCTGAAGATGGTGCTATGGTTTGAAGATGGGTTGTCCCCACCAAAACTCATGTTGAAGTTTTATTGCCAGTGTTCGGAGATGGGGCCTAGTGGGTGGTGTTTGCCCAGGCTGAGTGCAGTGGTGCAATCTCGGGCATAGGGGCAGATCCCTCAGGAATTGATTAATGCCATCTCTTGGGAGTAAACTCAACTCCTGATATCCTTTAACCTACTCTATTTTTTCCATCACACTTTTCACCTTCTAACATATTATATCTCATTTACTGTGGTTATGGTTTACTGTCAATCTGCTCACTCCCCAAAAGCAAAAAAATTTTTGTTTTTCTTTTTCACTGATGCATCCAAAACACTTAGAAGACTACCTGACACTGGCCGGGGGTGGTGGCTCAAGCCTGTAATCCCAGCACTTTGGGAGGCGGAGGTGGGCGGATCACGAGGTCAGTAGATCAAGACCATCCTGGCTAACACAGTGAAACCCCGTCTCTACTAAAAATACAAAAAAATTAGCCAGGCGTGTCGGCGGGCGCCCGTAGTCCCAGCTACTCGGGAGGCTGAGGCAGGAGAATGGCGTGATCCCAGGAGGCGGAGCTTGCAGTGAGCCGAGATCGCGCCACTGCACTCCAGTGTGGGCGACAGAGTGAGACTCCGTCTCAAATAAAAAAAAAAAAAAGACTACCTGACACTTAAAAAATATCCGATGAGCAAATAAAGCACTTAGAAAAGTACCTGGCCAATAGTCAGAACCATGTAAGTGTTCATTCTCAAGGAAGATTATCTAGTGAAAAAGGAAAAAGAAGAAAACTTTTTTTTTTTTTTTTGAGATGGAGTCTTGCTCTGTTGCCAGGCTAGAGTGCAGTGGCACGATCTCAGCTCACTGCAACCTCCGCCTCCCAGGTTCAAGCGATTCTCCTTCCTCAGCGTCCCAAGTAGCTGGAACTACAGGCACGCACCACCACATCCAGCTAATTTTTTGGATTTTTAGTAGAGACGGGGTTTCACCATGTTGGCCAGGATGATCTCCATCTCTTGACCTCGTGATCCACCTACCTCAGCCTCCCAAAGTGCTGGGATTACAGGCGTGAGCCACAGCGCCCAGCCCAAAGAAAACTTTTTGAATGTAAAAATAAAATTCCTTGAGTTGTTAAATTAGAAAAAGTAAACCCATCCTTAACTCACTTTAATTTAGAAGTCAGTGTGAATTGGTAAATAGTTACTTTTGCATGATAAATTAAATGAGTTTTGCTACTTATAATCATATATAGCAATTCTTTTATCAGAATGTCCAGGTAACAGCTCCTCTGGTTCTGTTGACCATGAAAAGGACCCTTGTCTATAGTATGACTTGAAACCAGAAGGCAGAGCATTGTCTTGCTCACACTTAGCTTGGAATACGCATATCCAGTGACTCAAATTTTTTGCCACTCTGCACACATCTTCAAATGACTAGGAAAGTGTGATACATCTTGATTTTTGGGGTTACAAATAAATGTTAGCTCATAGGTAAATTCACAAATTCAGAATCCATGAATAATAAGGATCAATTTTACCAAAAAGCACTCAATTGTATACTTTGTTAACTTTATGCTATGTGAATTCGTGAATTATATCTCAATAAAGCTCTTTTCTCCTTTTTAGTTTAAACTTAGTTTTTAAAAATTAGTTAAAAATAAAAAAAGAAAGCTGGGCATGCTGGCTCATGCCTGTAGTCCCAGCTACTTAGGAGGCTGAGGCAGAAGGATTGCTTGAACCCAGGAGTTTGAGACCAGCTTGGGCAACATAACATAATGAGACCTTGTCTCTAAAAAAAAGAAGAAAGAGAAGAAGACTATTGAGCGTTTCAGTGGGCATTTCTATACTCAACATATAAAACTCATGACTGACCAGCCACAGTTGCTCAAGCCTGTAATCCCAGCACTTTGGGAGTCTGAAGCAGGTGGATCACTTGCGGGCAGGAGTTCAAGACCAGCCTGGCCAACATGGCAAGACCACATCTCTACTAAAAATGCAAAATTTAGCTGGGTGTGGTGGTGCATGTCTGTAATCCCAGCTACTTGGGAGGCTGAGGCATGAGAATCACTTGAACCCAGGAGGCAGAGGTTGCAGTGAGCCGAGATTGCATGACTGCATTCCAGCCTGGGCAATAGAGCAAGACTCTGTCTCATAAATAAATAAATACATACATGTATACAAACTCATGACTGACTGTGGCTTTTTTTTTACTCCCATGTATTCTGTGAGACAGAAAAATACCATGCTGCTCCCTGAAAGAATGATATTCATGAGTAGGCAGAGGCAGAGCAGAAGGAGACCCAGAAAGGGGACTTCCTAGGCACATTACAATGCTCCACATCCCAGTTCCTACCCTTTTGAGGCCTGCTTGTTCATCTTTCTTTGATCCCGCTGTAATCAATTGCTTAAGCTGGCTCAGGTAGGTTTCTATTTCTTGCAACCAAAATAATTATAACTAATACTGTAACCACCCAATGGGTTCACCTTGCCCACTGCCTAGACAGAGCTGATTTATCAAGACAGGGGAATTGCAATAAAGAGTAATTAACGCAGAGCCAGCTGTGCAGGAGACCGGAGTTTGATTATTACTCAAATCAGTCTCCCCGAGCATTCGGGAGCAGAGTTTTTAAGGACAACTTGGTGGGTTGGGGGAAACCAGTGAGCCAGGAGTGCTGACGGTCAGGGATGAAATCATAGGGAGTCGAAGCTGCCTTGTGCTGAGTCAGTTCCTGAGTGGGGACCACAAAATCAGATGAGGCTAAAGTAAGTCCTACAAAGTCAATCTATTCCCCGGGCAGGAAGGAGGTCTGCTTTGGGAAAAGGCTGTTATCATCTTTGTTTTAAACTACAAGCCATAAACTAAGTTTCTCCCAAAGTTAGTTCAGCCTACACCCAGGAATGAACAAGGACAATTTGGAGGTTAGAAACAAGATGAAGCCAATTAAGTTAGATCTTTCATTGTCTCTGTCATAATTTTGCAAAGGTGGTTTCAATCCAACAGATTTTTAGCCACTTTTCTGGGATTATTTGACAAAACAATGAATGAGTATAATTAGCTCTTCAACTAGAACTTCAACAGATATTAAGATGACTGTGAATTCCTTGAGGGCAAGATGTTAGCTTTTCATCTTTGGTCTACCTTAAATTTAGACTTGCCATCCCTTTAGCATAAGGAAAATGTTGAAATGTAAATAAATGTTGAGTGATAAAAGGTATTCCTGGCACTGCAGGCTGTTCGTTAGAATCCCTGGAACAAGCACTCCTTTATGAATGATAACAACTTGGTGTGTGGTCCTGACTCTATCACCAACTAGCTGTGAGAACTTAGTAAAATGAGGAGAGCAGAAAAATCATCATAGGTTTCTAAGGCCTCTTGCAAGTCTGATATTTTCTCTTATGTAAATTAAACACACTTCTAAAAATAGTTTATATGATTGATTATCTTACTTTCTGGCCTGGAAGAAGGAGTGTAGTAACACAATCGATCATATATAAACCTTCTTCCTTCCTCCCTGACAGAAGACAAACGTCAATTTAGGCTGGCTCAGTCCAGTGCATACCAGATCAAGTCAGTGTTCAACTAAGCACTATTCTAGCTCTCAGCTGAATTGGCAAATCCCTATTAAGATTAGAATACATAATTAAGGTGTTATTTTAGTGGAGAGACAGGGTATTTTTATTTTAACAGGACAAAAAAGAAGGTAAGCTTCATTCCCTCTTCACAAACATTTATTTTCTCCTCTGTTCAAGAGCCTAAGGCCTAAGGGAGCATTTCCCAGGTGACCAGAGCTACTAGTGCACTGCAGTCTGGAAGGGTCAGGGTGAAGCAGTGGTTTTCAAACTTTAGCTTGCAATAGAACCACATGGAAGGCTTGTCATAATCAGATGGCTGGGCTCCACCCCAGAGTTCCTGATTCAGTTAAGTCCAGGATGGGGCCAGAAATTTTGCATTCCTCACAAATTCCCACAGGGAATGAACTGTTGGTTGTTGGTTCAGAACCTTACTTTTAGAACCAGGGAGGTAGAGAACCTCAGGGAGTTGATAGTTGGAGCCAGGTTATTTTATCTCTGAGAGGTTGTCAAATTGGAACATTATTTAATATATCAGAGATAGAGGTAAAGAGAACCTCCATAAACGTTTTCATTGTGGTCTTCACCTTTCCTATTTTTAACTTTCCTAAAGAGCTAGGGAGCTTCTCTTAAGAGCTTTCTAGATTATTAAGTGTATCTCCTTTCAAAGCCCCATGACATGACGTACCAATTGAAAGAAACCTGTTCCCTCTTGAATCATCTATTTGATGCCTATGTAATGTGAGAATAGCTCTTTAATGAAACCAGTACATTTAAGCCTTTCATAAATGTTTTATGCCACTTCCTTTATCAATAGAGACCCCCCCTCCCCAAGTTAATCTTAAAAATACAGTCTTCTGACACTCCTTTATGAGTGCCTACTATGTACAAGGAATCAGATTAGGGACTATGGGAAATACATACTGGCTGCAACACAATTATATTGTATTCTGGAGTTAAGGGTACAAAGCAGAAGATGGCATGTGGCCTTACAAGGGCGCAGGCAAAGTTCTATAAGGGTCCAGGAAGGGTCATACTTTGAGGAAGGAATCACAGATAGCTTCATGGTATGGATTTTATTTTTCTCAAGGTTTTGAGCATCTGGAAATTTGGCCCTTTGTTACTTGGTGTTTAATGCTTTTTATGGTACTACGAATAATTTAAGCTAACATCAGTGGTATAACATTGTATCTCTAAGAAATAAAAAGGAGAAAGCTGCATAGGACAGAAGAAAGTAAAGGGTTATTCACTGAATGGGAACCTGGAAGTCATAGTAGCATAACTGATTACTCACAGTAGTTCAGTGGAACTCCCTATTCTAACCTTGTCTCTTTTTCCATCATACACACACACACACACACACACACACCCACACACACACCTCCCACCCACACTGCTCTTTCAGCCTACCCCTGTGCTAAGCCAGCTGGGCAATTGCAGTTTTAGAAAGAGCAGAGCCAAGAGGTGCACAAAAACACATTAGTCAGCTTATAAACCGGAGCTGTTGAAACAAACATACTTGCAGTTTCACTGGAACTATTCATATTTAACACTAGAATAAATAGTGTTGTGTATACTAATCTCGAGTATTTCAAAATGGATATAAGTCAGAATATGAGTGAAATTCGAACTGTGACATAACTTTCTACTCAATGTGTATTTAGTTCAATTAGATATATAATTCTGATCATACTTAAAATTGAGATGGAGGGTAAATTATCTCCCAATTTTTAGCAGCAGGTGGGAAGAAAGTGCCTATACCACATTACTATATTATAAAGAAAATTTTAGGCCAGGCATGGTGGCTCACACCTGTAATCCCAACATTTTGGGAGGCAAGGTTGGAGGGTTACTTGAGCCCAAGAGTTTGAGACCAACCTGGGCAACATAGTGAGATCCTCTCTTTATAAAAACTTAAAAAAAAAATAGCCAGGCATGGTGACATGCACCTGCAGTCCCAGCTACTCCAAGGGCTAAGGTGGGAGGATGGCTTGAGCCTGGGAGGTCAAGGCTGCAGTGAGAAGCGATCATGCCACTGAATTCTAGCCTGGGTGACAGAGCAAGACCCTGTAAGAACCTATTTGAAAAAAAAAAAAAAAAAAAGGAGAAAATTTTAAATGTGGTCTTCAAACATAATGTTATGGTTTTTTGATATTATTTAATTAACATAAGTATATTTCACTTCTAAAGTCAGAGTAGAACAAAAAAGGCTGTATTATAACAGAGTTCTGTTTTTTAAACCAAGTGGGCGACTCTCTCTTGAGTACACCCACACTCCCCCTTTTTGAGTGTGTACTTTCCACGAAAAAAGAAAAAACAAACTGGGCACAGTGGTTCACACCTGTAATCCCAGCATTTTGGGAGGCTGATGCGGGAGAATCGTTCAAGACCAGTCCTGAGGACTTAGCAAGATTCAGTCCCCGTTAAAAATTATATATATATATATAATTTTCTATATAAATATATATAACATATTATACACAGACACACACACATACACCCCAAGTGAATGATTTTTCAGTTTCCTTTTAATTCTAGATCCTTGAAGACCATTAAACTCCTATCTTTTATTAGATGATTGTTTGAGGCATATATAATCATACCTTTTAACTGCTGCTGGTGATCAGGTATACTAGTCCATTCAGAGCTAAGTTCTCCTCTTATACAACACCTGAGAAGAAATACGTTTGAATTATTTACAGAGCAAAGGCTGTGCCAGTGGAACTGAGGCAATAGCAATGTAAGCAGAAATATAGAAATCTATGTGGTATAATAGAAAGCATAATATTAAGTTCTGTCACTAACTAGCTGTGAGACTTTGAATAGCTCACTTCAGATCTCTGGGTCTTAGTTTCTTCATCTATAAAACAGAGTAATTGGACTTGATAAGTGGTTCTGAACTAGAATAGGCATCAGAACCATTAGGAGAGCTTCTTAAAAGCATCCATGGGCCAGGCGCAGTGGCTTATGCCTGTAATCCCAGCACTTTGGGAGGCTGAGGTGGGCGGACTATGAGGTCAGGAGATTGAGACCATCCTGGCCAACATGGTGAAACCCCGTCTCCACTAAAAATACAAAAATTAGCTGGGTGTGGTGGCGGGTGCCTGTAGTCGCAGCTACTCAGGAGGCTGAGGCAGGAGAATCACTTGAACCTGGGAGGTGGAGGTTGCAGTGAGCCGAGATCACGCCACTGCACTCCAGCCTGGGTGACAGAGCAAGACTCCATCTCAAAAAAAAAAAGTAAAAGAAAATGAAAAGCATCCATGCCAGTCCCCCATCCCCAGTTATACCCCACACCACCACCCCATCCCAGGCCTGGCAGGTGCTCTCCAATGAAATTCTCTAGGTCATTCTGGATAGACTTCTGGATTCTTTCCACCTCCCATCTAAGAATCTCTAAGCTATGAAATATGTCTTTATTTTCTCTCACGTTATCTCAAAGTGGAGCCAAGTAAGAGAAGCACTTAAGGCACTTAAATGGAAACTTGAATATTTATTAAACAAAGATGTCTTCCTATCTTATTCTGGTTGAAATCCTAGAATTCAAGCTCCCAGAGGCCATTGCAAACTTAGGCTATATCTAGAGCTTTAAAAATGAGACATGATTCTACATTCTTTTAAAACTTTCAAATCTGTACTGGCCTCAACATTTGTTCTGTTTCATAATGGAATGTCTTTTTTTTTGTTAAAGTTTGTTCAGAAAAAAAAATGTATCCTTTCTAGCTTGAATAGTCATTTAATCATAATCAAAATAACATTGGTTAAATGCCTTATTCTGCCTGATACAATGCTAGAAAATTCATAAAACGAGAAAAAGAAATCATTCCTGGTCTCTGAAAATATGTTTCAAAATCAATAGCATAAATAGCCAACCTTGAAGGTTATGGTTTCATGATTCAAGATGCAGAATTTCATGATGCATCATGAATTCTTTTTTTTCCCAAAGCACTTGAATATTTATTACCTATTTTTATCCACAGATCAGCCTTTTGAAATACAATCAGAAGGCATGTCATTCTTATACAATAAACTAAAAAAACAGATTAGATTCCTTGTTTTCTGTGAACAACGAGTTTGGGAAAGGTGGATAAGATTTGTAGCCCCAGTGTCTAGCACAACATAGGTGCTCAATAAATATTTGAATAACTGGATGTGTTGCCTTCTTTCTCCAACTAACTCTCCCAGGCAAGCAAGCAGCAGGTTACCTGGACTCATCTGAATCATCACACACGATACCATGAGAATGAGTATCCACTCTCTTGGCTTGGAGTTGCTGATTTCTGAGGTTTTCAAGTGGTAATGCAGTGAATAGACCAGGAGAGACACTGCGGACATGTAATCGCATGCGTTGTTATTTTCACTGACTTCAAGGATGCTTTTAATTACCTCCTGATTCCTGGGGCAGCCTCAGACTCGCTGCCTTTTATAGCAGCTGTAGCAGCTACAACTTTGGAATAGTTGACAGCTGTTCACACTTATTCATCTTTGTGCAGCATCTAACACAGGGCCTGGATTTAGGGGTTCAATAAACATTTGTTAAATTGAATTACAGAGGCTGCTAGGTCTAAAAACTACTGATGTGTGGCTCCCATGCCTAGAGATTCAGATTTAATTGGTCTTCAGTATGGCCTTGTATCAGTGTTTAAAATTTTTTTTTAGGTGATTTGAAGGTGCAGCCAAGGATGACAACTATTGAATAGTCTTCATATACCCTGTCCTTTATTAAGAGGGAGATTAGTAGTTCATAAAACACACACACACACACACACACACACACACACACGAGATGTTAAAGAGAGACTAGCATCTTAACAGAAAATTTCTCTCTAATGTAGTCAGAATTCAAAGCTCAGAAAATAGCAGGAGGACATTCAGAGAGAAATAAGCACAAATGCCACTGACTTTATGAAACCTTTCAATGGCATTGCTTTGTTCCTAAGATACGGCCCAACATTCTTTGTTTTGTTTGCTTATTTTTTGAGATAGGATCTGTCACCCAGGTGGAGTGCAGAGGCACAATCACAGCTCACTGCTAACTCGATCTCCCAGACCCAAGTGGGAGACTCAGCCACCAAAGTAGGTGGGACTACAGGCATATGTCACCATGCTAATTTTTTTCTTAATTTTATCTTTTGTAGAAATGAGGTCTCATAATGTTGTCCAAGCTGGTCTCAAACTCCTGGCCTGAAGCAATCCTCCTGCCTAGGCTTCCCAAAGTGCTGAGATTACAGGTGTGAGCCACCACACCTGGCCTGGCCCAACATTTTCTCATGGCTACAAAGCCTCTATCATGACACCCCAACCTGGCTTTCCAATCTCATCTGGTGCTGCCTCCTCCCTCACCCTCTTTGCAGCCTGCCTGCTGGCCTTCTCTCAGTTCCATGGTCTGCCATGCCCCTTCCCACTTTGGACCCTCCCAGCTAGAATACTGTTCACTCCTCATTCTTACTTTCATCCCAACCATCCTACCCAAGCCTTTGCCTTGCCAGCTCCTAAGCACTGTGGGAGTCCATGACTGAATGTCATTTTGTCAGGGAACAATGCTTTCCTTGAACCCTCAGAACAGAAGTTATGCCTTGGCTCAGCACCTGTCATAGCACTCATTACAGCTATCATCAATTATTTATTTGGTTAATTGTTTAATGTCTGTCTTCTTCACACAGGAATGGGATTGGATTGATCTTGTTTGCCCCTCAATGAGCCTCTGCTACTGAATCATTCTGCAACTTTGGACATATTATTTAACCTCGCCAAGCTTCAAGTTTCTAATTAGTAAAATGGTAATATCAGTACTACTTATCTCATAGGATTGCTGTAAGAATTAAATGAGATCATTCCTGCAGAAGGCTTGTGGTTCAGTGCCTATGACATAGTAAGTGCTAAAAATAAAAAAAAAAATAAAAAAATAAGGATGATTATTCTGAAAAGGTCTTTAGCTTAGGCATGTTTCAGATGGCCTCTTAAGGCCCCTTCCCAACTCCCTCTCACAAGTGTATGATGCCACATCATTTTGGAGTTTAGGGCTTAAATAACAGCTACTTTATTCCCTTCCAAAATATGTAATCAAATCAGAAATAAAACACAGAAGACAGAAAAATAAATATCAAATTGTTAACTTTAAAACAGATAAAACTCATTGGATAATGTGACTTTAGATATAAAACCAAAGGGGCTTATTAACACCCCTCCCCAAATTGAATTTGCCTCTCCTTATGGGCAGAGATGCTTCAGCAGGCAGACCACAGAGAAGAGCAGAAAATGTAGGCATTCTAGGTATAGACTGGCTCTGCAAGACAAACCCAAAAGGCACTGAGCTAAGTGACTTCACCAGTCAGGTAAGTTATCACATCTCCTTGAAGGAAGAGAGAGAGAGCAGAAGATAAAATGTGTCCTGCCATGCCTTTCTCTGCTGGGGAAGGGAGTGGATCATCTATTCCTTCCATGGAAACAGGAGTGGGAAAGAAGTACTCTCTCCCTCACAGTGTGGTTCCAATGCCAGTAGAATGGTATTTCTCAGAAGATAATTATAAAATTTACTTTGAAAAACAAGTCATACTGTACTATGGGTGATATTTCTGATAATGATATACCAGAAGTTTGTTGAATGATTTGTCTTTTAAATCAGGTGGTGTCTCTAGGTGTCTGTATGAATAACAATGTTTGAGGATAACATCAAGAGTCTTAATCTGAGGCCCCTCATAGCTAAGGTCCAGGCTTACTCTGGCCTTCCAAGATCACTGCCAATCTCTTGCCCGTTCTTCAGGAGAGACCCTGATTTTCAAACTAGTGCAGGTCTGAGACCACTTTTTTATACCCGTTGATGTCAAAATGAGAAAAATAAATTATGTAACTCCTGTGGTCAGAATGTTTGTGTTCCCCCTAAATTCATATGTTGAAATCCTAACCCCTACGGTAATGGTATTAAGAGGTGGGGCCTTTGAGAGATGATTAAATCATGGAGTCACACCGCTAAAAAATGGGATGAGTGCCCTTGTATAACAGACCTGAGAGAGACCTCACCCCTTCCACTATGTGAGTACACAGCAAGAAGGCAGCAGGCTGTGAACCAGGAAATGGGCCCTCCCAGACCCTGAATCTACAGGCACCTTGATCTTGGACTTCCAGCCTCCAGACCTATGAGAAATAAATTTCTTGGCCGGGTGCAGTGGCTCACACCTGTAATCCCAGCATTTTGGGAGGCCAAGGCAGGAGAATCACCTGAAGTCAGGAGTTTGAGACCAGCCTGGTCAACATGGTGAAACCCCATCTCTACTAAAAATAAAAAAAAATAGCAGGGCATGGTGGTGCATGCCTGTAATCCCAGCTACTAGGAGGCTGAGGCAGGAGAATCGCTTGAGCCTGGGAGGCAGAGGTTGCAGTGAGCCAAGATCACGCCATTGCCCTCCAGCCTGGGTGACAAGAGCAAAACTCTGTCTCAAAAAAAAAAAAAAAATTTTTTCTTGTTCATAAGCTACCCAGTCTATGGTAGTTTGTTATGGCAATACAAACAAATTAAAACATAACCAACCACTTTTTTAGGGAAGCTAAATGTATAAGGCCTTATTAAAGATTATCGCATAGTTTTTAAAACCATGGACTTTGGAGAAATAAATCCAAATTCTGACATTACTATATGACTTAGAACATATTACCTCTTTGTACCTCAATGTCCTTATCTATAAAATGGGAACAATAACAGTACCCATCTCATAATGTTGTGTGAGTAAAAGAGTACATTCAAATAATTTAGATCAGCATCTTGCCTATGTGTTCAATAAATGTTAGCCACTATTATTCAGTTTGAAAGACCATTGTTTATTCTGGAATTATATCCACTTTATCACTTTGGTATTAAACTGTCTCTTCATAAAATTATATCAATTGTTTCTAGTAAATCCCTTTTTTAATTTCCTTATCTGATGAAATTAAAAGTTGGCAAATTATAATTGCCCCTCCAATTTTTGTTTTTAAATATAACCGATGCGTAAAAAACAAAGCATAAAAAGTAAAGTAGAGGTTTCTCTTCAAAGACTTTCCTCCCCATCTAATTAAGAATAAATAGTAACTTCTCTTAGAAGCAAAATTTATTCAAAGATCTGTGCTAACATTCTTAAATATCTGCTAGCCGTAATAAAGAAATCAGTGTACTTTATGTTCTTAGCTCCCATAATTTAGCCTAAATATTTGCCCTGGCATGCTTACACTAGTCCAAGCAAGCATTAGGTTATAGCCTGTTCCTCTTATTTGAAGGTGTTTTTACCTTTTTCAGCATTCCACAAGTTACTGCCACCTTCCTTTGTTCTCCTCTGCCCTTGCCTCTTTTAAAAAGTTCTAAGTTGCTAGCCAATCAGGACAAATACAGAATGTGAGGTCCCATTCCAGCCAATGGAAACTGGACACAGCAGTAAAGTGGACCATCAGGTTATAAATGACCCTGTCTCCTTTGTTTGGTGCATTCTCGTGGCAAAACTGCTGGCGAGTGTGCCCTTTCTGCAGAAAGTATAAAAATGGCATTGCTGAGGAAATTAAATTTGTGTTCAAGTGCTATTTCTTTACAGCACCAAGGAACAAGCATTACAAATAAAAGTATCTAGAAACCACTTCTAAAACGGAAAATTAAGCTATTTTTCTCCTTCTCACACACTCATGGAACACTTTTATGACCAAATGTGTTGTGGTTTTTCCCCACATACCAAGCAATTCTCCAGTAGTGTCTCCAGCTGGGTGTGTTCTAACTCAAGCCGGCACTGTCTACTTAGAGATAGTGTCAGATCCCACAGACTGAGGGCTCAATCCCACAAGACTGCTCCCTACTTCAGATGCCAATCTGAAGTAGTAGGTTGTCACCTATACTGATGACTGACAAGCTATAAGTCAGGGCTCCCTCTAGCCCCTCCTCAGGTTCAATTAATTTGCAAGAGTAGCTCACAGAATTCGGGGAAACACTACTTACATTTGCCAGTTTATTGATGAAGGATATTTTAAAAAGATAAAAAGGAACACCAGATGAAGAGAATCATGGGGTGAGGTGTTGGGGGAGGTGCAGGCCTTCCATGCCCTCTCCTGGGCACCACCCTCCAGGAACTTCCACTTGTTCAGCTATCTGAAGCTCAATCCTTGTTGGGGAGTTTTTAGAACTTAATGTCCAGCCCCACCCCCTTTCCTGGAGGTTGATGCTGAAACTTCCAACCCTCTAATCCTCTAATCGCTTGGTCTTTCTGGTGATTTGGCCCTATCCTGAGGCTATCTAGGGGCCCTACCCTAAATCACTTTATTAGCATAAACTTCCTCGTTATCTAAGGGGCTCCCTATGAATAACAAAAGACATTTCTGTAACTCAGGAAATTCCAAGTGTGTCAGGAACTGGAGACAAAGATCAAAGATACTGCTTGTATTTCATATTATACCACACCACTGAACTACAGTGCAGTGCTTCCCACTTTCCTTTTATGAAGATCTTAAAGGTAAGGAGATAGAAATAAATAAATATATATATATATATATATATATATATATATATATATATATAGTAATTAACTTTTAGAATATTACCAACTCTCCTGCCCCTTTATCCACATAATTTGTCTTTGTTGCAATGTAGTATCCTACCAAGGTTCTGTTAAAGGATTTGCACAAAGGTCTGCAGGGCTCTGTGAAAATGTTGATGGGTTACACAGTCTTCATTCATGGTTAATTATTCTGCCCATTTTCCTTGATGTGGCATCATGCAGTGGTGAATTTATGATAAACATGTAATCGTCCTACAAATTCTTCCTGCCTGCTGAACAGACAAAATCAATTCACTGAGACCATGGCATTAAGTAGAGAAAAAGTTTAATTGACCCAAGGCCAGCCCACATGGGAGAACTGGAGTTATCACTCACATCAGTCACCCTAAAGGCTCAGATGTTAGGGGTTTATATGGACAATTTGGTGGGCAGAGTGCTAGGGAATGGTGCTGCTGATTGGTTGGGATGAAATCATAGGGGTGTGGAAAACTATCTTCATGCACCAAGTCCATCTCTGGGTTTGGGCCACAGGATCAGTGGAGTTTAAGTGTACTCAGTTTGAAAAACATCTCAAAAACACCCATATTAGGTTCTACAACAGTGATGTTATCTACAGGAGCAATTGGGAAGGTCACAAACCTTGTGACCTCTGGCCACATGAGCCCAGAATGGTAAGGGATTAGAAACTACATCTACCTCTTAGCAGAGTGCAGACCCCTCTCATAATCCTAACCTCGTGGCCTTTCATTGCTTTTTCAAAGGCAGTTTAATTTTGGGAAGGGCTGTTATCATCCTTGCTTAAAGGTTAAACTATAAACTAAATTCCTCCCAAGGTTAATTTGGCCTATGCTCAGGAACAATCAAGGACGACTCAAAGGTGAGAAGCAAGATGGAGTTAACTACGTCAGATTTCTCTTACTGTCATACTTTCACAATGGCAGTTTCAAATGCTCCTCATGATGATAATGTCTGTGGTGACAGTGATCCTAATATTCTCTGTCCCTTTGTTAGATATGAGTTCTAAATTTCTTTTCAAAGAATCAATATGTTAGTATGTTCAATTATTTGCCTTCTACTTTTAAACTTAACTTCTTCATAAAGCAATGTCTTTCGATTACCTGCTCCACCGACTCATTCCGATTACCTGCTCCACCCTGACTCATTCCGATTACCTGCTCCACCCTGACTCATTCCGATTACCTGCTCCACCCTGACTCATTCCGATTACCTGCTCCACCCTGACTCATTCCGATTACCTGCTCCACCCTGACTCATTCCGATTACCTGCTCCACCCTGACTCATTCCGATTACCTGCTCCACATTGACTCATTCCAATTACCTACTCTGTCATAACCATTTTTCCCCGCCAAACCACTTACCCCGTCACTCTCTTTAAATTAGCCAATTGGAATTAGTTTAGCCTGTGTGGTCTAACCCTAGCCAACAGGGGAATGCCACAGCAGCAGAGGCCATGTGCATCAGGGATAAGAACCCCTTCCCCTCCCTTGTCCAAGTGTGTGCTCACCATTGCTCCATCTGTAAGGGCACACCCTTCTATAGAAGTGACTTGCCTTGCTGATAATTAAAAAGAAAATTTTATACTTGAGTGCTATTTGTTTTGCAGCACCAAAACTTTACTTATAACAATTTGGGGGCTCGCCTGTGATTACATTCCCCTCCAGGGGTGGTCTCTGGTTCTCTCTCGTGAGGAGGTGTGCCCCACCCCCTTGTGGCAGCCTCAGGGGTGAGAAATCAAGACCTACCCAGTGTGAGGAATAACCTGAGCTCTCAGCAACATGGAAAGAAACTGGCCAGCAACCTAGCTTAAAGTATCCTCACATACTGCCGCGATGGCTCTGTGCACAGACCAAGGAAGGAGAAGCCCACAGGAGCCAGTAAAGTATTTCTTTGGTGGTCAGGACTAAGGAAAAAGCCAGGGGGCGATAAAGCATTCATTGGTTAGGACATACCAAGGACAGAGAAACCGCAGGGGCAGTAAAGCATTCCTTAGTCGGGACTAGGGAAAGAAAGCTGCAGGGGGCGGTGAAGTACTCCTTAGTCAGGATGTCTTGGAGGTTAAAAAGAGGTGAGAAATCCCCATTGGGGGGTGCTGAATCTCAAAAAGAGGTGAGAAATCCCCATGAGGAGGGGTTGAACCTCAGAAAGTGGTGAGAAATCCCCATGCTGAGAGTGAACCTCAAAAAGAGGTAAGAAATCCCCATGCGGGGGGTTGAACCTCAAAAAGAGGTGAGAAATCCCCATGGGGGGGGTTTAACCTCAAAAAGAGGTGAGAAATCCCCATGGAGGGGGTTGAACCTCACACAAACCTCTGGTAGTAAGAAAAATATTCAGAACTCCCCTTTCCTTTCTTCTCAGGGGAAGAAAGAATAGCTCCACTCCCGCCGGTTGCTCTCATAGGGGAAGGCGAAGGAGAGGGGAGAACAGCAGCATAAGCGGCTGGCAGAGGCAGGGAAAGACCAGCAGAGAGGACAGAGAAAAGAGAGAGAGAAAAAGAGAGGCAGAGAGAGAGAGAGGAAGAGAGAGAGAAGAAGAGAGAGAGACAAAGACGGAGTCGAAGAGAGAGAGAGGCAGAGACAGAGGAAGAGACAGAGAGACAAAGAGGGAGTCAAAGAGAGAGAGGGAGAGACAGAAAGTCAAAGAAAGAAAGAAAGAGAGAGATAGAAGTAGTAAAGAGAAAACAGTGTACCCTATTCCTTTAAAAGCCAGGGTAAATTTAAAACCTATAATTGATAATTGAAGGTCTTCTCCATGACCCTATAACACTCCAATACCACTTTGTTGTCAGTGTAAACAAGGGCGTAGCCCGAAAGCACTGAGGCCACTGACAACCCATAGCCTTCCTAATCAAAAATCCTTAACCCAGTAACCCGCAGATGGCCCAAATGCATTCAATCTGTAGCGGCAACAGCTTTGCTAACAGAAGAAAGTAGAAAAACAACTTTTGGAGGAAACCTCATTGTGAGCACACCTCATCAGGTCAGAACCATCCTAAGTCAAAAAAGAAAAGAAAAAAAGAAGCAAAAAGGTAGCTTACTGACTCAAGAACCTTAAAGTATAAGGCTATTCTGTTAGAAAAAGATGATTTAACATTAACCACTGAAAATTCCCTTAACCCTGCAGGTTTCCTAACAGGGATCTTAATTACCTTACAAAGGTCCAACCAGACCTAGGAGGAACTCCCTTCAGAACAAGACAATAGATGGTTCCTCCCTCCCGGGTGATTGAGGGAAAAAGACACAATGGGTATTCAGTAAATGATATGGAAACTCTTGTAGAAGCAGAGTTAGGAAAATTACCTAATAATTGGTCTGCTCAAACATGCCAGCTGGTTGCACTCAGCCAAGCCTTAAAGTACTTACAGAATTAGGAAAGAGCCATCTATACCAATTATAAGTTCATATGGACTGAACAAGGTCTTATTAATAGCAAAGAATAATTGAAATCCCAAACTTACAAAAGTAACTTTACTTTACAAAAGTTAAGTTTGCTAAAAGTCAACCGTGTAACATGTATTATCCTAACTTCTAATCCGTGGCCTTAGACAGCCTAGTCCACAGACATGAAGGAAGTTCGCTTTGGAAAAGAAAGGTTATCATCTTCGAGAAAAAATAGTCGGGGGGATAATTTATATAAAAAGGAATGTTATATGGTAAGTTCTTGTCCTAAAATAAATTAACTGGTTGTTTAAAGAAAGGGATGTTTGCAACAAGTCAAAAAGTTGAGGCATGTCAAACAATTGTCTGTAAAAGTTGTGAAAAAAGAAAGTTATAACAGGGAATTTATGCAAGAAATGTTGTATAATTTAAAAGTAATTAGGCCTCCTGAATGTAAAACTAATGAAGAAACAGTTTATGTGCAAGGTGTATAAGGAAAGTAAAATATATCTTTGGTAAAAGGATTATAAGGAGGCATAAGAATGTGGATTTTTACCTACATTAAAAGGTTAAAAAATTTGTTTTAAAGGTTTAAACAAGTTTTGAAATGTTAATTGTAAAGGAAATTCTGTGTGTAAACATATTGGCCAAAGTTAAAGGGGTATCATCCAGTTTTTCTGTGAACTGGACATTAAAATAAAAGCACAAAAGTTTTTCTTAAAGCACTAACCTGCTCTTTAACAAAAATTATAAAAGGTTAAAAAGAGACTATAAAAATCTTACCTTATGGTCAGACATTAAAAATTGAATAAATATGCCTACAAGGTTTTATTACAATTAAGTTTAACATTAATAACACACTAATATAAAGGTGAAATTTAGCTTATCTGGTATAAAAATCATACAGGAAGCATTGTCAAATATAAAACGGTGTTTGGCTTTCTTTGGTCTAAAAAGTAATAAAAATAGGTGCTAAAGGAAATTTCTCAGTAAGAAGGCACCAAGGACTATAAAGTCCACTGCTGATGTCCCCACATTTAAAACAAAAGGTCAATTTCTTAGAAATTATATACTTGGTTTATCTTCCATTTTCCTTTCCCTCAAAACTAAAAGTCTTTTAGCACAGGTAGCACCCCTAGAATTTCTGGTAAACTAGCACCAGCCTGAGGATCACATTCTCATCAAATGGTAGAAAGAAGGAAAACTCGAGCCAGCCTGGGAAGGACCCTACCTTGTGCTGCTAAACACCAAGACGGCTGTTCGTACAACAAAAAGGGGATGGACTCATCACAGTTGAGTCAAAAAAGTGCTGCCCCTCCAGAGTCGTGGGCCATAGTCCCAGGGGAAAACCCTACCAAACTAAAGCTAAGAAAAATTTAACTCTCTTTCATCTATTCTATTACTCTTTCTTCTTTCCTCGCTCTATTGCTGACCATCTAGTTATTAATATAACCAAGTCAATTTCACCTCAAACTATTGCATGTAATGCTTGCCTTGTTATACCCTGTGGGGACTTGCCAACTCAAAGACAGCTCTCTGCTTCAGAAAAGTAACTCTGTCCCTCCTGACTCCTCAGACTAGGCATTAGTGAATTGGGACCATTTAATCCGGGGAGATTTTAATAAAGACCCCAGTGTCAACCAGCAGTCTTGCTCCCAGATGTACAGCTTTTATGCCATAGTTGGTCCAACATTCTGTGGACCACTAAAGAGCAAGGATGGACTGCCCCAATCTGTTTTTATAATTTCCTAAAACCATGCATTCATTTTACTAGAGGGACACCCTGCCCCCACCCCACCCCCCAACTGTCAGCTAAACCAGTGCAATCCTATAGAGGTTATTATCTCAAACCCTCAAAGTTCTTCCCCTTTTCTAAGCTGGTTCCCTTCTTTAAGCTGGTTTTATGCTATGGGGGCTGAGGTTTCAGAGACAGACCCTATTGGATTCTTTGAAATGCATTTCTTTGATCCCCCACCACCTGTACCTTTCTCTAAGCCTTCTTCCAAAACCTCTCACAACGGAACAATTGCTCCTCCTCCATTTAACAACAAGACCAAGACAAGACCGAGACAGCTATCATAGAAGTTAAAGACTTAAAACAAATTTTGGCAATTAAGACAGGATATCAAGATGCAAATGCCTGGTTGGAATGGATCAAATATTCCATCTGCACGTTAAACAAAAGCAATTGTTATGTTTGTGCACACCGCAGGCCAGAGGCCCAGATTGTCCCCTTTCCACTAGGGTGGTCCTCCAGTTGACTGGGCGTGGGCTGCATGGTAGCTCTTTTCCAGGATTCTACAGCTTGAAGTAACAAGTCATGCCATCCTCTGTCTCTGCTATATCCCAAAATCCGGCACCCAGCAGGTCAGCCCCCAAGGGCCATCCAGCTTCCATCTCCCAACACTAAGTTCACTTTGTGTCTCTCATGACAGGGAGGAAACTTAGCATTCCTTGGAGACCTGAAGGGGTGTGGTGAGCTTAAGAATTTTCAAGAGCTTATCAATCAGTCAGCCCTTGTTCATCCCCGAGTGGATGTGTGGTGGTATTGTGGTGGACCTTTACTGAACACTCTGCCAAATAACTGGAGTGGCATCTGTGCTTTAGTCCAATTGGCTATCCTTTTTACCCTGGCATTTCATCAACTAGAGGAAGGGAAAATAAGACATCATAAAGCGAGAGAAGCCCCTTATGGGTCTTTCAACTCTCACGCCTATTTAAATGCCACTGGAGTCCCACGGGGAATACCAAATCAATTTAAAGCCCAAATCAAATAGCTGCAGGATTTGAGTCAATATTTTGTTGGGTGACAATTAATAAAAATGTAAATTGGAAAAACTACATCTATTACAACCAACAGTGATTTATTAACTACACTAGAGGTGCTGTTAAAAGAATAGCTGAGCAATTAGGGGCTACTAGCCAGATGGCTTGGGAAAATAGGATAGCCTTAGACATGATATTAGCAGAAAGAGGAGTCTGCATCATGATTAAAACTCAATGTTGCACCTTCGTTCGAAACAACACCGCCCCTAACGGAAGTATAACAAAAGCATTGCAAGGTCTGACTGCTCTATCCAATGAGTTAGCCATCAACTCAGGGGTAAATGACCCCTTTACAGAATGGCTAGAAAAGTGGTTCGGTAAATGGAAAAGAATAATAGCCTCAATTCTTACTTCCCTCACAGCCGTAATGGGTATACTTATCCTTGTCTGGTGTTGTGTCACACCATGCATCTGTGGGTTGGTGCAGAGGCTCATAAAAACGACACTTACTAAAACCTCCCTTAACTATCCTCCACCTTATCCAGTGAAGCTTCTTTTAGAAAATCAAGTAGAACACTAAGCCAAGACATGTTAAAAAGTTTGAAAAGAAAGAGTTGTGAGGAAATGCAAGAGGAGGGGTTGTTAGATATGCATTCTAAATTTCTTTTCAAAGAATCAATATGTTAGTATGTTCAATTCTTTGCCCTCTACTTTTAAACTTAACTTCCTCGCAAAGCAACCTTTTTCGATTACCTGCTCTACCCTGACTCATTCCAATTACCTTTTCCACCCTGACTCATTCCGATTACCTGCTCTGTCATAACCATTTTTCCCACCAAACCACTCACCCCATCACTCTCTTTAAATCAGCCAATCGGAATTATTTAGCCTGTGCGGTCTAACCCTAGCCAATAGGGGAACGACACAGCAGCAGAGGCCATGTGCGTCAGGGATAAGAACCCCTTCCCCTCCCTTGTCCAAGTGTGCGCTCACCATTGCTCCATCTGTAAGGGCGCACCCTTCTGTAGGAGTAACTTGCCTTGCTGATAATTAAAAAGAAAGTTTTATATTTGAGTGCTATTTATTTTGCAGCACCGAAACTTTATTTATAACACCCTGACTTGAGGCAATTGAGGCACTGAATGAACAAACCGTTCATTTGAACTGACTGCAAGACAATCGAGGAATTGGTGAAACAATTCACCAATTTCACCAGTGAAAACAAAACTTATTCTGATTTCCAGACTGACCTTATGAAATCACTGTTACTCTGATGGTCACTACCGGGAGGCAAAGTCATATTTTGAAATAAATTTGGGGATTAAATGAGGAAATGAGAACCCATGTAGTAAGTGAGAATCCATGCCAGCAGTAACACCCAGAAGTTTTTCTACACATTCCACTGAGATAAATTTTAAAAGTCCAGAGCATTTTCCCAGGACCCCCTTCTTACTTACATTGCAGCATTGCTGATTAAAATTGTGATTAATTCTGGCCAGGACCACAATTAAGTGGTAATATTTTATCATACAAACATATAGTCTTTTGCTTAAAACCGATGTGTACGGGGATCTTTTACTATTAAACTATCTGGGCTCCTTTAGCCTGTTCCTCCAAGCCAGCTCTAAGCATCTGGTACATCTCTTTGAATGGACAAAGGAGTGAGGCCAAAGCTGTAGTCCCTTGTTGTCTGAGCTCTTGATCTGCCTTCCCTGACAGCCCTGCTTGCAGAGAAACAGAGAGATTAGGGAGATGCCTGGGGGCTGGGAATGTGACAGGTGACAGTTTCCATCAGCATTTATCTCTACTTGGCAAAAATAAGAAAGGTCTGGAAACAGGCCTCTGGTGGAACGTGTTGGCAATCACAAAGCATCCTGAGTCGTGCTTTGGAATCCAGAAATATATGTGTATTATCCATATAACCAGGTAACAAGCCTCATAGTGACTGTGAGAGTCACTAGAATTTGACCTTCATTGAAATAAGAGCAACCATTTATTGGCCAAGAGATTTATACGCATTGCCTTTAATCATTACAATAACCTCTGAGATAATCTATTTTATGCTTGAAGAAAACTGAGATTGAGGAAGATTTGATGGTTTGTACAAGAGCACAAAGCCATAAATGTAAGGGGCCAGGGATCCAATTCGGGCTTTTCTGGCTCCAAAGCCCAGGCTCTGTCCACTGTGCCAATCTGCCCCTTGCTAGGTACAAGGTAAGACTGCTCTCTGCAAGACCGGGCTGCGTTTGTGAAACTGTCTTTCTAATTAACCTTTGTGCTCAAGTGTTTCTCAGAAAAGGCCACCCCCTCAGCAATTCTTAAGTGTTTGGCTAGTTGTTTGACCCAGACTTGTTAGTTTGTTTGTTTTCCTGTCATTTTTTCAAAAATCCAAATCTAGGCATAATGTGTACATTTGTCTCAGTGGATCCATTTCTCCTGGGTCTGAAGCTAGCTCATCTCAACCATCCCTTCACTTTGGAAAAGTCTCCCAAGCAAGCTTTGCTAACCATCAGCAAATAATCCCTTTGGCTACTACCGCTTAAGAAGTACCTGATTCTGAAGATATGTTCTGCTGATTTGTCACGTAGAAGAACGGAAGCATAGAAGATTGTTATTTATTTATTTATTTATTTATTTAATTTATTTTTTGAGATGGAGTCTTGCTCTGTCACCCAGGCTGGAGTGCAGTGGCAGGATCTCGGCTCATTGCAATCTCCACCTCCCGGGTTCAAGCGATTCTCCTGCCTCAGCCTCCCAAGTAGCTGGGACTACAGGCTTCCACCACCACGCCCAGCTAATTTTTGTATTTTTAGTAGAGACAAGATTTCACCATGTTGGCCGGGCTGGTCTCGAACTCCTGACCTCAGGTGATCCTCCCACCTCTGCCTCCCAAAGTGCTCGGATTACAGGCGTGAGCCACTGTACCCAGCCACCAAGTGGGGAAAATTAGAGCATAGTTAAAACATATTTCTTTGTGTTCTACTCCCACTTATTTTTTTTTTATTTATTTATTTTGAGACAGAGTCTTGCACTGCTGCCCAGGCTGGAGTGCACTGGTGCAATCTCACACTCACTGCAACCTCTGCCTTCTAGGTTCAAGCAATTCTTCTGCCTCAGCCTCCCAACTAGTTGGGACTACAGGCACACACCATCACGCCTGGTGAATTTTTGTATTTTAAATAGAGGCGGGGTTTCGCCATGTTGGCCAGGCTGGTCTCGAACTCCTGACCTCAGGTGATCCTCCCACCTTGGCCTCCCAAAGTGCCACTGCACCCAGCCTGTACTCCCACTTCTGACTGCCATCAACCCAATTAGCTATATCAAGGTCCTCATGCCTGGGCAATAACATACCAAGGGGAGGTCCTAAGGCTTGAGACATGCAGCCAATATCTGGCCTAGAGTGAAAATCTACAATCAGGAAGGCAGGAGAATGGTGCCAAAGCTCAGAATCCTGACCAGTCAATCAGTTGGAGGGTAGTCAGGACCAGAATCCTGACCAATCAGCTGGCTAAACAGATACAGATGCAATGAGACTAGCCAAATCTAGTAAGGAGACATTAAACCAGATGTGGGCAAGTCAGGCAGGACAATGGTAGCCCAAGAAAATTTGAAGTAATTCCTTGTGTAACTGGGCTTGGCCCATTCTGCTGAGCCAAGGTGGAATGAAAGGATTCAACCATGTTGGAAAATCTTAGAGGTAACATTGTTTACAACTTTTGCACTGAGAATATAGGTGATTAGAAGTTACATCTGGGCTGGGCACAGTGGCTCATGCTTGTAATCCCAGCACTTTGTGATGCCAAGGCAGGTGGATCGCTCGAGCCCAGGAATTCCAGACCAGCCGGGGCAATGTGGCAAAACCCCGTCTCTACAAAAAATACAACAATTAGCTGAACATGGTGGTGTACACCTGTGATTCCAGCTACTCAGAAAGCCAAGGCAGGAGGATTGCTTGAGCCCAGGAGTGCAAGACCAGCCTGGGCAACATGGTAAGACCCCATCTCTACAAAAAAAAATAAATACATACATATATACATATATATACGTCGAAGATTGGACAGGAACACTGACAATTTTGGCAGATGCCAGAATGGATAAATGATGACAACATTTATTTTATATATATATATATATATATACACACACACATATATATGTATATATAAAAAATAATTTTTTAAAAAGAAGTTAGGCCGGGTGTGATGGCTCAAGCCTGTAATCCCAGCACTTTGGGAGGCCGAGGTGGGTGGATTACTTGAGGTCAGGAGTTCAAGACCAGCCTGGCCAACATGGTGAAACCCTGTCTCTACTAAAAATACAAAAATTAGCCGGGCGTGGTGGTACATGCCTGTAGTCCCAGCTATTCTACTCGGGAGGCAGAGGCAGGAGAATCACTTGTACCCGGGAGGCAGAGACAGGAGAATCACTTGTACCCGGGAGGCGGAGGTTGCAGTGAGCCAAGATTGTGCCACTGCACTCCACTCCAGCCTGGGTGACAGAAGCCAGACTCAGTCTCAAAAAAAAAAGTTACATCTGAAAGGTATTAATTTAAGACATAAATACCTAAAGGTATATACCAAACAGCTACAGTTGAAAATCAATTCTGACTGTATTTCAAAAAGCAATAAACAGCACATTTGCATGGTAAGAATTTTTCAACAACACTAAAGAGACCACTTCCTTCATCATCATCAGGAGCTCTAACCATTCTGGCTCAGTATCTTTAAACCCACAGCACATGCCAAGCATATATACATCAAATGTCCTTTCCCATTCCCTCTTTTGGACTTTACCTGAGAAACCCTCAGTCTTCCTACTTCTCAACCTGTCTTAACACTTCCATGTACCAGCCCTGTTTAATACCTGACTCTGACAGGCTCCTTCTGATAGCTGTTCTGCAGTTCTGCCCCTGATGGCCTGATAGGTACCTTTGTATACCAGCGCTCTTCTGTATTGCAACTGCTCCCTTCTCTGAGTTGTCCCTCCCTTAACTCATTTGTTCCAGGCTTCCAGGGAAATCAGAGAGAGCACCCTTTCCTTTACTCTGAACCATGCAGTGATTACTCCAATAGTGAGAAATAGATAAAAATCTCTCCTTTCCAATTATCTTTTATTTTTTTGGATTTTTCCCTTTTTTTTTTCTCTTCCCAGAAAAATCTCAGGCACACTCCAATTATCTTCAATCCCATCTATAATGATCCATTCCTTTATTTTAAATGTGGGGGCTGCCTTTTTTTAAATTTAAGTATTTCTTTTATTATTTATTTATTTATTTATTTATTTATTTATTTATTTATTGAGACAGAGTCTCGCTCTGTCGCCCAGGCTGGAGAGCAGTGGCACGATCTTGGCTCACTGAAACCTCTGCCTCTCAGTTCAAGCGATTCTCCTGCCTCAGCCTCCCAAGTAGCTGGGACTACAGGTGCATGCCACCATGCCTGGCTAATTTTATATTTTTAGTAGAGACAGGGTTTCGCCATGTGGGCCAGTCTGGTCTCGAACTCCTGACCTCAGGTAATCCACCCGCCTCTGCCTCCCAAAGTGCTGGGATTACAGGTGTGAGCCACTGTGCCCAGCTAAAATTTAAACACTTACAAGACAGAACATTTTAGTATGAATGAATATATCTCCATTTTTAACCCTGGGTCCAAAGAGACCAAGATAATGCCTGGGGAAGAGAAAGCAATAAAAAAAAAGAGAGAGAGACAAAAAGGAAACTAGAGGCACCAGACAACATCACTGCTTTCCAATTCTGCTATTAATATGAACAGCACTGAAGTTTTTCAAACAATATCCTATCTTAGCTACATCTTTAGAACGAGTAAGTCAAATAGTTTACAGGCTTATTATTGTCTTACACCCAAAATCAGGAACCCAAAATATAGACCCATTAATATTTGTGTAGTCGAATAATATTTTGAGCTATTAACCTAGAGTTCCTCTCCTTCCTCCCATCCCTTCTTCCCCTACCCTACCCAGTATTTCTTAGTTCCACTCACCCTTCCCTGAGCCCTAGCAGCTAAGACATTCCATCTTCACTGTCTCAAGGTAGAACCTAAGGAGCCTGCTAGGTCTTTCAGTTCTCCCCACTCAGCTGGATATGACAGAGTGTAAATGGCTACATGATGTTTCCCCCTGCTCAGAGGGCCTCGCATTTTCTATAGGTCACTATGTCACTCAAAAAATACTACAAATGTAGCTGAGAGAAGGCTAGCAGGCCTGAAGAAGCCTTGCGCTTGGGACAAGGAAGACAAAACAGTGATCCATTGATCCACCATCAAAGATCGGACAGGAACACTGACAATTTTGGCAGATGCCAGAATGGATAAATGATGACAACATAAAACAGATGCTCCCAGTTCCTCACCTCCATTCTGACTCCTTGGTACTGGTGAACATCCCAGAACTCAGACCCTGAGCTTAATTTTCAACTACCTGGCAGAATAGAGAAAAAAAGGATGTTTCTTGTACAATTGAATGTGTAGCCTGAAATGTACACCCACTATGTTGGTTAATAGAACAAGGTGCAATGTGACTAAATAGAAACACATGTTTAAGAAACAAGAAGACAAGGCACAAGCTGGACATAGAAGTACACTGAGAGCCTCTGCCTTATACCAGGTGAACCACAGGGTCCATGTACTGAGATAACATGTGTAAGGGTCCTATCCCTAGGACTCCAGTGCTAGGAACTCCTGCAGAAGCAGCACCTCCCACCTCACGCTCCAGAGGCTTTGCCCAGTGTGAGCTGATGAATGAAGTTGGCTGGGAACGTATTTCAGTTAGCAAGAATTATAATACATTTATTTCAGACCCCAACTTATGAAAATTCTTTTGCAAGAACACTAAAGCTCAAACACTGTAAAGGAAAGAAAGGGGTCAGGGTTGGAAGAAGAATATAAAATAATATAAAACACAAAAATCAGATAATTGTGAAAATACAGAAGTATAAAAAAGAGATAATACATGAGATCATGGAAGTGGTCTGTAGGCCACATCCACCCTCTCCCAGTCCCCCGGGACACTCCTGCTACTTCAATAGCTGTAGTTTCCTCTGGGTTGACGTGATATATCAAAGTTCAATTACTTACATATTGGTTGATAGCAGTATGCCAGATGTCCCCATTTGGTCAAACGGCCAAAAAGTTTATGTAGTCATGGATGCTGATTTGGGGGTTGGAAAAACAATTATAAAAGGCTATAGGCTGGGCGCGGTGGCTCATGCTTGTAATCCCAGCACTTTGAAAGGCTGAGGCCGGCAAATCGCCTGAGGTCAGGAGTTCCGAGACCAGCCTGGCCAACATGGTGAAACCCTGTCTCTACTAAAAATACAAAAATTAGCCGGGCATGGTGGCAGGCGCCTGTAATCCCAGCTACTTGGGAGGCTGAGGCAGAAGAATTGCTTGAACCCAGTAGGCGGAGGCTGCAGTGAGCCAAGATCGTGCCATTGCACTCCAGCCTGGGCAACAAGAGCGCAACTCTGTCTCAAAAAAAAAAGGCTGTAGCTAAAAATGACTTTTAGCTCAGTTTGTTACACTAGGTAGTCAGGCAGATATGAGCAGGGCAGGAGGCAGCACCCTCCCCACCCCCTACCATGAACATCAGGCGATCATCGGGTGATGGTCAGGCGGTTAACTGTCTCCCTAAAATAATAATTGGTTGCAGCGAGCACAAGGGATAGGCAGTTTCCCAACAGATGGAAAAAACCTGAAACTGGTGATCAGCAGCTTCCCAGTAGTATCTCAGGAACTGGTTGAGTGGGCTCACAATGTACACTAAGAGGCAAAATGGGGCAGTTTAACTGGTATATGACCTCCTAGGGACATTCGGCAGGTAAGGGAAGAACGCCTGGAGTGAGCATGCGTACAACTCCAGTAAACACTGCGTATGCTTCCTTTCCAAGGGCTAGCAGGCCACTGCGCATGCGGACAGCACACCCACAAGGGAAGAATCAGGGCAGAAGGGAGGCAAGACCCCGGAAGTATACTTACATAGAAAACCCTAAGTCAAAAGGTCAAAGCGTGCACTTGTCCTTCAACTCGCCTGCTTGGCCCTCTTCCAAGTGTACTTTCCTTCTTTTTTTCCCTGCTCTAAAGCTTTTTAATAAACTTTCAGTCCTGCTCTAAAACTTGCCTCGGCTGGGCGCGGTGGCTCACGCATGTAATCCCAGCACTTTGGGAGGCCGAGGTGGGCGAATCATTTGAGGTGAGGAGTTCGAGACCAGCCTGGCCAACATGGTGAAACCCCGTCTCTACTAAAAATACAAAAATTACCCTGGCGTGGTGGCAGGTGCCTGTAATCCCAGCTACTTGGGAGGCCGAGGCAGGAGAATCGCTTGAACCCAGGAGGGGGAGGTTGCAGTGAGCCAAGATTGGGCCACTGCACTCCAGCCTGGGCAACAGAGCAAGATTCCGTCTCAAAAATAAATAAATAAATAAATAAATAAATAAATAAATAAATAAACAAACAAATAATACTTGCCTCAGTCTCTCCTTCTGCCTTATGCCCCTCAGTTCAATTCTTTCTTCTGAGGAGACAAGACTTGAGGTTGCTGCAGATGTGTACAGATTTGCCACTGGTAACAAATTTCCTCATATTACAGATGAGAAAAAATCAGACCCTGTGAGAGTGAAAGAGTTGCCAGAGGTCACATGTCTAATTAGTGGCAGAGCTGAGTCTGGAATCCAGGTTTCCTAATTTCCTGTCCCGTACTTATTCCATTCCTTCATTCCCACATGCTGCTATTAGCTACACATCTTGAAACACACCCGCTTTCCCTGATCTCTATCAAGAAGACTAACGTTTTTTCCTTCTGTCTATGAAGGACACTGCCAAGGAGAGCTAGGACCAGCAAGGCCCAAAGCACCTACCTACAATAAGAAAGAGAAAGTTACTATAATCCAAATATTCTGTTTCTCCATACCTAGAGCTCTGCCTGGTGGAGTTCTGAAAAAGGCCTCCATGCAATAACAATAAGTAATTTTTTAAAATTAATTCTTTTGTCACTTGAGTACACTGATGGCTGGGGTGAAAGCAAGCCTTAGTTGGGGAAAGGGTAAACCATCATTGCATCACCATGTCTTAGTGAGCTCTGGGGAACACAGTTAAAACAGAAAGTAAACAGAAGAAATCTGAGCAGGCAAAATAAGTTTTTGCTCAATGTTATTGCCAGTTAAACAGAATTGCTGTTCGCTTATTTCTTTGATAGAAGGAAACAATATTTATGTCCACTTAGGAAAAGAGATCTTCTAAGATAAAGTTGAAATATTCTAAAAAATAAGTATCAGAAAATTCTTTGTCTTTGGGGAAAAGCCAAACTTAAGGAAGTCTCATTTCATTAGACTACCTTTGCAATAAAGCAGGACCGTTAAAAAAGGATGGCATAGCCATTTTAAGGGGGCTGATAAAATTGTTCCTCTCAGCACCATAAGGCAGGGTGAGAAAAAAAATTGTTCCTCATGTTTCATGGACCAAAAAAAAAGCATCTTTTGAAAATAGAAGTGCTCTAATTCTTGATGCTGGTGCCTGCTAATATTTGTGAAAGAAATTTCTTTAAAAGGACACCTCTATTTAATTTGAAAATGAGTTATTGGATGTTGTTGTGTTATATCATTTTATAGAAAGTCTTGTGGTATAATGGCATCCCTTATCAGGAAGCAAGGTCTGGTGAGAGACAGTATAGTGAATGGAAGAAGTTAGCATGTAATTCAATCCTTTCTTATGGGTTTATCCAAAGCTAGATCTTCAACGGTATGTCTACACAGACCATTTCTGGAAATGTTCCCTCATATTTACAATTATGGCAGGCAGTCTCATCTTTTTTTTTTTTCTTTTTTTTTGAGATGGAGCCTTGCTCTGTCACCCAGGCTGGAGTGCAGTGGCACAATCTCAGCTCACTGCAACCTTTGCCTCCCAGGTTCAAGCAATTCTCTTGCCTCAGCCTCCCGAGTAGCTGGGACTACAGGCACCCACCACCATGCCCGGCTAATTTTTTGTATTTTTAGTAGAGACGGGGTATCACCGTGTTACCCAGAACAGGGTCTCGATCTCCTGACCCGGTGATCTGCCCACCTCAGCCTCCCGAAGTGCTAGGATTACAGGCATGAGCCACTGTGCCAGGCCAGTCTCATCTTCTTTAATTCATCCTACATCGCATTGACTAATTAATCTTCCTTTTCCTTAAAAAAAAGGTGGGGGGTGGCTGATATGATGTTACTCTCCTGATAAAATATCCTTTAATGTTTTCATACATTAAAATTTATTCATACAGAATAAATTCTACTCTCATGAGCATGCCATTAGGGATCCTCCCTGATCAGGTACAAACTTTGGCACAAGTGGCATGCAATTATTGTTTTACTTTACATTTTTTGCTACTGTACCAGATGAAGTCTTTATCCTATTCTCTTAACAATTTTCAAGTTTTCATTTCCTCTTTTGTTAATTTACGTTCATAATTTCTGCCATTTTCTAATGGAAGCTTATTATGATTTCCAGTCTGTGAATAGGACCTCTTTATTTATTGAGATTTGTAATCTTGTGTCAGTCATATTTATGACAACACTTTCAGAGTTTGTTGTGATATTAACTTATGGGTGATGTTAGAAAGTCAAAAAGTTTAGAGCTTAATTGATAGGTCAGAGTTTGTCTTGCATATAATTTATGTCTAGAATCTGTTTTTGGAAGCTTTCCCTCTCATCCTTTGTTCTTCCCATTTTCTACCAGATTCCTATGAAACTACCTAGAGTTTTCCAGTCTCAGGGATTTAATACTCTGACATTGGCTGGTCTTCAGACTTTAGACCCTTCATGCCTTTACCAGTCTGCTAAATAATTCAGAGTTTATTAGGTTAATAGCAAAGGAGCTTACCTTTTCCCCTCTGGATGGCAGAGTTTCCTTTGTGCCTAAAGTGCTTTAGCTGGGCCTGGGCCCTAAGATTTTTGAAACCTGGGTGATAGAAGTGAGGAAGTTGTCATTTAAGAGTTGCAGATTCTGGCCGGGTGCAGCGGCTCAATGCCTGTAATCCTAGCACTTTGGGAGGCCAAGGCAGGTGGATCACTTGAGGTCAGGAGTTCAAGACCAGACTGGCCCACGTGGTGAAACCTCATCTCTACTAAAAATACAAAAAATTAGCCAGGTGTAGCAGTGCAAGCCTGTAATCCCAGCTACTCAGAAGACTGAGGCAGGAGGATCACTTGAAATTTCAGGTGAAAGGCATGGCTCAGAGCTGGGGGTGTCCACTCCTCCCTGCTCAGCTTGGCACCTGGATAGTGGAGCCAGAGGGAATCAGAAGACCATGCTCTTGGCAAGGCCACCACCAATATCAGGAGGGTACAGCATCATTACCAAGGCAACAATGAGATTCCTTCAAGCTACTTGGAGGACAGGCAGGGCATATGGGTGAACACAGTGTTGCTAGACTAGCAGGAAAGGAACATGGTTGGCTTGGATGATTACTGTAGTGGACACACTGTAAGCAGATATAAGCTATCCTTTGGGGGACGACAGGAATATTTGGGAAATATTTGACTAGTAATCAATTAAGTGGGGGCTCAAGTTATATTTGGAGCATTAGAAAGTTAATATGACCTCATTTATATCTAGTGAAAAGCCTGGTCATACCAGCTGCACACATTTAAAAATACACATACAGGCTGGGTGCGGTGGCTCATGCCTATAATCCCAGCACTTTGGGAGGTTGAGGCTGGTGGATCACCTGAAGTCAGGAGTTCAAGACCAGCATGACCAACATGGTGAAACCCTGTCTCTACTAAAAATACAAAATTAGCTGGGCATGGTGGCACATGCCTGTAATCCCAGCTACTTGGGAGGCTGAGGCAGGAGAATCGCTTGAACCCAGGAGGCAGAGGTTGAAATGAGTCAAGATCATGCCATTGCACTCCAGCCTGGGCAACAAGAGTGAAACTCCATCTCAATAAATAAAAAAATAAACAAACAAGGACAGTGTTCCTACCTTTGTTATGAATGTATGTCAAACCATGTAGGAAAGAAATGCCCTACTGAGGAAGTGTTTTAAAGCAGGTTGAGCCTTGCGATGTCCTTTCCATCAAAATCAGCACAATGACCGAGGATGAGCCCTTGATAGGACTATATGAGAATAATGATATCAGTACAGGTCATGGAATGAAACAAATACCTAGAAGTGCCCTCATTCAATAATATGGACTGAGTGGCAATTATGTGCAAGGCCCTGTGCTAGATGCTGGAGGAGCTATCAAAGTGCTTCCAATCAAATTGATTTAAGGAAGGCCATAGCTCTGATTATTGCTAGGGACTTAAGCCCACCCTTTAAATATGTTATGGCATCTGCTATATTTAGATGATTTTTAGATGGGGTCTTGCTAAGTTGCCCAGGCTGGTCTCAAACTCCTGGGCTCAAGCAATCCTCCCACCTCAGCCTCTCAAGTAGCTGGGACTAGAGGCATGCACCAACGTGCCTGGCTCTAGATAATTATTGTTTTATATTGTTTGACTTTTCTAGTAATCTACACCTGCTCATCATTCCTGGCTTACTCTCTATTTTCCAGTTTGTCTAGCTCTTTCATGACTTTGGATCAGTAGGTACATGATTCTTTCTGCCTGGAATATTCTTCTACATTCCACCTCCACTCCCCTTTTCAGTTATCTTCTATTCGTCTTTCAAGTCCTGGCTTAGGCCTCTGCTGTGGTTTGAATGTGCTCCCCAAATTTCATATATTGGAAATTTATTCCCCAAATTCATGTTGGTTGGAGGTAGGGCTTTGGGAGGTCATTAAGATTAGATAAGGTTATCAGGGTGGGGGCCCGTGATGGGACTGTTCAGGCTTTATAAAATGAGGAAGAGAAATATCTGAGCTGACATGCATGCTCTTTCTTTTCATCATGTGATGTTTTCTGCCACGTTATGATCCAGCAAGAAGGCCTTCGCCAAATGCTGGTATTATGCTCTTGGACTTCCCAGCCTCCAGAGCCATGAGCTAAATAAATTTCTTTTCTTTTTCTTTTTTCTTCATATTTTTAAAATTTCATTTTCTTTTTTTATTCTAATTTTTTTCTTTATAAATTACTCAATCTGTGGCATTCAGTCATAGCAAAATAAAACAGATGAAGACAGTATCTCTTTTTCTGGGATGGCTTCTACAACTAAATGTTCCCATCCTCACCCCCAACTGATGGGTTGGTCATCCCTCTAAATACCATAATAGCACCCTTCAAGGCCCTTCTTAGGGCTTCTTTCACACTTTACAACAGCATATTTTCTACATTTTCCACCATATTGTAAGTCCTATAAGGGTCAGTCTATTATTGTCCCTGAAAGAGTACAGTCAACACTCAGTGTCCATGGATTCTGCATCTACAGAGTTAAACAGCCACAGATAAAAAATGCGGTAGGCCTACAATGCTTGCATCTGTACTGAACATGTACGGGCCTTTTTTTGTCATTATTCCCTAAATAATACAGTATAACAAGTATTTACATAGCATTTACATTGTGTTTTATAATACAGGTATTATATTATTAAGTAATCTAGAGATGATTGAAAGTATACAGGAGGATATGCATGGGTTATATGCAAATACTGTGCTATTCTATATAAGGGACTTGAGCATTCACAAATTTTGGCATCTGTAGGGGGTCCTAGAACCAATCACCCACAGCTACTGAGGGATGACTGTACTTGGCTGATACATAGTAGACATTCAATACATATGTCTTCACTGGAGTTGACCTTTTGTCAATTACTCTAATAACTCATCACTCTTGAGAGAAGGATCATTTCATGTCCCTCATTTTACAAGTAGGAAAATATTGCCTGACAATTATTTATAAGAGCTGAAACATGCTACTGAGCATAAAATTCTATTTGCATCTTTTTTCTCCCTAAGAATTCTATGTTTTCACCTGCGACTTAGACTACTAGGTCATCAATCAGAAAACTCCAAGGAAGTTTCACTTACCTTAAAACTCATTTAGCTCTAATGGGGTTCTCACAGTTTTCATGACCTTTAAAGGAGATCAGAATTTGTAGGCACCAAAGAATCTCATGGGTTCCTGGATTCTTCAAAAGAAGATTTCAAACAAAGCACATTAAAGAGTGTATTAAATTGGCCGGGCGCGGTGGCTCACGCCTATAACCCCAGCACTTTAGGAGGCCGAGGTGGGCGGATCACCTGAGGTCAGGAGTTCGTGACCAGCCTGGCCAACCTGGTGAAACCCTGTCTCTACTAAAAATACAAAAATTAGCTAGGCGTGGTGGCACGTGTCTGTAATCCCAGCTACTTGGGAGGCTGAGGCAGGAGAATCTCTTGAACCCGGGAGGTGGAGGTTGCAGTGGGCCGAGATCACGCCATTGTACTCCAGTCTGGGGGACAAGAGCGAGACTTCGTCTCAAAAAAAGAAAAAAAAAAGAGTTGCTAAATTTTAGTTTTTAAAACTCCATGGATTGCTCCACTGGTATTAAGAAGGCCAGTACTATTAAGTAGGGGAGAGCACAAAGTTGCAACAAGGACTGCACATGATCTAGAATTCAGGTCTGTGGCCTTTCCGAGAAGTTGCACTAACATGGAGAAGCCAAAAAGGGTTTATGAACAGCTTCAGAGAAGAGAACATGGGTAATTACAGGCCCTTTGAGGACTGAGAGGTTGAGTCCCTTTTCCTCATCTCTGTTTGGATTGGCCAACAGTTCTGAGATGAACAAGGCTGAGTAACTAACGTATCAGAGGAATAGAAAGAAATGCAAATAAGTAAGGTGTTTTAGATGCTGAATCTCACCAATTCTACTTTGTAAGACTTATAGATAAAAAGAAAGCAAGGGGAAAATACTTTTGAAAAATAGGAAGTCTTTTGTTGCATAATATGTTTGCTGTCAGCTATGGCAAGTGACAGTCATGGGAGGTACCACAAGAGCTTTCATACACATTAGCTCATTTTGTCTTAAATAATCTTTACCACAACAAAGTGAGGCAAGCATTGTTATTATTCCCATGTAACTGATGGTGAATCTGAGGCTCAAAGCTCACAGTCAGTCTTCCACAGGACTGAAAACTGAACCTAGCTCTGTCTGTCATCTGCATGTGATTTGTATGACACCTGTAGACAGTGATTTTATTCAAATGTGTTAATTGTCTAAATTGATACAGTCCAGAAAGGAGAGGGCTGCTTGAAGAGAAATCTCTAAAAGCAGGTAGGTGTGGTCAACATTAAATTATATTTTCCCTTTTATTTTACTTATTTTATTTTATTATTTCTTTTTGAGGCAGAATCTTGCTCTGTTGCCCAGGCTGGGGTGTAGTGGTGCAATCTCAGCTCACTGCAACCTCTGTCTCCCAGGTTCAAGTAATTCTTCTGCCTCAGCCTCCTGAGTAGCTGGAATTACAGGTGCCCACCACCACAACTAGCTAATTTTTGTATTTTTAGTAGAGACGGGGTTTCACCATGTTGACCAGGCTGGTCTTGAACACCTGACCTCAAGTGATCACCCCTCCTTGGCCACCCAAAGTGCTGAGATTACAGGCGTGAGCCACAACGCCTGGCCTATTTTACTTATTTTTAAAAGCTATTTTTAATTCTACAAGTAACATAGAAATATGTGCTCATCATATAAAGTTCAGATATAGAACTTAAGGTCTACCTTTATTTCCCCCTCACCATCCAGAATTAACTAGGTGGATAGTTTGGAACATATCCATTCAAACATATCCTTTTATCAACAACTTGCATATATGTAGGTAAACATATAAAAATATATGCATATATGTATATACACACACAGTGTGGGAATGTTTGTGTTTTTAATGTAAAAATAAGATCAAACCATGGGTTATTCTGTAACTTGACATTTTCCCCTAATAAATAATATGTCTTTGAGTTCTTTCTGTGCCAGTACATTCTTTCTAGCTGTTTTTTTGTTTGTTTTTGTTTTTGTTTTTTTGATACAGAGTTTTGCTCTTGTTGCCCAGGCTGGAGTGCAATGGCGTCATCTCGACTCACTGCAGCCCCTGCCTCCCAGGTTCAAGCGATTCTCCTGCCTCAGCCTCCTGAGTAACTAGGATTATAGGCACCCGCCACAACACCCGGCTAATTTTTTTGTATTTTTAGTAGAGACAGGGTTTCACCATGTTGGCCAGGCTGGTCTGGAACTCCTGACCTCAGGTGATCCACCCGCCTCAGCCTCCCAAAGTGCTGGGATTGCAGGCATGAGCCACCGTGCCCAGCTTAGCTCTTCTTTCCATAGTGTTCCATAGTCATGATGTACAATAGGCTATTTAACCATTCTGCTATTTTCATTCTTAGATCAAGATATTTTCTACTATAGAATAGTTTTCTGTTTTTAGTTTTTCTGGTTTTGGTTTTTTGTTCTTGCTTGGTTTTCAAAACAGAGATAATACACTTTGGATTATCTTGTCTAATACCTGTATCTATGTCAGTAAGGTTTTAGGAAAGATAATCTCTCTCCCATTGGCTTCCCAAAAATATTTTTTGAAACATCTATGACTTATCTGAGAAATTAAAGAGAAGAATATCTGTAGCAAAGTATTATAATAATATATTTATCAGGCCAGGTGTAGTAGCTCACACCTATAATCCCAGCACTTAAGGAGGCTAAAGTGGGTGGATCACTTGAGGTTAGGAGTTTGAGAACAGCCTGGCCAACATGGTGAAACCTCATCTCTACTTAAAAGAAAAAAAAGCCTAGTGTGGTGGAAGGCACCTGTACTCCCAGCTACTCGGGAGGCTGAGGCACGAGAATCACCTGAACCCAGGAGGCAGAGGTTGCAGTGAGGCAAGATTGCACCACTGCACTCCAGCCTGGGTGACAGCGAGACTCTCCCTCAAAAAATACATATATTTATTAATTTATATTTCGTCTAAAATTCTAAAGATGAAAATAAGTAATTCCCTCTACTGAATAATGCTTTATTCCCTTGCTTACATATGAAGAACAAATATCAGTAACTAACTTTCATCTGATTGAGACTATGAATCACATAGCTAATCTGCTGGAAAGCTCAGAATCTGTGGCCCATCTCTATTTTACAAATATATAGGGCTTTGCCCTGTATGTTTTATTCCTGATTGCTTATTTTTCTAACCTCAACTTTCCCTTTTCTCCAATTTTCTCACATATATTTGTTGTTTTGCATGGTTTTTTGTTTTGTTTTTTTTTTTAGGAGGATTCTCACTCTGTCACCCAGGCTGGAGTCAGTGGTGCAATCTCAGTTCACTGCAAGCTCTGCCTCCCGGATTCATGCCATTCTCCTGTCTCAGCCTCCCAAGTAGCTGGGATTACAGGTGTCTGCCACCATGCTCAGCTAATTTTTGTATTTTTAGTAGAGATAGGGTTTTGCCATGTTGGCTGGAACTCCTGAGCTCAGGTGATCCACCTGTCTCGGCCTCCCAAAGTGTTGGGATTACAGGCGTGAGCCACCACACCTGGCCATTTCTGTTGTTTTAAACCATGCAGTGCAGCCCTAGGAAATGAATACACTGTTCCTCTATATCTTCTAAAGGTTTATAATTAATACCTGTCTCTCTCTCTCTCCTTCTTTTTTTTTTTTTTTTTTTTTTTGAGATGAGATATCAGTCTCACCCAGGCTGTGGCATGATCTCGGCTCACTGCAACCTTTGCCTCCCGGGTTCAAGCAATCCTCCCACCTCAGCCTCCTGAGCACCTGGGACTATAGGCACACCACCACGCCTGGGAAATTTTTGTTTTTGTTTTTTGTTTTGTTTTCGGTAGAGACAAGGTTTTGTCATGTTGCCCAGGCTGGTCACGAACTTCTAGGCTCCAGTGATCCTCCTGCCTCAGCCTCCCAAAGTGCTGGGATTACAGGCATGATCCACCTGGCCCAGAGGTTTATAATTTCTAACCTGAGAAGTACAGTCATATGAGTGATCAAAGTTTATAATTGTTAACCTCAGAAGCAGAGTAATATGAATAATCAAATGAAGGACTATTTGTGAGTTCTTACAGATGATTAAGAATTAGTATGAATCTGATGTTCTAAACTTTAGAAGTGAAGGAGTCACAAATGCAGGGCCATTGTTACTAATTTCTCATATTTAAAATATATGTTGCTGAATCTTGAAGATAAAATTTCTGAAGAATTTTGCTTTTCTACCATGCCATTTACATTTATTAATGGTATTATCCTAATGGCTATCTAGTATGGTTCAAGTAACCCAATGGGAGACCCACAAAAAGAATTTGGGAGCTTGTGAGTCTAGAATCATATATATGTATATATAATGATTATTATATGTATGATTATTATATATATATATATATTTTTTTTTTTTTTGAGATGGAGTTTCGCTCTTGTTGCCCAGGCTGGAGTGCAGTAGCATGATCTCGGCTCACTGCAACCTCTGCCTCCTGGGTTCATGTGATTCTCCTGCCTCAGTCTCCCGAGCAGCTGGGATTACAAGCACGCACCACCGCGACCAGTTAATTTTGTATTTTTAGTAGAGATGGGGTTTCACCATGTTGGGCAGGCTGGTCTCGAACTCCTGACCTTGTGATCCACCCGCCTTGGCCTCCCAAAGTGCTGGGATTACAGGCGTGAGCCACCGTACCCGGCCTAGAATCATATTTTATTCAAGCTGAAACTTTAAATGAGTTGCTGACTTATGATGTAAGGATAAACATACTTTTTTAAGCAGCAGTTGCAAAAACAGTAAATCAATTCTGCTGTTCAGTCTTTTAAATGCTCAGCAAATTACTGACAGTTACATTAGTGGAAATAAATCCTTATTGGAACAAAGCTTCTCTTTTCTTTCCTTTTTAACTTATATATGACAATACACATACGCAAGGTGCTGCCTCTAAGTCTTGCTCAGCACCATATTATGATTATCAATTACTTTTTATTGAAGGCTCATATGAGTCTGTGAACAAATATGTACTTTCAACTTACCTGTGGAGGTAGGAAAAAATCCTAGAGCGCAGAAGTCATTAAATACATCTACAATGGGTGCATAATGTGGGCCTCACAGCAGCCAATAGCTATGGCCCAACTCACTTTTCTATAATGAAAGGGCAGGAAGATGGCCAAATCTGTCTGATATAAACAAGCTGATGAGGATTTTGTGGCTGCCTCCACAGAGTATGCATCAATGTTGTATTGATTTATACTTTCTTTCATTTGAATATATACCTTCACCACCACTGACCTTTATTTCCAAAAGGAATAGAAAACATTTTTATAGGGTTTTGGTAAGTATGGTTTTGTGGATAGGCCTCTTATAAATCTTTAAATAAATGCATTTCATAATTCTAAATTTTAAGTGTAATTTCAGTTAAAAATAAAAACACAATAGCACTAGACAATAAATATTTGTTGAATGAATAAATGGAAGGATTAATGACTTTATTCATCATGAATCCCTACGTTATTTCTGCCCACCTTGCTTCCTTTGGATTGTAATTTGATTTTGTTTATTGATCTGTCTGTAGGGAGAGAATGACCCCATGGTAGTGATGCAGCTATAGTGGCATTACAATTATATTCCTCATAGGAATTTAAAAGTTAGCATTTTGGTTTTATTTATAGACACCACTAGACTGTGAATGCTTCACTGTAGAGCCTAGCACAGTGCCTGAAATGTCCAGCGAATGTTCCCTGCTTCAGTCTAGGTTGTTGTTTCATTTGGTCAGGGCATCAGATAAAACACTCTCATCTTTAAAAACCAGATAAGTAGTAATCCTAAAAATAAAAAGTGAAATAAAATTTAAGTTGTGGTGGATGGCTTATCGAACACGAGATACAGCAGATGGGGGCATGGTTATGTCTGCCCTCTTTCTTTCATTCTAAATAGGGGTCTTCCATCATACACTTTGGATGAAGCTATTTCAAGTGCAGGTGTGGGATGTTGGCTCAGGATAAATTACTTGGCATCAAGCATTCCCTAATGTTACAAACGTGAAGACAGGTTAAAATGAACAACATGGTGGCTTGTGCCTGTAATACTAGCTACTGGGGAGGCTGCAGCAGGAGGATTACTTGAGGCCAGGAGTTCAAGGCTGCAGTGAGCTAGGATTGGCCTACTATACTTCACCCGGGCAACAGCAAGACCCTATCTCTAAAATAATAAAATGAATAACAGGGACAAACTTTAAGAAAAGAAGAAAAGGGAAAGACAGCACACAATTGCACGAAAACATCTTTGAGACGCGGGAGGAGATGGCCGTTGTTACCAGATAGCTCTTGCCATATGCCTAATGGGGACAGGAAGGTGGTAGGATACACAGACGAGCTGTTTTAGTCTTTTGTAGTACAAACCAACTGGCTTACCTTTTTTTTTTTCTGCACACCAATAACTCCGTCAGGCTTGATTCCACATGCACCTGTTTCTTGCGGCAGCATGGCCCAGTAATGCCAGAAGTCTGAATCAATCACACTTATTTGCCTTATGTGAAAGAGGCCTTGTCTTGCGTAATTATTAAAATACAATGGAATGCTTTACATAGAGCCATGGAAGTTCAGATAATGCTGTGTCCATTGTACACACTAATGATGTAGAGTGGTGAGGAGCCACCTGACACCTATTCTGGCAGGTGGGGACTAGAATAGATGCCCCAACCCATCTCCCTCTGGTCAGGATCATATTACCTGAGAAGATGATCTAGAAAACAAAAGGAGAGCAGGAACAGGAGGCATTAGATAAAACATGACTTTTTAAAGCAGAAAAGTTGAGAAAAACAACATCATGACCTTTGCCTTGCTATGATGGCTAGGGAGTAAAAAGGAAATAAACACATGCAGTCACATGAAGTTAGATATTGTGCTCTCAAATATCTTCTGAGCACTGTCAGCCTGGGACCCAGTATATGGGTCTGCCATAGCCCAAGCTCACTTCCAAGGGGCAGAAGCAATCTCAGCCCACAAATGTTGATTGACATCTCCCCTCAACAAGGTCTAGACCAAGCTTGCCCAACCTGCAGCCCATGGGCCATATGCAGCCCAGGATGGCTTTGAATGTGGCCCAACACAAATTCATAAACTTTCTTAAAACAGTACGAGATTTTTTCGTGATTTTTTAAGCTCATCAGCTATCATCAGTGTTAGTGTATTTTATGTGTGACCCAAGACAATTCTTCTTCTTCCGATGTGGCCCAGGAAAGCCAAAAGATTACACACACCTGGCTCTAGACCAAGATAACCAGGTCAGCAGAGAATCTAGGATTCCCTTCTTCTGCCACCTGGGTTGTGTTGAGAATCAACATTTCCTTCAAAAATGATCACTCTACCTAAAAGGAGTGTGGCATTTCCCCAGTGAACCACAAGAGGATAATCTTCTCAAAATAACCAAATAAGCACACTTAAAAGTAATAGAAACATTCATTCAATGCAAAGCAGAAAGTACTTTTTTTTTTTTTCCAAGACGGAGTCTCGCTCTGTAGCCCAGGCTGGAGTGCAGTGGCGTGATCTCGGCTCACTACAAGCTCCGCCTCCCGGGTTCACGCCATTCTCCTGCCTCAGCCTCCCGAGTGGCTGGGACTACAGGTGCCCGCCACCACGTCCAGCTAATTTTTTGTATTTTTTTTTAGTAGAGACAGGATTTCACCATGTTAGCCAGGATGGTCTCGATCTCCTGACCTCGTGATCTGCCCGCCTTGGCCTCCCAAAATGCGGGGATTACAGGCGTGAGCCACCGCGCCCGGCCTTAGTACTTCTTTTTTTTTTTTTTTTTTTTTTTTTTTTTTTTTTTAACAGAGGATAATGTTAACGGAAATTGTGTAGTCAAGAGTTAAAATCTGGCCAAAATAATCTGACCAGATAGTTATATAGTTAGGCTACATTCTATCAAGAAACATAAAGGAATAGAGATATTTTAAATGTTGTGATATTCCTTATTTATAATCCCCTTCATAGTACTTTTCATACTGTACTATAATATAATGTATCTGTTTACTTGTCTGTATCCCCCTCTAGGCTGTAAGTTCCTTGAAGAAAGAAAGAACTCTCTCCCATTCTCTCTTATAGTAGAAGTTAGCATAGAGGTGCCTGGCATATAGGTGGCCAGACACCTATTCAAACCCTGTAGAATGAATGCTTTTACAGCTAGTAAACAGACCAAAGCCCATACCCAATATCATATGCTGCATATTGTCAATAGAAATACTGGAGGAGCAACTGGGAAGCAGGCACTCAGAAATTTTTTTTGAGTGGTAAAGAGGGTCCTGATCTTAGATGCTTTCAGTCAGAGCTGCAGTATACAGTTGGATAGGTTGTTCACTGCACAAGGTTAACCAGCTAAGGGCACTAATTGGGGCAGAAAATCCAGCCTGTATTCTACTTGACAAGCCATCAACTCCAACACCGCTCTGTATCTGCCCACAGGAAGCAATGCCTTTTTTCAAATTCCTACAAAGGCCCTGTACAAACTTCAGATAGTCTTGATTTAAATAATGACAGAGTAATAATGTCTGACAGGTTACATCTCAGGAGCAAGAAAAATTGCCCTACCAATCTGATTCCACCAGAGAGTAAAAGAAATAGTGAAGACTGTCTATTCTTAAAATGAAAACACTGAGGTTGGAGATGGTTTTTCTCTGGATTCTCAACATAGGGTGATGTGCTTACAAAATAATTTTTTTTAAATAAAAAAGACCCACATAAGGGAGCCTCTGTATTCAACTTGATCCCAGAATATGAGTTACAGAATCAGAGATGCATAAAAATCTGGAAGAAACCTTAAAGTTCATAGAATTCCATTGCTAGAAGGAACTTTAGATATCATCTGGTCCAAGAATCTTAATTTTACAGATGAGGAAACCAAAAAGATCAGGAAGATTATGTGATTTGCCTGTGGATGGTTAGCAAAGCTAAATCTAGAACCTGGTTGTTTTCTACCTCTCAATCGAACACTCTTTACCACAGCTGGTTGGACTTGACATCATTATAATCAACTAAGACTGATTGCGCACCCACTGTGTGGGAGAGGCTGACATGGACTTGGTTTCCATCAAGGGCCTAGCAATGAGGTTGAGAAAACAGGAAATCCAAGCATCAAAAGATAAGTAATAATATGAGATGGCATATGAAGCAAGGTTTAGATTCCAGTTTCCCAGTGGGAGTGGTGACACCAAGGTGAGTGATGGGTGTGGGGTGGAGTGCCCTCGTATCCACCCACCTATGCGTCCTGGTTCTGTCTGGAGGCACCAGGGCCAGGTGACAAAACGTCCAGGCGAGGCCGCAGTAGGGCCTAAGGTCAAAAAGAGCAATGCTGAATCCTACATCCTGGGGCCCTCCTAACACGTAGCTTAAGGCTCTGGGCTCATGACCCACATTGTAAGGATGAGTGGGGTAAAGCCTATCCACATCTGGGCTGTGAATTCCAGAAGCGGGGGACCGAGGCAGCTGTGCATGAAGACCGCAAGGAAGGAGGAAGGGAGCCGAGGAGGCCCAAGAGCGGCGGGCGACCTGACACCACCCTGCCCTCCCAGCCAGAGGGGCAGGGGGGAACCCCGCGCGCGGCGCCGGTGCAGCCCGGGCTTCCGGGGCGGCGCACGCGGCCGGGGGGCGGGGCGGGGGCCGAAGCACCGCCTACGTCGGGCTGCGTGACAATGGGGCCGGCGGCAGAACGCAGCTGCGGCGGCTGCGGGTCTCGTGGGGGCGGAGCGGTCGCCGCTGCCGCCGCAGCTCGGGTCGGGATTTGAAAGATTAGAAACTTCGGGTGGAGAGGGCGGCGGCGTTGAATGTGTGGCGGAAGCGCTGGGGGTCACGGCTCCGCGCGCCGCCGGACAGCCGGCGGCGTCTCCACAGCATGAATTACCCGGGCCGCGGGTCCCCACGGAGCCCCGAGCATAACGGCCGAGGCGGCGGCGGCGGCGCCTGGGAGCTGGGCTCAGACGCGAGGCCAGCGTTCGGCGGCGGCGTCTGCTGCTTCGAGCACCTGCCCGGCGGGGACCCGGACGACGGCGACGTGCCCCTGGCCCTGCTGCGCGGGGAACCCGGGCTGCATTTGGCGCCGGGCACCGACGACCACAACCACCACCTCGCGCTGGACCCCTGCCTCAGTGACGAGAACTATGACTTCAGCTCCGCCGAGTCGGGCTCCTCGCTGCGCTACTACAGCGAGGGTGAGAGCGGCGGCGGCGGCAGCTCCTTGTCGCTGCACCCGCCGCAGCAGCCTCCGCTGGTCCCGACGAACTCGGGGGGCGGCGGCGCGACAGGAGGGTCCCCCGGGGAAAGGAAACGTACCCGGCTTGGCGGCCCGGCGGCCCGGCACCGCTATGAGGTAGTGACGGAGCTGGGCCCGGAGGAGGTACGCTGGTTCTACAAGGAGGACAAGAAGACCTGGAAGCCCTTCATCGGCTACGACTCGCTCCGCATCGAGCTCGCCTTCCGGACCCTGCTGCAGACCACGGGTGCCCGGCCCCAGGGCGGGGACCGGGACGGCGACCATGTGTGCTCCCCCACGGGCCCAGCCTCCAGTTCCGGAGAAGATGACGATGAGGACCGCGCCTGCGGCTTCTGCCAGAGTACGACGGGGCACGAGCCGGAGATGGTGGAGCTTGTGAACATCGAGCCTGTGTGCGTGCGGGGCGGCCTCTACGAGGTGGATGTGACCCAAGGAGAGTGCTACCCGGTGTACTGGAACCGTGAGTAGCGGGCCGGGGTTAGGGCAGGACGGGCTGCCCCTGCATGGGCCGATGCGCACCGGTGTGGGTTTGGGACTGGTCGCCGCGAAGAGGGAGGCGCGTGAGGCCTGGCGTTTGGCTGGGGCAGGATGGAGATTGAGCAGGGAGCGTCGGCAGCTGAAGGGTAAACGAGCAGATGGCAAAACCCAAGCTGCCTGGGGTCAGGAGGACTGGATACCTTCGGGGGTAGCGCCTCCTGGGTGAGCCGGGTGCTGCTGCCATCCCCTGGAAGTGATCCAGGACCGGATCCGCAGCCCGAGGTTTAATTTCGTGATCCTACCAGCTTTGTCCACCTGGGGATCTGGTTCTGTCTCATTTACCCTAAACAGCCTATGATTTAAATAGCGGCACGTCTTCTGGAGTAGGAAGGTTTGAGAGGATCTGCTCGAGAATCAACAGCTTAGTTATGGGTTCAGGAAAAGTAAAAGAATCCCTGGAGGGAAAGGAGATAGGTTGTTCCCACTGGGTGTGTTCGGAGAGGTGGAAAGCACTGCGTGAAGCAGCTCTGGCAAGTGGCTCCGCTCCCTCGGTGGAATACTGGATTCTGTCTCTTAGGTCCTCATTTACATATTTTTGTGTTTGCATCTTAACCTTGAAAAATTACCATTTCTATGCCTCGTCTTCCTCATTTGTAAAAGGGGAGAAATTGTACCTACCTCACGGGATTGTTGTGAAAGTAAATTAGAAAATATACTTCAAGGGCTTGGAACTATGGTTGGTACTTACGTGTGATATGAGTGTTAACAGTATTTATTAGACAACAACACAGACGGGTTTATAGTTAGAATAGGAGGAAGGTGACCGTAAATATCTGCCAGTGCATGCAGCAAATATTACGTATGTAATATATAGGAGATATTCAATAGTCACAGAAGTTACTGACCACCAGTATTATAATATGTAATATACACTTTTAATTTTCGTGGGCCCAATGCCCTAACTTAGATGTCTTCATTGATTGTGACAACCTTTAGATCCTCCATACAACACTCTGCCCTCTATTAGATGGATTGATGACAGCTTCCTTTCTGTATGTTAGGACCTTACCATCGGCAGAGCCCGTCACCTTTATCTTTGTACTCTGATAGGGCCTAGTGCAATATATATTCAATAACTAGGTATTGAATTGCATCAGTGATTCTGATAATGTTAAAACATTCATATGTTAAGCATGACTTACTAAGATAGCAATTCCAACATGTGTCAAATCACCAAATAAAATAATAGCAGGAAATTTAATTTCTTACTGCACATTAAGATGATACTAAAGGCATTCATTACCATTTTTATAAGGTCAGATTTAGTGAGATCTGTTACATCATTCACTTTTTTAGATTATATACTCACTAAAGGCAGGGTATGTTTATATTCATTCAGTTCTTTCATATTCAGAATATTTATATGTGCATAACGGTACTCTTGTGAAGGCATTAAGAAAGATGGGGAAAAGGAAAATCCTTACCCTTTCAGAGCTTCCCACTCGGTGTTTCCTTCAAATGACTTAAACATAATCATAGATTTTTTTTCCTGAAGATAGAAGTACCAAGACTTAGTGGAGTCAGAAAGTTGGATAAAAATACAGGGTATCCTTGGAGAGGGGACGGAAACCAAGAGATGAATCTTACCCTTAGATTAAACTGAAGTATATTCACCAAGAATACTGTGTGCTCTCTTGGTTTTTGATAAAATTGTTAATGCCTGCGTGGTACTTCACTGTTTACAAAGTGATTTTTGACATTGATTATTTTACAGTGATAGCAAATTAATACCAACATTATATACATGAAGAAATGGGCTCAGCGAAATTAATGAACTTGTCCAAGGCCACTTAGCTAGAAAGTGATGAAGCAGTTCATTCATTAGTCTAGTGGGGGAATACAGTGCAGTATGCAAAGAGCTTCTGACCCATCCAAGGGTGAGGGTATCAGGAAAGCGTCCCAGAAAATTTAAGACAGAGTCTTACAGGATGAATTTAATGAAGCAGAGAAATAGAGGGAAGGGCATTCCAGCTAGATGGGGCACATACACAAGGACACAGGTCTGAAACTGCGTGGCATTTTAAGGAAGTGAGGTCTACACCTGCAGGCACTGTGACACATGAGGTGGGTTTGGGCTTTGACCAACCACAGAGACCAAAGTATGTGAGGGATGGTGTTTGGTCAGGGACAGGATGGAGATTGTGAAGGGAGCACCTGCACATGAATGGCGCATTTGGGACAATAGCTGGAAAAGAGACAGGGTAGATATGCAGTGCTAAGGAGTTTGGCCTTTATCCTGCGAGTAATGAGGAACCAAACAGTAGAAGGTTCTTTATACTTACATGTGATTAATGACAATGCAAAAGTTGAGCTGGAGAGTTGGAAGCAGAATATCAGTAGAATGCTAGTGTCATAAATCAGGTGAAAACTGGTGGGAGCCTACAGAAGTTAACCTAAAGGTAATGTGGACTTCCCTTTCTCCAACCTTCTTTCCTAAAGCAAATAGCCATTAGGCCAATTATAGCTTATAACTAGCATAAGAGCAACACCTATTTTTATCTATATTTTAGCATTTTCTAAATAGTTCTCTACAAGATACAATCCTGTGGATGTCCAAGCCCTTGTATAAGCTATAATAAAAACACAGTAGTGCTTTTTGTCTATCCTGTAATTTGCCATTTCTCACAAAATCTCATATAACTTTAATTGGTTTCTTAAGTCTCTGTGTGTAAGTTTTCACACTTTCTAGGAGGGTCCAGTCCCCGTATGGGTTCTTCAGCCTTTCTTCAAATAGAAAAACTCATACTATACGTTGCAGCTTTTGACCTTGCCCCCATTTTACTTTTCCTTTTTAGCTGTTTTGGAAACTGTCTGGTTAGTGGTAATAAAAGTGTTTGAAAAAAAATGTCCAGTAAGTTCCTATGTAGAATGGTGGTATGAATCCATTGGCCATTTAGATTTTTGTGGCCTAATTTAGCCCACTGCATCTGGGTGTCAAGGCCAACAAGTTAGCTATACCTATTCTAAAAGAAAGATTTTATTTTATTCTTCCTTTTGAACTTGACTAGCAGATAAAATTTGAACTAATTTGGGGTACATGAATCAGAAAGGAGAACAGAATTTGTCTTCTATTAATGAGGAGCAATATTATTACATATGAAAAAATATCGTAGTAAACATTTTTGTTTTATTGTATGTTTAGATATTCTCCTGGCTGCATGTGGACATTTTAGATAAAAACTAATCATTGCTGAGTAATGGTTAAGTGAACTCTCTTGTTTGCAGTGTTCTTCCTGTTTGTACTCACTTCATAGACTTGTTTTGAGGATTATTATATGTAACATCCTTATTACAGTGGTTGGCACATTGTACTAGGTGTTAACTATATGTGGGTCTCACAAAAACTATACACCTTATTTTTAGTTCACATACAGGTTAGTAAGGTTAACCAGTGCACAGTTGTTGAGTGCCCACAATTTCTTGTTATTACTCAGTACCTCATCAGAGGTGAAAGAATGTCTGTAAGGAACATTGGCAAGAAAGTGGCCAAAGCATTCAGTAATAGCAGATGGGAAGGCATATGGAACATTCTAGAGATATTTCATGAGCTTAGAATAATTCAGCAATTCTAGGCCAGGCGTGGTGGCTCATGCCTGTAATCCCAGCACTTTGGGAGGCTGAGGTGGGTGGATCACCTGAGATCAGGAGTTCGAGACCAGCCTGGCCAACATGGTGAAACCCTGTCTCTCCTAAAAGTACAAAAATTAGCCAGGCGTGGTGGCGAGTGTCTGTAATCCCAGCTATTCAGGAGGCTGAGGCAGGAGAATCACTTGAACCCAGGAGGCAGTGGTTGCAGTGAGGCGAAATTGTGACACTGCACTCCAGCCTGGGCGACAAGAGCAAGACTCCCTCTCAAAAAAAAAAAAAGAATAATTCAATTCCAATGGCAGTGATGTGTGCAGTTTGCACTAGGGAGTTGTGTGATTTCTATTCATTGACTAAACTAATAAAGTTATTTAATTGACCAAATTTTTATATGTAGTTTCCAGGAGTCTTAACTATAAACCACAGATTTCTTCTTTCCCCTCTGTCACCCACCACCTTCTGGTATACTTATACAGCCTACTTGCATTATTGTAATTTTAAACCATTTTCAGTTTCAGATGCTTTAGAAATAGACCAGTTGTTTTTGTGGTATATTGCAACAACGGGAAGATTATATTACCAATAAAATGAGATTAAAAAATTAGAGCTTTTCCCTTAATTACATAATGTTTACAAACTTGGTGTAGATGTGACCGTGTTATTCATAATAACAATCCTTTGTGTGGCACAGGGCATCATGGGAAAATAATGGAGTCCCAGGGGGTAGAAGGCACTCTTTTTTGACCAGTTTCTGTCTCCAATAAAGCAGGACTATAGGGATCGTGCCTGACCCTGAAAAAGTGTTGGAGACTTTTATCTTTTACTCTTTATAACTGTGTTATTTCCCACTAGCCTGGACTGGAAAGCAGCCTTGGACTGCATTGGAACCCTGACTGCTCGGTTTACAGTACCAAGGCCCCAGTTTTCTGAGAACCCACCTCATCCTAGATCAAGTCTGCTTTAGAGTGCATTTTAGAATGCACAGTGACCTGCTAAAACAGAAAAAGGATGTGAATGGATAGTGACATGTATGGATGGCAGGACTTGGCACCTGACCATGGCATTTGGGGCTTCTCTTTCCCTTTGAAATGCACCATTACTTTAAAAACGGATCTAATATCAGTTATTGATTCACCTTACGTATGGCCAAAATGTTATAATGCATGTTTTGCAAGTGCTTTATGCAAATGCTTAGAGCAATCAGTGTGGTTTTCTTACCCCTGTCAACCACCTCTGGTTTTCTTTCCTCTTTTACTGTTTTCTTATAAAAGAGACCTTGAGTATGCTTCTCTCTTCTGAATTGTATTTTGGGTCTTTTATCTCCATATAACTCTTTATAGTTTGTATTTTGCTGAGAACTTTGATGTCTGGAACCTACAGTTGATCCTTTTTTGTGGAGAGCAAGAAAAATCTGGATGTGCTGGTCAAGGAATCCTCTGAGAATTATGGACACTGGGGGAGGAAAGTGTATGTCAGGGAGGAGAACTAGAAGGAGAATGTATTATTCACAGGAAGCCTAAGATGAAAAATATTGGCAAAAGAGATTGGGAAATAGGTAGTTATGGAATTCCTAATAACTAGGGAATCTGACCTAAGACCTTTGTTTTTTCGTGAGTGTAGTGGAATTTAAACTGTGCATGTTATACAAAAAAAAAAAAAAAAAAAAACTGTCAGCATTGATGAAGGGTACAGATATACAGAGTCCCTTCTGTTTTTCCACAATACACTCTAAAAGTTCAGTTAAAAAGTAGAACAAGGAAAAATTTTTTTATAGTTACTGTATATAATCTACAGTTCTACTCTTTTGCGTCTACATTGGTAAAGAAAAATCGTACCCATAACAAGTGTTGAATCACTGACAATTGAGTAGATTACTAGGAAGAAAACCACAATGCAGATACTTTCTGATACTCCTAGATTAGGAGACAAGTGAAATTCAAGGTGGTAAAAAATTGGAACTTGCCTGTACCAGAGAACTGAAGAAAAACAGTAGCAAAATTGATATGATTGTGTAAAAGTAATTATATTTTATGTACGCTTTTTAGCATCAACAGATTGTGAACAAGATTGAATTATACATTCATTAATTTTTTTTTTTTTTTTGAGATGCTCTGTTGCCCTGGATGAAGTACAGTAGTGTGATCTCAGCTCACTGCAACCTCTGCCTCCCAGGTTCAAGCGATTCTCCTGCTTCAGCCTCCCTAGTAGCTGGGAGTACAGGCATGTGCCACCATGCCTGGCTGATTTTTATATTCTTAGTAGATATGGAGTTTCACCGTTTTGGCCAGGCTGATCTTGAACTCCTGACCTCAAGTAATTCACCCACCTTGGCCTCCCAAAGTGCTGGGATTACAGGTGTAAGCCACCGCGCCCGGCCTTTTTGTTTGTTTTGAGATGGAGTTTCACTCTTATTTGCCCAGGCTGAAGTGCAATGGCGTGATCTCAGCTCACTGCAACCTCTGCCTCCCAGGTTCAAGTGATTCTCCTGCCTCAGCCTCCCAAGTAGCTGAGATTGCAGGCATGCGCCACAATGCCTGGCTAATTGTGTATTTTCAGTAGAGACAGGGTTTCACTATGTTGGTCAGGCTGGTCTTGAACTCCTGACCTGAAGTGATCTGCCTGCCTCGGCCTCCCAAAGTGCTGGGATTACAGGCATGAGCCACCATACCCTGCCCATTAATGTTTATTTTAATGTCTTACTACATTAAGCTATCTCTAGATAATATTTATAATCATTGCTCTGTATGTTTAAATAAACTCTTCAATGACTGCTGGGGGTCAGGTCACCCTTTGGAAATGACATTGTTATTGGTACTTCTGTATTCCAAGACCTCAGATACTGGAAAATCCTTGAGAAATACAAATTCCATCTGAATGGATGGCTTTTCCAAATAATGGAGAGTTAAGCTTTTATGTGCTAGAATGTAATATTAACTATATGAATGGAAATCTCTCTGATATTACTAATTGTCTCTGGCTCCTTCTCAGTGGACTATCTTTCTGAACATTGATGCAGGATATCCTTTGAGAAACATGATATGGGACAAATAACTAGTTGTACTATGTTAAAACTTTTTTTTTTTTTTTTTTTTTTTTGAGACAAGGTTTTGTTCTGTCGCTTAGGCCAGAATAATGTGGAGTGATCATAGTTCACTGCAGCCTTGACCTCCCAGGCTCAGGCAATCCTCCCACCTCAGCCTTCAAAGAAGCTAGGTCCATAGGTGCACGTCACCATGCCCAGCTAATTTTTAAAATTATTACTTGTAGAGACATGGTCTTCCTATGTTGCCCAGGGTGGTCTCAAACTCCTGGGCTCAAGCAGCCCTCCTGCCTCAGCCTCCCACAGCGCTGGGACTGCAGGGATGATCCATCACACCCAGCCTTATTAAAACTGAAGATTTTAAAACACGTGCCATGGAATGCTCTGCTTTATTTTTTTTATTATTTTTGAGATGGAGTCTCCCTCCGTTGTCCAGGCTAGAGTGCAGTGGCGCCATCTCGGCTCACTGCAACCTCCACCTCCCAGGTTCAAAAAATTCTCGTTCCTCAGCCTCCCAAGTACCTGGGATCACAGGCCAGCGCCATCACGCCTGGCTAAGTTTTATATTTTTAGTGGAGACAGGGTTTCACCATGTTGGTAAGCCTGGTCTTGAACTCCTGACCTCGGGTGATTTACCTGCCTCAGCCTCCCAAAGTGCTGGGATTACAAATGTGAGCCACCACTCCCAGCCTCTGCTCAGTAATTTTGGATGATGCACAGGGAGCAGAGTCAGAATTACTTCTAAGCCTTAGTGTAGACATTTAGTTAAATGCAATCCCACTCTTAGATTTTACAACTTACTGCAACTACTTAATAGCAACTTTTAGTTCATATTTTATTGGCTGAGTCTGTTATTCTCATTCTGTAGAATTGCTTCTAACTAGGCCCAGGGTATCTCATGTGTACCTGACACACCTACTTAGACCTTCAGTAAAACTTGCATTTTAACATCTGGTATCTGTTTCAACATTAAGTGCACCCAAGTTTGTTTATTTTTTAAACAAAGTCTTTGCTGTAAATCAAAAGACAGTTGTAGGAAAGAGAGAATCTACTTCAAACCAAAGACGTTGTTGAGCATCCAAACTGAGGAAAGAAAGCACAGTGTGGTTGCTGAAGCACTTTCAGTGACTCATATTCTTCCAATGTGGCTATCTACTGCTGAAATGAACCTTTCTTATATGGCTAACACCATATGAGACAAGTGTACCTGTCTGTAAGGTTTAGGAAAAGATACTTGCCTTTGCTTAACATTCTCATTGTATAGCCAATCACTATTATGCTTCTTATTTAAGATTAGCACAAGTTACCCATGATTCCGCTCTTTGCCTTTCACTGGAAAACATTAGGACTTTATATTTTAGAATATCTGGTTGGATATAGTTGCAGTTTATTCTTTCACCTATTTACTGGTTTGCTTGTTATGCTATTTTGTGTAAACTACATTATCTATTTGTTTTGGTAGGGGAGAAAGGTGCTACTATGTCTCATGTATAGTGAATGCCCCTAATCTTGGAATACTGGGTTGAATCATTTGGAATTCTAATTGCCTGGCAGGATTCTCCCTTTTATGGAAAGACCTATAATCCATCAAGAAGTATGATAGGCCACATACAAAGGTTGAGCCCTGTAAAAAGTAAAGTAGAAGTTCCTCTTCAAAGAGTTTCCTCCCCATCTAATTAAGAATAAAGAGTAACTTCTCTTAGAAGCAAAATTTATTCAAAGACCTGTGCTAACTTTCTTAAATATCTGCTAGCCATAATAAAGAAATCAATGTACTTTATGTTCTTAGATCCTACAATTTAGCCTAAATATTTGCCCTCGCATGCTTATACTGGTCCAAGCAAGCATTAAGTCATAGCCTGTTCCTCTTCCTTATTTGAAGGTGTTTTTACTTTTCTCAGCATTCCACAAGTTACTTCCTCCTTCCTTTGTTGTCCTCTGCCTTTGCTTCTTTTAAAAAGTTCTAAGTCGCTAGCCAATCAGGACAGATACAGAATATGAGGTCCCGTTCCAGCCAGTAGAAACCAGACACAGTAGTAAGGTGGACGCGTCAGATTATAAATGACCCTGTCTCCTTTGTTTGGTGCACTCTCATGGCAGAACTGCTGGCAAGTGTACCCTTTCTGCAGAAAGTAAAAATGGCCTTGCTGAGGAAATTAAATTTGTGTTCAAGAGCTATTTCTTTACTGCACCGAGGAACAAGCATTTCTAACAAACATGGTTTACAGCATTTGTTTTCAAATCACCACTCACCTTACCACAGCTCATCAGTTTCATCTCTGCCACCTCCATTTCAATTCTTACTGGTTTTTCTAGGGAGGCAACATTGTTTAGTGTTTCAAGAATGTTAAGGACCACTGGATCCAGACTTGGCTCAAATCCCAGCTCTGCTGTACACTGTGCCCCTGAGCAACTGAAATTCCCTGTGTCTTAGTTTCTTCTTCTATAAAACGTGGATAATACTATCTACCTCTTGTGATTGTTTTTAATAGTTAAAATATTTAAAGATCTTAAAAATATCCCATGATGAATAGTAAGTTCTATAAAACTGTTAGCTATGATTGTTTCTCCATCTTCCTGCCTATTCTTCCAAATTTCCAACCCGCTTGACATTCTTGGCTCTCCTGTTTCAATTTGTAGTCTGTTTCCTCACTTGGCATATTCTTGGCCTGCCATCTTGATAATCAACTCTCAAATGGGCACAGCCCTAGATCCTCTGTAACTGTTGCCTGCCTTTATGAGAAGCTGTGATTTTTGTCTGGTTTCTCAGGCCCCAGAAAGATTGGTGCTGTCTTGAGTTCTCCTGGCTTGGACCTGGGAGAAGTTCACCAGTCATTCTTTTACAAATCTATTGCCTATGGGAGAGGAGGAATTTTTTCCCATAAAAGCATTCTAAATTCTTGAGCATCTGCTTTTGTTGGTATGCAGATCCTGTCACCAAATGTGAGAGATACCAACTTTATCCCCAGAGCTCATTTAGACGACTCTCCCAGCTACCAGGATTTTTGATAAAATAGAGAACTTTACAGTTTTCTAAAAGACTGCTCAGTTTTCAGTTAAGGCAAAGCCAGTAATGTTCCTGTTTTTTTTTTTTTTTTGCCATGCCGGCAAGAAAAAAATGGCCCACAATTCTTCTTATGATGGAGACCTTAGCATGAAAACTATGAGAGAATCCTCTTAATTGATCTGCAGTTAAACCAGCAGTAGTGGGGATGGCAGCTAGGTTCTGGCACTTAGTGTAAAATCTAACAGTATAAAATAATCTTGAATCTCTCCTTAGTCAATGGACGTGACAGCCATTCCTTATCCAGCATTGGCAATAAAAACCATGTGGGAACAGATACACAGATCTTTGTTGTCAAATTCCCTTAGTTTGAATCCTTGATTTACCATAGTTATATGCCTTTGGGCAAGTTATAATCTCTGTGGCCTAATTTATTTCTCCTTTGTAAATGGGGATCATTCCTGCTTCCAAGAGTTATCATCAGGTGATTATTATTATTTAGATTTAATTGAAGTACATATATGCAGAATGCTTAGCACAGTACCTAGGTCAATAAGTGTTAGCTAAGCCAGGCTGGTATATTTGCTCTTTAAATAGAAGCCTATCTTCTGGGAATTAAAAAAAAATACGTGGTAAACCTGTTGTATTTGGGGTTGGGGGGAAGGGTGGAAAGCTTTGACTCTATCAAAATTACTTCAGCCTATACTTGATAACCATATATACACGTACATACACACATGTACTATATATATTTTCATGTACTCGTCTTAAAACTACTTAATCACTCCAAGAGTTCTGGGAGTCACAGTGAAGTTTCACACTTCACCTTAATTCCTTCTTTGAACTCTGAGTTTGAAGAAAATGTAGAACTTTCTAGCTAAGATGAAGACAACGGAATACTCTTCAGCTTCTGATTGCCTCTGTTGGATTCTGTAGTCTGCAGAATGGCAACCTGTGTTGTTAATTTCTAACACTTTTGTGTGACCAGTAGTTTGCAGATTTAATTGAGTGTAACAGTTACTGGGAAGATTGTTAAAATACAGATTCTCAGATCTTATCCCTGGAGATTTGGTACAAGAGATCTGAGCTAGGTCCAGACAATCTTCCTCTTTAATAGAAGAAATTCTGTTTACAAGGGGTTCGAAGACCTTACTTTGGTAATTCTGTTAGTTCATAAACCCCCTAGTCTAAATGGCCAGAAGCTGCCTCATCTTCACTCGTTTTCACTTACACTCTGAGAATTACCAGTTCAGTCAATCCAAGGATGCATTTCAAGAGATTCTAGGGGAGTTAACCTTCTTCTGGCAAATTGGTAGTTTTATTTAATCTCTTTTGTTCTTTCTACCTATGTATTGCCACTCTGTCCTTCTAATTTAAAACTTCTGTATCTTATTGATCTGTATTATTTTGTCAGTGAGGAGAAGGATAAAGTCTCCACTATAATTGTGGATATAGTTAGCCTGGATAAAGTTATATTGGTTTTTGCTTCATGTATTTTGAAGCTCTGTTTTTAGATGTGTATACATTTAGGATTATTACATCCTTCGATGAAATACTGCCTTTATCACTTTGAAATATCCCCCTTTATCTCTGGTAATGTTTCTTTTGTTGAAGTCTACTTTATTTGATACTAATATAGCCACTCTAGATTCCTTTTGATTAGTATTTGCAATTTGTATCTTTTCCTGTCCTTTTACTTTTAAACCTGTATGTGTCTTTACCTATCTGTTGGGTCTTGCTTTTTAAAATTCATTCTGACAACCTCTGCCTTTTAATTGGCATTTTAGACCATTTACATTTAGTGTGATTAATGCTAAGTTTGATTTTAAAATGAACATCCTGCTACTAATTTTCTATTTGTCCCCTTTGTTCTTCATTCCCTTTCTTCTCTTTTCCTGCCTTCTTTGGGATTGGATTTTGTTTAATGATTCTCTTCTATCTTTAATATTAGTTTTTAGGGATACTTTTTCGTATTTGTCTAGGTTTGTGTTCTCTGAGTTTTTTTGGTTGGTTGTTTATTTTTTGAGACAGAGTCTTGCTCTGTTGCCCAGGCTGGAGTGCAGTGGCACAATCTCAGCTCACTGCAACCTCCACCTCCCAGGTTCAAGCAATTCTCCTGTCTAAGCCTCCCAAGTAGCTGGGATTACAGGCGTACACCACACTTGGCTAATTTTTGTATTTTTAGTAGAGACGGGGTTCCACCATGTTGGTCAGGCTGATCTTAAACTCCTGACCTCAGGTGCTCTACCCACCTCGACCTACCAAAGTGCTGGGATTATAGGCATGAGCCGCTGCATCAGGCCTTTCTAAGCTTTTTGAATTTCAATTACGTATGTATGTTAGATCATTTGATATAGTTCCCCAGCTCATGGATGCTCTATTCTGTTTAATTTTTCCCCCACTCTTTTTTTTCTTTGTATTTCTATTTGCATAATTTTTATTAACTTATTTTCAAGTTTACTGATTCTTTCCTCAGCTGTGTTGATCAAAGGTATTCTTTATCTATCTTACCATTTTTCTAGTTTCTGGCATTTCTATTTGACTTGTAGTTTCTATTTCCATGCTGAAATTTCTCATCTAATTATACATGTTGCTTACCTTTTCCACTAGAGCCTTTAGTATATTAATCATAATTATTTTAAGTTTTCTAATAGTTCCAGCATCTGTGGGCATTTCTGGTTTGGGTCTGTTGATTTTTTTTTTTTTTTTTTGTGGTCTCTTGGCAGTGTGTTGGTTTTTCCCATCTTCTTTGTATGTCTTATAATTTAATTTAAAGTTGGACATCTTGTGGTGGGCAGTAGAGTATTTATGCCTAGAAATAGGCACGCCTTGTTTTTTGTTTTTTTGTTTTTGTTTTTGTTTTTGTTTTGAGACAGGGTCTCACTCTGTTGCTGAGGCTGGAGTGCAGTGGCATGATCTCAGCTCACTGCAACTTCTGCCTCCCAGGTTCAAGTAATTCTCAAGGCACACCTTGTATTTCGCTAGACGTTTAGTGTGGGGGATTGAGCAACCTAGTTGGGAGTTGATCTGTGTTTGGGTTTCATTATTGCTGTACTTACTATCAGTGCACCACAGGCTTCAAATTCCCATAGCATTGCCTTGCATTTCGAGTAGAGGGCTGGTTCGCCAAGGATTTTTCTTCAGGTCTGCTTTATTCTTAGCTTCAGGTTTTCCCTTTCCACCTTTATCTCAAGAAGGTTCTTCATGCTTTTACTCTCCCCCAGAAATAGATGAAACTTACTCCCTAACTTGGTGATGATGGTGTGGGCGAGAGTGGGGAAGGGACATTCTCTGTTGTTCTGGTTCTGCCTTATTCTTAGGCACAGTGTCTCTGGGTCTCACAAGTGGAGCCTTCTCAGCAATTCTGCCGGACCCCAGCCATGAATGTTCTAGGCCCAGGACAATTTCCTGCCTCTGATAGTTTGCCTGTGTGGTTGTGGGTGTGGGTGTGGGTGTGGGTGTGGTTTTTTTTTTTTTTTCTCTCCTATTACCTTTTCCCAGCTGCTATGGTTCTTTAGTTGTTGCTTTTCTAGCAGCAGCTTAAGGCTTTCATTCCTTAGGTGAGATAGGGAGTAAGGATCTAGACAAGACCTTGTAAGGATCCAGGCAGACCTTTCCATACCTGCCACTGTTCCCCTCTCCCAACCCTGCACTATGAAGGGGATATTTTTTCAGGTTTCTTGCCCTTCCCTCAGTCTTTCTTATGAGTTCCTGGTAATATCTGTGGAGAAGAACCTGCAACAAGGTGTAATTTCCTCTGGTGTCTGAAGCCCCAGCAGTTTTATACTCTTACTATAGCCCACACTGGACCTTTAGCAAATTGTTGAAACATTTTTGCTGAAATCTTTTTACTGGCTTGTATGGCATCTGATGTCTTCCCCCTAAGTAAGCAAGTACTTACATATTATTTTTCTTATTAGTTAGTTGCACTGTGACCTCAGCTCTCTGAAGGGTTCAAAAATTTTTGTGTCACTTGTAGACTGGAAGAACCTTATTAGCATACTTTCATTTACCCTCCTCATAGCCGTTTTGCCATTGTCATACATTTCATTACTATTTGTTATAAACACCAAAATACAATCATTATAAACACCAAAATACAATCTTTTTGCTTTTTTTCTTTTTTGAGACAGAGTCTCGCTCTGTTGCCCAGGCTGGAGTGCAGTGGCACAATTTTGGCTCACTGCAGCGGCACAATTTTGGCTCACTGCAGCCTCCATCTCCAGGGCTCAAGCAATTCTCCTGCCTCAGCCTCCCAAGTAGCTGGGATTATAGATGTGCACCACCACACCTGGCTAATTTTTGTATTTTTAGTAGAGATAAGGTTTCACCATGTTGGCCAAGCTGATCTTGAACTCCTGACCTCAAGTGATCTGCCCACCTCGGCCTCTGAAAGTCCTGGGATTACAGGCATGGGCCACCGCACCCAGCCTTTAAGTAGTCAATTTTTAAAAAAACAATTTCTTTAAACTCTATTTCTCTTAGTTTTGAAAGATAATTTTGCTGGATATAGAATCCTAGGTGGACATTTTTGTTTCCTTCACAACTTAATTATCACTTCATTGTCTTTCACTTCTATAGTTTCTGATGAGAAGTTTGCTATCGTTTTTATCTTTGTTCTTCTAACTTTCAGCTTTTTTTTCCCTGACAGCTTCCTCCCCCAACCCCCTGACTTTATTGATGACTTGCAGCAATTTGATTATGATGTGTCTTCCTGTGATTTTCTTCATAATTCATCTGCATGGGATTTGTTGAGATTCTGGGAACTGCGGGTTTATCACTTTCATCAAATTTGGCTATTCTCCAAATTTATTTTTCTGTTCATCCTACCCCTTATCTTGGATTCCTACTACATGTAAGTCAGTATGCTTTGATATTGCTTAACAACTCTGTACATTTTGATATTGCCCTGTAGCCCTGTGATTTTCTTTTATTTTTATTTTTATTTTTATTTTTATTTTTTGAGAAAGAGTCTCACTGTGTCACCCAGGCTGGAGTGCAGTGGTGCAATCTCAGCTCACTGCAACCTCTGCCTCCCAAGTTCAAGTGATTCTCCTGCCTCAGCCTCTCAAATAGTTGGAATTACAGGCATGTGCCACCAAGCCCAGCTAATTTTTGTATTTTTAGTAGAGACAGGGTTTTGCCATGTTGGCCAGGCTGCTCTCAAACTCCTGACCTCAAGTGATCCACCTGCCTCAGCCTCCCAGAGTGTTGGGATTTCAGGCGTGAGCCACCGCACCTGGCCTGCCCTGTTATTTTCTTTTTTTCTTTGTATTTCACTTTAGTTTCTATTATGTTTCTATTGCTGTTTTCTTGAATGAATATGTCCTGTTGCTATATTATGACTTTGAAGAATTTCACTGATCTTTTCTTCTGTAATTTCTAATTTACTATTGATCTCATTTGTTACATGTTTTATTTTTTATATTGTATTTTTCATCTCTAGAAGTTCATTTTAGGTATTTTTTTGTATCTTCTGTTTTCTTCCTCATCATGTTTGTATTTTCCTCCACCTTCTTGAATCTAGGGAGTGAGGAATGGTTGTTTTAACATCTTTTTCTGCCAGTTTTCCCATCCATGTTGTTTCCGGATGTTTTTATTGACGGACTTTTCTCCTGGGTATGTGTTGAATTTTCATGCTTCTTTGGATACCTGTTAGGCATATGCTTTATATGTTTTTGGATTATGTAGGATTCCTTTAGTACTTTTGGGTTTTATTCTAATGGACAGTTAAGATACTTCAAATTAATTTGTTCTACCAAGGCTTTCTTTTGAGCTTTGTTAGGGTAGTCACAGCAGCATTTAATGGGATAATTTATCTCCACTACTGAGGCATTACCTTTCTGAGGACATTGCTCACTGCCTCTTGGATTAGGTTTTTATATTCTGACTGCTGATTGGAACATGAACTATTTATTGCCTTATATGAGCTCTGGAGATTGTTCCACCTGCTCCTTTCCAGTGGTTCTTTTCCCTGGCTTCAGGTAGTTTTCTCCTTTATGTGCATAAGCCAGTACTCAGCTAAAGAATAAAGGGAACTCTTCTAGAGATCTTTGGCACTGTCTTTCTACAGTGCCAAAATGCCCTGTACTACATTGTGCCTCACAAATTCTAGGTCTTGGCGTTCCTGAACTCTTAGCTGTTTCAAAACTCAATTAGAGTGCTAGGCTTTGTTTGGATTAACTTTCCCTGTGCTATTGCCTGGAAACTCTGGCACTAAGCTTGTACTGTCTCATGCGTCCGTGTGAAGAGACCACCAAAACAGGTTTTGTGTGAGCAACAAGGCTGTTTATTTCACCTGGGTGCAGGCGGGCTGAGTCCGAAAAGAGAGTCAGCAAAGGGTGGTGGATTATCATTAGTTCTTACAGGTTTTGGGATAGGTGGTGGAGGTAGGAGCAATGTTTTGCGGGCAGGGGGTGGATCTCATAAAGTACATTCTCAAGGGTGGGGAGATTACAAAGAACCTTCTTAAGGGTGGGGGAAATTACAAAGCACATTGATCAGTTAGGGTGGGGCAGAAACAAATTACAATGGTGGAATGTCATCAGTTAAGGCTATTTTCACTTTTGTGGATCTTCAGTTGCTTCAGGTAATCTGGATGTATACGTGCAGGTCACAGGAGATATGATGGCTTAGCTTGGGCTCAGAGGCCTGACATTACAGTGGTAGGAATTCTTTCAGTGATCACTGTCCTCTTCTGTCTTTTGTACAATATCTGAAAATCATTGTTACATATATTTTGTCTGATTTTCTAGTTATTTAAGGTGAGATATTAAATCCATTATGTGTTATTCTGTCATTGCTGGAAGTAGAAGTCTGTTCTTCCAGTTTAACTGATTTACTCTCTTCATTCTTGACCGTCTGTATTTCTCTATTAGGCACAACCCAGTGCTTACATATCCTATGTGCCTTCCTGTTCAGGAATGTTAAAATGGACAACTCTTTAGTGAGCTAATACAGATCATGCGGCTGCCACACAGAGTAGAATTGAGATGTGTTGTGTGTCACACGCGTCCATGTGAAGAGAGTCTGCCAGCAGGCTTTGTGTGAGCAACAAGGCTGTTTATTTCACCTGGGTGCAGTTGGGCTGAGTCTGAAAATGGAGTCAGCAACGGGTGGTGGGATTATCATTAGTTCTTATAGGTTTGGGATAGGCAGGCAGCGGGTGGATCTCACCAAGTGCATTCTCAAGGGCGTAGAGAATATTACAAAGTACCTTCTTAAGGGCAGGGGAATATCACAAAGTGCATTATCACAAGGGTGGGGAGGGTGTATTGTCATAAGGTCAATTGATCAGTTAGGGTGGGGCAGGAAAAGATCACAATGGAGGAATGTCATCTTTTGTGGTTCTTCAGTTGCTTCAGGCCATCTGGATGTATACCTGCAGGTCACAGGGGATATGATGGCTTAGCTTGGGCTCAGAGGCCTGACATTCCTGTCTTTTTATATTAATAAGAAAAACAAAACAAAATGGTGGTGAAGTGTTGGGGTGGCAAAAATTTTTGGGGGTGGTATGGAGAGATCATGGGCAATGTTTCTCAGGGCTGCTTCGAGCGGAATTAGGGGCAGCGTGGGAACCTATAGTGGGAGAGATTAAACTGAAGAAAGCTTTTGGGGTAAGGGGTGATATTGTGGGGTTATTAGAAGGAACATTTGTTATATAGAATGATTGGTGATGGCCTGGATGCAGTTTTGTATGAATTGAGAAACTAAATGGAAGATACAAGGTCTGAATAAAAGGAAGAGGAAAACAGGTATTAAAGGACTAAGAACTGGGAGTACCCAGGACATCCAATTAGAGAGTGCCCAAGGGGGTTCAGCATAATTATTTGGTTGGGGAGTTTTGGGGCTCTAGCCTTGAGTTCTTTATGTTGTCATATACCAGGCCAGATTGATTTAGGTAAAAACAACACTCTTCATTTAAAAATATAGAGTCTGCTCTTTTTTTTTTTTTTTTAGCAGTGAGTAAGGTCGAGGCCTCGGTGGTTCTGGAGGAAAGAGAAATGCAAAGCCAGTAACTGTTTGTTAAGGAAGGATTAGAAATGGCTAGGAGAGAGTGAGTGAGATTGATAGTGTGGTGGAGATAGCCGGGGAGAGGTAGAGGGTGGCATAAGACGAGAATGAAAATAAGAGTGAGTATAAAAGTAAAGAATAGGACTTCGTCAGGGCGAAAGTATTGGAGTGTGCCCTGTCAGCAAAGATCATCTGTTCACTCCAAGAGGGAGTCAAGAGTGGCTGATTGGGGATAGTACCAGGAGATATCCGCTATGATGGTTTGGAGGAAAAGTGTAAACCAGCAATGTAAACAAGGGCAGGGTATTTACGAGTAGTTGAGAATGGTGAATAGGAGTATGGCTAGACAGAAGATAGGAGGGATGACAAGGTTTTGGGGCACAGTCCAAGTAGTGGGAGTGACTGCGTAAAGCCCTGTTGCAAAAAGTAGGGTAAGGACGAATAGACCTAATAGAATGAAGGGATGTATTAGGCTCATAAGGTTTATTACTGTTATTCAGAAATGCAAGTGAGTTTAAGGGAAGTAGGGGAGAGTACTTGAGACTTCAGGCTGGCTGTCCGATGGACACAGCTTTATTCTGGAATGGTGAACCCAATGGGGAGGGTCCTGTAGGCGGACGGCAGTTGGGGTACTATAGATGACTAAGTAGGGTCTGGTCCATCGAGGTTGTAGAATTTGAGGGGTCAGATTCTTAACAAGAACTGATCATCCAGCTAGGGTGTCTTCATATGACTGGGAATCTGGAGTAGGCAAGAGAAGATTAGCAGCTTGGCAAATTTCCTGTGTAGCTTGCTGGAGGACTGGAAGATAGTCACCTAGAGGGCTGGTGTCTGGAATGAGACTGGGGCCTAATGAAAAAGAGCGTCCATACAGGAGCTCAAATGGGCTGTACCCTGTAGCATCCCGAGGACAGGCCCGAATTCTGAGAAGGGCAAGTGGTAAAAGTACTGTCCAGTCCTTTTTAAGTTGGAGGCTGAGTTTGGTGAGGTGTGTCTTTAAAAGACCATTAGTTCTTTCTACCTTTCCTGAGGATTGAGGGCGATAAGGAGCACGAAGTTTCCATTGAATGCCCAGGGACTGGGAGACTGCCTGAATGACTTGATTAATAAAGGCCGGTCTGTTATCAGATTGTATAGAGGTGGAAAGGCCAAACCGAGGAAGTATGTCTGAGAGAATGGAAGAAATAACTGTGGTAGCCTTCTCAGACCGTGTGGGAAAGGCCTCTACCCATCCAGTGAAAGTGTTTACCCAGACCAAGAGGTATTATAGTTTCCTGACTCGAGGCATGTGAGTAAAGTCAATTTGCCAGTCCTGGGCAGGGGCAAATCCCCGAGCTTGATGTATAGGGAAGGGAGGGGGCCTGAACAATCCCTGAGGAGTAGTAGAATAGTGGATGGAACACTGAGAAGTGATTTCCCTGAGGATAGATTTCCATGATGGAAAGGAAATGAGAGGTTCTAAGAGATGGGCTAGCAGCCTGTAACCTTCATGGACGAGGTTATGAAATGATGACAGAATAGAATGGGCCTGTGAGTCTGGAAGGAGATATTTTCCTTGTTCCAAGAACCATTTGCCTTATGTGGGAAAAGATTGGTAGGTGGAAGTTTCAGTGGGAGAGTAGGTGGGAGTGACCGGTGAGAAGGAGAAAAACTGGCCATGAGGGACAGAAGTTGGAACGCTAGCTGCTTCTTTAGCTACCTTATCAGCAGAAGCGTTGCCCTGAGCACTGGGATGTGATGCCTTTTGATGGCCCTTGCAGTGAATGATTCCAGCTTCCTTTTGAAGTAAAGTGGCCTTTGGAAGTAAAGCGGCCTTGAGAAGAGTTTTTATTAAAGAGGCATTAATAATGGAGGATCCTTGTGTAGTGAGGAAACCTCTTTCTGCCCATGTAACAGCATGGTGGTGCAGGATATGGAAGGCATATTTAGAGTCAACATAAATATTGACGCACAGTTCTTTTGCAAGAGTGAGGGCCTGAGTTAAGACAGTGAGTTCGGCTTGCTGAGAGGTAGTGGAGGGGGGCAGAGCGGTAGACTCAGTGATAGATGGGGAAGACACTATAGCATAGCCTGCCTTTGCCAGTGATTGGCGATTGGGCCTGGAAGAACTACCATCAATAAACCAAGTGTGATCAGGGTGAGGAACAGGAAAGAAGGAAATATGGGGAAATGAAGTGAATGCTGGGTAGATCAGAGAGATGCAGTCATGGGGGTCATGTGTGGTATCAGGAATAACGTGGGGGCCAGCCTGAAACAGTAAGGTCAAGTTGTTTGGACAGAAAGGCCACAAGGTACGGTCCCAGCTCTTGTGTAAGAATCCTGACCACACAGCCCTGCGCTTTGGCTGTGTGTAATGAAAAAGGGTTGGGATGAGTTAGGGAGAGCTAGTGGGGAGCAGCTTTTAGGGCTGTTTTTTAAAGAATGGAAAGGGGAGTGGGGAAAGGATTGAGGATTTATGGGGTCAGCTAGGTTTCCTTTGTGAATTTATATAATGGTTTTGTCAGGATGGCAAAACTAGGTATCTAAAGGCGAAAGTACCTAACCATGCCTAGGAAGGAAAGGAGTTCTTGCTTTGTAGAAGGGGTTGAGGTTTGGGAGATTAGCTGGACATGATCAGCAGGGAGAGCATGCATGTTTTCATGAAGAATTATGCCGAGGTAGGTAACGGTTGGGGAAGAAATTTGAGCTTTGGAGGGGGATGTGCGATGTCCTTTTGAGAATAGATGTTGGAGGAGCAGGAGGGTGTCCTGTTGGGAAGATTTGTAGGAGGGGCTATAAAGTAGAAGGTTATCAAAATGCTTAATAAGTTGAGAAGCAGATGGATGGAAAGAAAGTAAATCATGAAAAAGGGCTTGACTAAAGTAATGGGGACTGTCCCTGAAGCCTTCCGGCAGTACAGCTCAGGTAAGTTGCTGAGACTGATGGGTGTCTGGGTCAGTCCAAGTGAAAGCAAAAAAAGGCTGGGATGAAGGGTGTAAAGGAATAATAAAGAAAGCATGTTTGAGATCCAGAACAGAATAATGGGTTGTGGAGGAAGGTATTGAGGATAGGAAAGTATATGGGTTTGGCACCATAGGATGGATGGGAAGGATGATTTGATTAATAAGGCGAAGATCCTGGACAGGCTTTATTCCCTTCAAAGCCTGTTGTGGGATGGCATACTGGCGTTGAGCCGGGTAAGGCTGATTAGATTTTAATGGGATAGTAATGGGCATGTGATTGGTTGCCATGGAGGGAGTAAAGGTGTCCTATCACTTGTGGGTTAAGGTGGGGGGATACAATAGGAAGATGCAAAGGAGGCTTTGAACTGGGGAAAAGGGCAGCAGTGAGGTGTGGCTGTAGCCCAGGAATAGTCAGGGAAGCAGATAATTTAGTTAAAATGCCTCGACCTAATAAGGGAACTGGGCAGGTGAGGGTAACTAAAAAAGGAGTGCATAAAGGAATGTTGTCCAAGCTGGCACCAGAGTTGGGGAGTTTTAAGAGGTTTAGAAGCCTGGCCATCAATACCCACAACAGTTATGGAGACAAGGGAAACAGGCCGTTGAAAAGAAGGTAATGGGGAGTGGGTAGCCTCTGTATTGATTAAGAAGGGGATGAACTTACCCTCCACTGTAAGAGTTACCCAAAGTGTCTGTGATGGTCCAAGAGGCTTTTGAGGAGATCAGGCAGCGTCAGATTTCAGCCACTAAGCTAAGAAGATCTGGAAAGGAGTCAGAGAGCCTTGGGCCAGAGTTCCAGGGCTCTGGGAGTGGCTGCCGGGCAAGTTGGACAGTCCGATTTCCAGTGGGGCCCCACACAGATGGGACAACAGCTTACGAGGAATCCCGGGCTGCGGGCATTCCTTGGCCCAGTGGCCACATTTTCGGCACTTGAAGCAAGATCCTGGGGGAGGAGGTCCTGGAGGAATGCCTGGCTGCTGCAGTTCAGGCGTTTTGAAGTTCTTGTGTGCTGGAGATGTGGCTGGGGTTTGTCTCACAGCGGAGGCAAGTAATTGCAACTCTTCTCTATTATTGTACACTTTGAAGGCGAGGTTAATTAAGTCCTGATGTGCGTTGGGAGCAGATTGGGTAATAAAATGTATGTTGAGAATAAGACGGACTTCTGGCCCCTCTGGGTCTAGGGTGGTAAAACGTCTAAGGGTTGTTAACAAATGGGCCATGAACTGGGCTGGGTTTTCATATTTGATGAAAAAGTCCAAATGCTAACTGATTTGGGGAAGGTCTGAAGGTCTGATAGAGAAAAAGGAATATTAACCTTGATTATGCCTTTAGCACCAGCCACTTCTTTGAGAGGAAATTGTTGGGCAGGTAGGGGAGGGCTAGTCATGGAACAAAACTGTAATCTAGACCGGGTGTGAGGAGGGGAGGTGATAGAAAGATTATAGGGTGGGGGAGCAGAGGCCAAGGAAGAATTGGGACCTGGCTCAGCCTGGCGAGGAGCAGCCTGGGGAGGAGGGGAGAGGTCAGATGGGTCCGTAGAAGAGGAGGATTCAAAGGACTCAGAGCTTGGGGTGGAAACTGAAGGAACAGACAGGAGAGAAAGAAGAAAGATTTGCGACGAGTCGCATTGCGAGCAGAGACTAGGGAGGGACCGATGTGTAAAAGAATGCCTGGACGTCGGGCACCTCAGACCATTTGCCCATTTTTACGACAGTAATTATCTAGATCTTGTAGGATGGAGAAATCAAAAGTGCCGTTTTCTGGCCATTTAGAGCCATTATCAAGTTTGTTTTGGGGCCAAGCAGTGTTGCAGAAGAAAATAAGATGCTTAGGTTTTTAGGTCAGGCAAGAATTGAAGAGGTTTTAAGTTCTTGCACAGGCTAAGGGAGAAGAAGGAGGAATGGAGGTTGAAAGATTGCCCATAGTGAAAGAGGCAAGCCCAGAGAAAAGAGAGGGTAGAGACATGGGCGGGAGGGTGGTGCTTGCCTCCCAGGGAAGGTGGTACTTGCCACCAACGTGAAGGTTCAAGGCAGGCATCCCCACGGTGATCAGACACCTCTGAAATGTGGGTGAATAATCAGGCAGGCATCCCCGCAGTGATTAAACACCAAGGGAAGACTGTCTTCCTCAGTCCGTAACCGGCACCAGAGTTTTGAGATCACGGATAAAACGCGTCTCCTCTGTCTCTACCAGAAAGGGAAAGGAACCAAAATTAAGGAAGGGAGAGATTGAAGGGTGGAGGGATAGCGAGAGAGGTTGGAGAAGAGAGTGAAAAGACTGCTTACCCGATTTAAAATTGGTGAGATGTTCCTTGGGCTGGTTGGTCTGAGGACCTGAGGTCATAGGTGGATCTCCTCACGGAGTGAGGGCAAGGACAGGGGGCTGGTCTCCCAAAGGAGTCCCCCTGTCCCGGGTCTTCGGCACCAAATGTCATGCACGTCCATTTGAAGAGAGTCCACCAACAGGCTTTGTGTGAGCAACAAGGCTGTTTATTTCACCTGGGTGCAGGTTGGCTGAGTCTGAAAAAGGAGTCAGCAAATTGTGGTGGGATTATCATTAGTTCTTATAGGTTTGGGATAGGTGGGCCAGGGGTGGATCTCACAAAGTACATTCTCAAGGGCAGGGAGAATATTATAAAGTACCTTGTTAAGAGCAGGGGAATATCACAAAGTGCATTATCACAAGGGCAGGGAGGGTGTATTGTCATAAGGTCAGTTGATCAGTTAGGGTGGGGCAGGAACATATCACAATGGTGGAATGTTATCTTTTGTGGTTCTTCAGTTGCTTCAAGCCATCTGGATGTATACCTGCAGGTCACAGGGGATATGATGGCTCAGCTTGGGCTCAGAGGCCTGACATTATGCAGTTATGGGCTGTAGGTAGAAGTGATAGACTTTTGTATCAGAACTGTTGGCTTCTGGCCCTTTTTTGCTGACATAATACATATGGCCTAACTGAACCAGCTGTTGCACTTAATTTCTTATGCTCCTACAGTGGACTGAAGGTTAATATCTCCCCAAAATTTGTATGTTGAAATACTAAACCTCTAGGTGATGGTATTGGGGAAGTGGGGCCTTTGGGAAGTGATAAGGTCATACGGCAGAGTCCTGTGAATCGCATTAACACCCTGCTCCTTCCCCACTTCCACCATGTGAGGGCACAGTGAGAAGGCACAATGAACCAGAAAGTGGACCCTCACCAGACACCAAATCTGCTGGTGCCTTGATCTTAGACTTGGCAGTCTCCAGAGATGTGAGACATAAGTTTCCATTGTTAAAAGCTACCAACTTTATGGTATTTTATTACAGCAGCCTAGATGGACTAAGACAGATCCTTAGTCTCCATATATTAGTCCATTCTTATGCTGCTATGAAGAAATATCCAAGACTTGGTCATTTATAAAGGAAAGGGGTTTAATTGACTCACAGTTCCACGTGGCTGGGGAGGCCTCAGGAAACTTACAATCATGGTGGAAAGGGAAGCAAACTCGTCCTTCTTCACATGGTAGGAGGAGAGAGAAATATAGAGCGAAGAGGGGAAAGCCCCTTATAAAACCATTAGATCTCGTGAGAACTCACTGTCAGAATAGCATGGGGCAACCACCCGCGTGTTCTGTTCACCTCCCATGAGGTTCCTCCCCCAACACGTGAAGATTACAATTTGAATTACAGTTCAAGATGAGATTTTGGGTGGGGACATGGCCAAACCATGTCATTCCACCTTTCTTATTCTGTCTTGGTTCATACAACTATACAACTCAATGTAAAAACAGACTCTTAAGGATCTATTTTCACATAAAAAGACCTACCTTTTACTAATAACACCAGGAAGTAAATCAGAGCATTGAGTTAGCTTGCCAGTCATTGTGTGTCTGTAGCGATCTTACCTTCAGGTCTTAGTATGTATTTGTTTTTTGATTCTCTGGGCTTCCTTCTCCAGCTGTCATGGCATAAGGTTTTTATTTTAGAAGACTTGGTGGGGAAAATGGTGTTTAGTTCTACCAAATGGCTGAGGATTCTTCACGGTTAGTCTTGATGTAGCTGTGTGTAACTACTGCATGTGGATTTAGAAACTTCAAACAATATTCCACAAATTAAAATAATGCCATAATTTGGCATGAGATTTTGTAGTTTACAAAGTACTTTCACATACATTATTTTATTAATCCCCATTGTAACCCTGCAGTGAGACAATATCTTCATGTTATAGATGATAAGCTGAGGCTCAGAGAGGTTAAGGGGTGAACTGGAATTTTAGGCTAGGCCTCCTGAGTCCTTAACCCAGTTCTTTTTCTACTGTTGTACAGTCTGCAACTTCACTGTTTACACGATTTGAGCAGATAATGAAGCTTAGGTTGCCAATAATACTTAATATCCTGGATTATTTTGTAACCTGTGTAAAATTTCCTCACTCAACTTTATTGCTATGTATTCCTCCTGTTTGATGATTTTCTAAATAAATTTCTCAATTGTCTGGTAACTTTAGTTTCTTAAGTGTTTCTTCTGCTTTTTTAAAAAAACATATGTTCAAGCGTTTACATCTGTGCTTGTTAGCATTATGAATTTTGACTACACAAATCTTTTTCTCCTTTTTCTCTGTTCTTTTTTAAAAAATTTTAGTTTCTCTTTTGATTTCAACCCGTTAGAGCTTAAATTCTCACGTGATTGTTTTATTTATAGCTAGTTAATCCTCCTGACTAGTAACTATTTTGACAGTCTGACATTTGTTTGCCATCTTCTAAACGCTGTGCTTCTCTTTTGTAACGTGAATTGTTTTCTTTCAATACATTTTTTCAAAACTTTAATTTCATTAATTCAACAAATAGTTAATATTTACTAGGTAAAAAAAAAGATGGGAATGACCACTTCTACGTCAAGTAAAAAGCTTTCCAGAGAAATTGATGCTTGATATGAGTCTTAAAGAAAGATGTTACATCAGCCGGGTGGGTGGCTCATGCCTATAATCCCAGCACTTTGGGAGGCCAAGGTGGATGGATTGCTTGAGCCCAGGAGTTCAAGAGCATCCTGGATAACATGATGAAACCCCATCTCTACTAAAAATACAAAAAATTAGCTGGGGATGGTGGCGCATGCCTGTAGTCCCAGCTACTTGGGAGCTGAAGTGGGAGGATTACCTGAGCCCGGGAAGTCGAGGCTGCAGTGACCCGTGATTGCTCCACTGCACTGCACTCTAGCCTGGGAGATGGGAGTGAGACCCTGTCTCAAAAAGAGTAAAATAGGGTATGCAGACACTACATTTAGATGTATTATAATGAAAATGTTTGAATTCATATTCACTTCTATTTCACCCTTTCAATTTTTCTATTTTTGTGTATCATAATGAATCAAACATTTTAGAACAATAATATATATACATAATTTGTAAATATGTATACATAAAAATACTGAAAATATTTTTACCTTGGGTAAATGATCAGATTTAGAGAATTAACTGTTTTTAACTAGTTGGGAACCAGTGATCACTTATGCAAGGACTGTGTTTTGTGATATATAACTTGAAGAACTTAAAGTACATATTTCTGGACCCTATCTTCAGAGACTGGTTTATTAAGTTTGGGAAGGAATCTTAAAAAATCCATCTTTGCTGGGCGCGGTGGCTCACGCCTGTAATCCCAGCACTTTGGGAGGCCAAGGCAGGCAGATCACGAGGTCAGGAGTTCGAGACCAGCCTGGTCAACATGGTGAAACCCTGTCTCTACTAAAGATACAAAAAATTAGCCGGGCATGGTAGTGGGTACCTGTAATCCCAGCTACTCGGGAGACTGAGGCAGGAGAATCATATGAACCCAGGAGGCGGAGGTTGCAATGAGCCAAGATCACACCATGGCCCTCCAGCCTGGGTGACAGGGCGAGATTCCATCTCAAAAAAAAAAAAAAAAATCCATCTTTTAATTTAATTCCTCAGGTGATTCTGACTATAGGCCAGGTTTAGAAACCACAGGTTTAAATCATGGAAAATATGTAGAGTAGAAAGAGAAAATAGAAAAGTTTGAATGACACTGTGCTGATATTAAAAGTTTCAACTATGTTAATACATATTCTTTTGATTTTAATAATCTGATAGAATGGCTATAATCAGTGTGGAATTGATTGTATCTACTAAGCTAAAATCAACACTGAAAATTCAGACAACTGTTTTACGGTTGTATACTCCATTTTATTTAGCAAGGTTTTTCTTCCATATCTATGCAGGTTATATCAAATATTTTTTTTCTTAGCTAAGTACCTAGAGAGAAATTTTTCCCTAAGCATATAAAATTCTGCATTGCCTAGATCCACCAAAATATTAAACTTGGAAGAGTTGATATAAAATGGCCTGTGATTTAAAGTCTCTTCTCCAAATTGAGATGCAAAGAATTGAGAATATATAAAAGCTACCTCCATGAATTAAAATTTGCAAAAAGGCTAAGAGTCTTATGTTGGAGTCCTTGCCCTGATACCTCAGATTGTGACAGTATTTGAAGATAAGACCTATAAAAGAGGTGATAAAGTTAAATTGAGACATTTAGGGTAGGTCCTAAACTTCCCTAATCCAGTCTGACTGGTGTCTTCACAAGAGGAGGGAATTTGGGCACACAGAGACACGAGAGACACACCCACACACCCACACACGCAGAGGAAAGGCCATAAGAAGACACAGCAAGAAGATGACCATCTGCAAGCCAAGGAGAGAGGCCTTAGATCAAACCAGACCTGCTGACACCTTAATCTTGGACTTATAGCATCTAGAACTATGAGATAATAAATTACTGTTGTTTAAGCCGCTCAATCTTTAGTATTTTGTACAGCAGCCCTAGCTAACTAATACAGAGACAATAAATCTTTTCATTAATTTTACAGCTACACTGCTGAAGCACTAAGACATATATGCAGGTTTTAAAACCCTTACAGCCTTGTTTCTTGAATCAAAATTAGTAAATGGTATTTAGGGTATACTTACATTGTCCGGAATTCTTTACCTCTATCAAAGTGGTTTGTAAATACTATTGACATTATCCCTTGTTGAAGCATTATTTAGTATTCTTAGCATGACTGTTATTTTCAAATGCGATCCCAGTTATATTTTGAGGTATAGGTATTTTTTATGTAAGATAAAATTCTATATAATTGCTAACTACTATCCAACTTAGCAGCCAAGCTAAATAATTATTAGGATAATGATTAATTACTTTTGTCCTGCATTATTCTTTTAGATTACAGTTTCTAGCTAGTGAATGAACAAGTATTCAGGTATTCTAATGCAAGGTAGCATTTTGATGCTAGATCCTAAGTTACTACCTTTCATTCCATTTACCAATTAAATATTTGATTTTTAACCATATATATATATATAATTTTTTTTTTTTTGAGACAGAGTTTCACTCTTGTCGCCCAGGCTGGAGTGCACTGGCGTGATCTCGGCTCACTGTAACCTCTGCCTCCCAGGTTCAAGTGATTCTCCTGCCTCAGCCTCCTGAGTAGCTGGAATTAAAGCCGCCTGCCACCATGCCCGGCTAATTTTTTTTGTATTTTTAGTAGAGACAGGGTTTCACCATGTTGGCCAGGCTGGTCTCGAACTCCTGACCTCAGGTGATCCGCCCGCCTTGGCCTCCTAAAGTGCTGGGATTACAGGCATGAGCCACCATGCCCGGCCAACTTAATATATTTTTATCACCCATCTGAGTATTGTCAGCTTATTATTTTTAATTGTTGACTTTATTATGAAATATTTCAAACATGTAAAAAAATATAATCAGCATCTCTTTCACCTACCTTAAGAAATTAAACTTTACAGATACAATCAAAATCTCCTGACTCCTCCATTCTCCGGTTTTTAATCCAGAAGTAACCACCATTCCAAATTTCTGTTTATTTCCATGCATTATTATTCCCATTGGCATTTTTTGCTTGTTTTAGCTTTATGTAAACAGTCTCATTCTGTTTGCATCCTCCTAAAACTTGCATTTTGGTTTAATACAGGTTTTCAAGATTTAACCATACTGATGCATATAGTTCCAGTGATTTGTTTTTACTGTGCATAGTAGTATTTCATTCCATGAATATACCACAGTTTATTTTCCTCTTTGGACATCTGGGTTGTTTGCAGGTTTGTTTGTTTTGCTATTACAAACATTGCTGTAATAATTACAGCAATTGGCCAGGTGCGGTGGCTCATGCCTATAATCCCAGCACTTTGGGTGGCCGAGGTCGGTGGATCACCTAAGGTCAGCAGTTTAAGACCAGCCTGGCCAACATGGTGAAACCCTGTCTCTACTAAAAATACAAAACTTAGCTGGGTGTTGTTGCACAACACCTGTAATTCCAGCTACTTGGGAGGCTGAGGCAGGAGAATCACTAGAACTCTGGAGGCGGAGGTTGCAATGAGCTGAGATCGCACCACTGCACTCCAGCCTGGGTGACACAGTAATACTCCATCTCAAAATAATAATAATAATAATAATAATAATAATAATAATAATAATAATAACAGCAATTATCTGGTACATTTGTGTCTCTGTACAAATGTGCCAGAATTTCTCTAGATTATATACTTAGGAATAGACTGTTTCAAATTCTCTGTCTGTCTCTCTCATTACCGGTGAATCTGAGCATATTTTACATTATAGTTTTGTTAACTATTTGGGTTTCTCCTTCTGTAAAAATGTTGTTATATTTTAATCAGGAGACAGAAACCACTCTTAATTTCAACAGAGAGAGTATAACATAAAGAATTACTGGCCAGGCACGGTGGCTCACGCCTGTAATCCCAGTACTTTGGGAGGCTGAGGTGGGCAGATCACAAGGTCAGGAGTTCGAGACCAGCCTGACAAGCATAGTGAAACTCCATCTCTGCTAAAAATAAAAATTAAAAAAAAAATTAGCCAGGCATGGTGGCAGGTGCCTGTAATCTCAGCTACTCAGGAGGCTAAGGCAGGAGAACTGCTTGAACCTGGGCCAAGATCGCACCACTGCACTCCAGCCTGGGCAATAGTGTGAGACTGTGTCAAAAAAAAAAAAAAACTATTAGCAGAGGAACAAAGTAACAGAGCAAAGAGAAGTGTGTAAAGAATACAGAAATAATAGATACAGGTAGCAGCCACTATCTGTGGAACTGAGATAGAGCACCCAAGGAAGAGACATTCCCTCTCAAGGTTGAGATTCAGACCTAGTTGCAGAGTGTGGCAGTGGTCACAAAGTGCTGCCCCATGGGGACTGTTAGAAATCTGCCCTCGGGATAGTCTTCCCCAGGGAGGTGCCTAGCTGTGGAACTCATTGTAAGCTGCCTGAGTAGGTGCTAAAAAAGTAGTCCAAGGGGAGTTACATAGCAGGTGACATTTCACTATGAAACTGCCAGGAGGTCTGGGGTGGTTGGTGCCAGGGAAGCAGCTCATGAGAAGGTGCCACGGCTGTTAGCACCTGGACGCTGCCAAAAATTAAAATCTGCATCCTGCAGGAACCCAATAAGGTAAGCACACTGGAACCAGAAGGAGAAACACCTTCTTCTTCCAGCATCCTTCAAGTGTCATCTACTGGTAAAGCCTAATTGGACCAGCTGGCAAGAGAGAACTATTTACAGAGTTCAGCTCCATTATTGTAGAGCACACAAGGAAGGGTAGATTTAGAGCTGAGAGGCAGTAAGTGGATAATTTACACAGTATCATTTGCCCTTTTTTTTTTTTTAACGTTCTGGGATACATGCGCAGAACGTGCAGGTTTGTTACATAGGTGTATATGTGCCATGGTGGTTTGTTGCACCTATCAACCCATCATCTAGATTTTAAGCCCTGCATGCATTAGGTATTTATCCTGATGGTCTCCCTCCCTTGCTTCCTGACCCCTGGTGTGTGATGTTCTCCTCCCTGTATCCATGTGTTCTCATTGTTCAGCTCCCACTTTTGACTGAGAACATGGGGTATTTGGTTTTCTGTTCCTGTGTTAGTTTGCTGAGAATGATGGCTTCCAGCTTCATCCATGCAAAGGACATGAACGCATCCTTTTTTATGGCTGCATAGTATTCCATGGTGTATATGTGCCACATTTTCTTTATCCAGTCTATCATTGATGAGCATTTGGGTTGCTTCCAAGTCTTTGCTATTGTAAATAGTGCCACAGTGAACATATGTGTGCATGTGTCTTTATAGTGGAATGATTTATAATCCTTTGGGTATATACCCAGTAACGGGATTGCTGGATCAAATGGTATTTCTGGTTCTAGCTTCTTGAGGAATTGCCACACCGTCTTCCACAATGGTTGAACTAATTTACACTCCCACCAATAGTGTAAAAGTGTTCCTATTTCTCCACAGCCTCACCAGCATCTGTTGTTTCCTGACTTTTTAATAATTGCTATTCTAACTGGTGTGAGAGGTATCTCATTGTAGTTTTGATTTGCATTCCTCTAATGACTAGTGATGATGAACTTTTTTTTCATGTTTTTTGGCCACATAGATGTTTTCTCTTGAGAAGTGTCTGTTAATATCCTTTGCCCACTTTTTGATGGGTTTTTTTTTCTTGTAGATTTAAGTTCCTTGTAGATTCTGGATATTAGACCTTTGTCAGGTGGGTAGATTTCAAAAATTTTCTCCCATTCTGTAGGTTGCCTGTTCACTCTGATGATAGTTTATTTTGCTGTGCAGAAGCTCTTTAATTAGATCCCACTTGTCAATTTTGACTTTTTGCAGTTGCTTTTGGTGTTTTATTCATGAAGTCTTTGTCCATGCCTATGTCCTGAATGGTATTGCCTAGGTTTTCTTCTAGGGTTTTTATGGTTTGGGGTTTTACATTGAAGTCTTTACTCCATTTTTGAGTTGATTTTTGTATAAGATGTAAGGAAAGGGTCTAGTTTCTGTTTTCTGCATATAACTAGCCAGTTTTCCCAGCACCATTTATTAAATAAGGAATACTTTCCCCATTGTTTATTATAGTCAGGTTTGTCAAAGATCAGATGGTTGTAGATGTGTGCTGCTATTTCTGAGGTCTCTGTTCTGTTCTATTAGTCTGTATATTTGTTTTGGTACTAGTACCATGCTGTTTTGGTTACTGTAGCCTTGTAGTATAGTTTGAAGTCAGGTAGTGTGGTGTCTCCAGATTTGTTCTTTTGCTTAGGATTGTCTTGGCTATACAGGCTCTTTTTTGGTTCCATATAAAATTTAAAGTATTTTTTTCTAATTCTGCAAAGAAAGTCAATGGTAGCTTGATGGGAATATCATTGAATTTATAAACTACTTTAGGCAGTATGGTTATTTTCACGATATTGATTCTTCCTAACCATGAGCATAGAATTTTTTTCCATTTATTTGTGTCGTTTTTATTTTGTTGAACAGTGGTTTGTAGTTCGTCTTGAAGACGTCCTTCACGTCCCTTGTAAGTTGTATTCCTAGATATTCTATTTTGCTTCTAGCAATTGTGAATAGGAGTTCACTCATGATTTGGCTCTCTGCTTGTCTATTATTGGTGTATAAGAATGCTTGTGATTTTTGCACATTGATTTTGTGTCCTGAGACTTTGCTGAAGCTGCTTATCAGCTTAAAGAGTTTTTAGTCTGAGACCATGGGGTTTTCTAAATATACAATCATGTCATTTGCAGAGACAATTTGATTTCCTCTCTTCCTATTTGAATACCCTTTATTTCTTTCTCTTGTCTGATTGCCCTGGCAGAACTTCCAGTACTCTGTTGAATAGGAGTAGTGAGAGAGGACATCCTTGTCTTGTGCTGGTTTTCAAAGGGAATGCTTCCAGCTTTTGCCCATTCAGTGTGATATTGGCTATGGGTTTGTCATAAATAGCTCTTATTATTTTGAGTTATATTCTATTGATACCTAGTTTATTGAGAGTTTTTAGCATGAAGTTATGTTGAATTTTATCAAAGACCGTTTCTGCATCGATTGAGATAATTATATGGTTTTTGTCATTGATTCTCTTTATATGATGGATTACGTTTATTGATTTGCATGTGTTGAACCAGACTTGCATCCCAGGGATGAAGCTGACTTGTATGTGGTGGATAAGCTTTTTGATGTGCTGCTGGATTCGGTTTGCCAGTATTCTATTGAGGATTTTCACATCGATGTTCATCAGGTATATTAGCCTAAAATTTTCTTCTTTGTTGTCTCTCTGCCAGGTTTTGGTTTCAGGATGAGGCTGGCCTCATAAAATGAGTTAGGGAGGATTCTTTCTTTCTCTATTGATTGAAATAGTTTCAGAAGGAATGGTACCTTGACTCTTTATCCAATTTGCCAGTCTGTGTCTTTTGATTGGGGCAGTTAGCCCATTTACATTTAAGGTTAATATTGTTACATTTGAATTTGATCCTGTCATTATGATGCTAGCTAGTTATTTTGCCCATTAATTGCTGCAGTTTCTTCATAGCATCAATGGTCTTTACCATTTGTCATGTTTTTGCAGTGGCTGGTACTGGTTATTTCTTTCCATGTTTAGTGCTTCCTTCAGGAGCTCTTGTAAGGCAGGCCTAGGGATAACAAAATCTCTCAGCATTTGCTTGTCTGTAAAGGATTTTATTTCTCCTTCACTTTCGAAGCTTAGTTTGGCTGAATATGAGATTCTGGGTTGAAAATCCTTTTCTTTAAGAATGTTGAATATTGGCCCCCACTCTCTTCTGGCTTGTAGAGTTTCTGCCAAGAGATCCGCCGTTAGTCTGATGGGCTTTCCTTTGTGGGTAACCTGACCTTTCTCCCTGGCTGCCCTTAACATTTTTTCCTTCATTTCAACCTTGGTGAATCTGACAATTAATGTGTCTTGGGGTTGCTCTTCTCGAAGAGGATCTTTATGGTGTTCTCTGTATTTCCTGAATTTGAATGTTGGCCTGCCTTGCTAGGATGGGGAAGTTCTCCTGGATAATATCCTGAAGAGTGTTTTCTAACTTGGTTCCATTCTCCCGGTCACTTTCTGGTACACCAATCAAACATAGATTTGGTCTTTTCACATAGTCCCATATTTCTTGGAGGCTTTGTTTGTTTCTTTTTACTCTTTTTTCTCTAAACTTCTCTTCTTGTTTTATTTCATTAATTTGATCTTCAGTCACTGATATTTTTTCTTCCACTTGTTTGAATCGGCTATTGAAGCTTATGCATGGGTCCCGAAGTTCTTGTGCCATGGTTTTCAGTGCCATCAGGTCACTTAAGGTCTTCTTTACACTGTTTATTCTTGTTAGCCATTCATCTAATCTTTTTTCAAGGTTTTTAGCTTTCTTGTGATGGGTTAGAACATGCTCCTTTAGCTCAGAGAAGTTTGTTATTACCGACCTGAAGCCTACTTCTGTCAACTCATCAAACTCGTTCTCCATCCAGTTTTGTTCCCTTGCTGGTGAGGAGCTGCAATCCTTTGGAGGAGAAGAGGCGCTCTGTTTTTTGGATTTTTCAGCTTTTCTGCTGTGGTTTCTCCCCATCTTTGTGGTTTTATCTACCTTTGGTCTTTGATGATGGTGACCTACAGGTGGAGTTTTGGTGTGGATGTCCTTTTTGTTGATGTTGATGCTGTTCCTTTCTGTTTGTTAATTTTCCTTCTGACAGTCAGGTCCCTCAGCTGCAGGTCTGTTGGAGTTTGCTGGAGGTCCACTCCAGACCCTGTTTGCCTGGGTATCACCAGCGGAGGCTGCAGAACAACAAATATTGCTGCTTGATCCTTCCTCTGGAAGCTTCGTCCCAGAGGGGCACCCGCCTGTTTGAGGTGTCTGTCGGCCAATACTGGGAGGTGTTTCCCAGTCAGGCAACACAGGGGTCAGGGACCCGCTTGAGGAGGCAATCTGTCCATTCTCAGAGTTCGAATGCCCTGCTGAGAGAATCACTACTCCCTTCAGAGCTGTCAGCCAGGGATGTTTAAGTCTGCAGAAGCTGTCTGCTGCCTTTTGTTCAGCTGTGCCCTGCCCCCAGAGGTGGAATCTATAGAGGCAGTAGGCCTTGCTGAGCTGCAGTGGGTTCTGCCCAGTTTGTGCTTCCTGGCCTCTTTGTTTACACTGTGAGCTACTTAAGCCCCAGCAATGGCAGATGCCCCTTTCCCCCACCAGGCTACAGCCTCAAAGGTTGATCTCAGACTGTTGCGCTAGCAGTGAGCAAGGCTCCGTGGGTGTGGGACCTGCCAAACCAGTGACAGGAGGGTATCTCCTGGTCTGCCGGTTGCTAAGACTGTGGGAATAGTGCAGTATTTGGTGAGGAGTGTACCATTTCTCCAGGTACAGTCTGTCACAGCTTCCCTTGGCTAGGAAAGGGAAATCCCCTGACCCTTTCTGCTTCCTGGGTGAGGCGACGCCCCACCATACTTCAGCTTGCCCTCCGTGAGCTGCACCCACTGTCCAACCAGTCCCAATGAGATGAACCAGGTACCTCAGTTGGAAATGCAGAAATCATTCACTTCTGTGTCGATCTCACTGGGAGCTGCAGACCAGAGCTGTTCCTATTTGGCCATCTTGGAAGGGACCCCTATTTCTTCTAGATTTTCTGCTTTATTTGCATAGAGGTGTTTATGGTATTATCTGATGGTAGTTTGTATTTCTGTGGGATTAGTGGTGATATCCCTTTTATCATTTTCATGTGCCTATTTGATTCTTCTCTCTTTTCTTCTTTATTAGTCTAGCTAGCAGTCTATTTTGTTAATTCTTCTCTCTTTTCTTTATTAGTCTAGCTAGCAGTCTATCAATTTTGTTAATCTTTTCAAAAACCAAGCTCCTGGATTCATTGATTTTTTGAAAGGTTTTTTGTGTCCTCTATCTCCTTTAGTTCTGCTCTATTTCTTGCTTCTGCCAGCTTTTGAATTTGTTTGCTCTTGCTTCTCTAGTTCTTTTCATTGCGATGTTAGGATGTTGGTTTTCTGTCTTTCTTGCTTTCTGATGTGGGTATTTAGTGCTATAAATTTCCATCTTAACACCGCTTTAGCTGTGTCCCAGAAATCCTCACTCGTTGTCTCTTTGTTCTCATTGGTTTCAAAGAACTTCTTTATTTCTGCCTTAATTTCATGATTTACCCAGTAGTCATTCAGGAGCAGGTTGTTTGATTTCCATGTAGTTGTGTGGTTTTGAGTGAGATTCTTAATCCTGAGTTCTAATTTGATTGCACTGTGGTCTGAGAGACTGTTTGTTATGATTTCCATTCTTTTGCATTTGTTGAGGATTGTTTTACTTCCAATTATGTGGTCATTTTAGAATAAGTGCTATGTGGCACTGAGAAGAATATATATTCTGTTGATTGGGGTGGAGAGTTCCGTAGATGTCTATTAGGTCATCTTGGTCCAGAGTTGAGTTCAAGTCCTGAATATCCTTGTTAATTTTCTGTCTCATTGATCCGTCTAATATTGACAGTGGTAGTTAAAGTCTCCTATTATTATTGTGTGGGAGTCTTAAGTCTCTTTCTAGGTCTCTAAGAATTTGTTTTATGAATCTGGGTGCTCCCGTATTGGGTGTGTATATATTTAGGATAGTTAGCTCTCCTTGTTGCATTGATCCCTTTACCATTATGTAATGTCCTTCTTTGTCTTTTTTGATCCTTGTTGGTAAAGTCTGTTTTATTAGAGATTAGGATTGCAACCCCTGCTTTTTTTTCCCATTGCATTTGCTTGGTAAATGTTCCTCCATCCCTTTATTTTGAGCCTTTGTGTGTCTTTGCACATGAGATGGGTCTCTTGAATACAGCACACCAATGGGTCTTGACTCTATCCAGTTTTCCAGTCTGTATCTTTTAATTGGGGCAGTTAGCCCATGTACATTTAAGGTTAATATTGTTATGTGTGAATTTGATCCTGTTATTGTGATGCTAGCTGGTTATTTTGCACATCATTTGATGTGGTTTCTTCATAATGTCATTGGTCTTTATATTTTGTTTTGTTTTTGCAGTGGCTGGTATCGGTTTTTCCTTTCCATATTTAGTGCTTCCTTCAGGAGTTCTTGTAAGGCAGGCTTGGTGATGACAAAATCCCTAGGCATCTGCTTGTCTGTAAAGGATTTTATTTCTCCTTTGGTTATGAAGCTTAGTTTGGCTGGATATGAAATTCCGGGTTGCAAATTCTTTTCCTTAAGAATGTTGAATATTGGCCCCCACTGTCTTCTGGCTTGTAAAGTTTCTGCAGAGAAATCTGATGTTAATCTGATAGGCTTCCCTTTGTAGATAACCTGACCTTTCTCTCTGGATGCCCTTAACCTTTTTTCCTTTGTTTCAGCCTTGGAGAATCTGATCATTATGTGTCTTGGGGTTGCTCTTCTTGAGCAGTATCTTAGTGGTGGTCTCTGTGTTTCCTGAATTTGAATGTTGGCCTGCCTTGCTAGGCTGGGGAAGTTCTCCTGGATAATGTCCTGAAGTGTGTTTTCCAACTTGACTTCATTCTCTCCACCACTTTCAGGTATACCAGTTAAACTTAGGTTTCGTCTTCTCACATAGTGCCATATTTCTTGGAGGCTTTGTTCATTCCTTTTCATTCTTTTTTTCTCTAATCTTTTCTTCATGCCTTGTTTCAGTCAGGTGATCTTCAGTCCCTGATATCCTTTCTTCCACTTGATCGATTTGGCTATTGATTCTTGTGTATGCTTCATGAAGTTCTCGGACTGTGTTTTTCAACTCCATCAGGTCATTTATGTTCCTCTTTAAACTGGTTATTCTAGTTAGCAGTTCCTGTAACCTTTATCAAGGTTCTTAGCCTCCATGCATTGGGTTAGGACATGCTCCTTTAGCTCAGAGGAGTTTGTTATTACCCACCTTCTGAAGCCTACTTCTGTCAATTCGGCAATCTCATTCTCCATCCAGTTTTGTGACCTTGCTGGAGAGGAGTTGCGATAATTTGGAGGAGAAGAGGCTTTCTGGTTTTTGGAATTTTCAGTGTTTTTGCACTGATTTTTCCTCATCTTTGTGGATTTATCTACCTTTGATCTTTGAGGCTGATGACCTTTGGATGGGGTTTTTGTGTGGTGGTCTTTTTTGTTGATGTTGTTGCTTTCTGTTTGTTAGTTTTTCTTCTATTAGTCTGGCCCCTCTCCTGCAGGTCTGCTGCAGTTTGCTGGAGGTCCACTCCAGACCCTGTTGACCTGCAGTGGAAGCTGCAGAACAGCAAAGATTGCTGCCTGCTCCTTCCTCTGGAAGCTTTGTCCCAGAGGGGCACTGGCCTGATGCCAGCCAGAGCTCCCCTGTATGAGGTGTCTGTCAGACCCTGTTGGGAGATCTCTCCCAGTCAGGAGGTATGGGGGTTAGGGACCCACTTGAGGAGGCAGCCTGTCCCTTAGCAGAGCTGGTGCACTGTACTGGGAGAATCACCCTTGTCAGTATCAACTGCTGTCTTCAGAGTCGGCAGGCAGGAAAGATTAAATCTGCTGAAGCCTCGTGCCCACAGCCACCCCTTCCCCCAGGTGCTGTGTCCGAGGGAGATGAGAGTTTTATCTGTAAGCCCCTGACTGGCGCTGCTGTCTTTCCTTCAGAGGTGCTCCGCCCAGTGAGGAGGAATCTAGAGAGGCAGTCTGGTGACAGCCGCTTTGCCCCGCTGTGGTGAATTCCGCCCAGTCCAGACCTGCCAGGCACCTTAGCACTGTCAGGGGAAAACCACCTACTAAAGCCTTGGTAATGGTGGACGCCCCTCCCCTCACCAAGCTCCAGTGTCCCTGGTCGACTTCAGACTGCTGTGCTGACAGTGAGAATTTCAAGCCAGTGGTTCTTAGCTTGCTGGGCTCCATGGGAGTGGGACCCACTGAGCGAGACCACTTGGCTCCCTGGCTTCAGCCCCCTTTCTAGGGAAGTGAAGTCTCACTGGGGTTCCTGGAACCACTGGGTTTTGAAAAAAACTCCTGCAGCTAGCTCAGTGTCTGCCCAAACAGCTGCCCAGTTATGTGCTTGAAGCCCAGGGTCCTGGTGGTGTAGGCACACAAGATAATCTTCTGATCTGCAGATTGCAAAAACCATGGGAAAAGCATAGTAACCCAGCTGGGTAGCACAGTCCCTCATGGCTTCCCTTGGCTGGCGGAGGGAGGTCCCCTGGCTCCTTGCGCTTCCCAGGTGAAGTGGAAGTGACGCACCACCATGCTTCTGCTCACTCTCCGTGGGTTCATTTTTCCAATGAAATGAACGGGGCACCTCAGTTGGAAATGCAGAAATCACCCTCCTTCTGCATTGGTCTCACTGGGACCTGCAGACCAGAGCTGTTCCTATTCGGCCATCTTGGCCTCTCCTCCTTTGCCCATATTTTAAAATAGAGTTTCTCATACTTTTTTTTTTTTTTTTTTTTTTTGGCTTGTACAGGGGTTTTTTTTTTTAAAAAGAAAAAAAAAAGAAAAAGAAAATATAGAATGGCTATATGCATTATAAATAATTTCTTCTAGTTCTAACCCTTTTTTAAAAAATAGTGAAAGATGGCCAGGCGTCGTGGCATATGCCTGTAATCCCAGCACTTTGGGAGGCCGAAGCAGGCAGATCACTTGAGGTCAGGAGTTTTGAGACCAGCCTGGCTATCATAGCGAAACCCTGAAACTACTAAAAAAAAAAAATAGAAAAGTTAGCCAGGTGTGGTGGTGCACCCCTATATTCCTGGCTACTCTGGAGGCTGAGGCAGGAGAATTGCTTGAACCTGGGAGGTGGAGGTTGCAGTAAGCTGAGATCACGCCACTGCACTCCAGCCTGGATGACAGAGTGAGACTGTGTCTCAAAAAACAAAAAAAAAGTGAAAGTCACGTTTAAATTATTACATATTTCTTTACCAAGTGACTGTAACATATCTTTTTTTTATATTCAGGCACTCTTCATGATTTTCAGTATCATGAATAGCATGCAGCCAGTTTTGTTAAAGTCAAGCAGGGCTTAGTGATAGGTGTGAAGAACGTCTACCATTGTCTTGCAATAATAAAGAATGTGTAGGCTCCACAAATTATACTGGTATAGATGATAGATGCTGTAAAGACTATTCCACATGTTACTTACACAAATAGGAGTAGAAAATAGTCAATAAGGACATAGATGTTTTTAAGCAGATTATAAGTATATTTTTAAGCAGATTGATAAGTAAGTTATATTAGTAATGTAGAATAAGAGATATAGGTGTTGAATATCATAGGCATGGAGAGCATGCAAAAAACTTAGTCACCATAGAAAATGGTTTTATTTATGGTAATTTGAGAAAAGACCTGTTTGAAAAGGCTTTGATATAGCAATTAATTTTACCTAGCTCAATTCATGTCACATTAAACTGTGTAACTTTTTTTTTTTTTTTGAGATGGAGTCTCGCTCTGTTGCCAGGCTAGAGTGCAGTGGCACGATCTCAGCTCACTGCAACCTCTGCCTTCTGGGTTCAAGCGATTCTTCTGCCTCAGCCTCCCAAGTAGTTGGGACTACAGGAGTGTGCCACCATGCCCAGCTAATTTTTGTATTTTTAGTAGAGACACGGGGTTTCACCATGTTGGCCAGGATGTTCTCGATCTCTTGACCTCATGATCCGCCCACTTCGGCCTCTCAGAGTGCTGGGATTACAGGTGTGAGCCACCACGCCAGGCCCTGTGTAACTTGTTATATTCATCTAAGACTGATACAGATTAGCAGTAGACAAAGTTGACAGTAGAGACACAGACAATGTTTAACGTCTACTCTGTGGTCAAAATCCTTTCAATATAAGCAGTATATATAGCTTCCACGACAAAGCTCCCTTTCATAATAAATTAAGGTAATGCCTTGAAAATGTAAATTTATATTTACCCTATTCTGTTTACTAAGGGAAGTGTTAAATACTTTAGGAAGTGTTCTGTGCTTTCAATTGGACAGTTAGCTTTGGAATATCTTAATTATCCACAATATTACATTTCAATAACCAGACTAATTTTAATGAGGTTGTAAAGAAATGAGGTTGCAAAGAAATTGTACCTGAATAGCTGAAACCTTGTATTTCTGTTCAACTCTAGTTCTGTAAAATGGATTTTAATTCAATGTATATTACATATCAAGCATTAAAGTGAAAAATTCTTAATTTGCTGAGTCTAATGTATTTTTTTGGGGGGGGGTAATAAACTTTAAAGATAATTACCAAAACACCAAGATACCTAGCCTCCTCTTAGTAATGCATAACAGCTTTTGCATGACCTGTACAGGAAAACTCAAAGTCTACAGTACACAGGTACCAAGCTGCCTTTTGTCTTTCTAATTCAGAAAAAGCCTGATGCCTGTGCTGTAAGCACGTTAACTACAGGGAAGAAGGAAGAGTCATTATCACCAATAGCTACCCAGTCCTAGCTACTGTTAAAAAAAAAAAATGATTTATGGGATATAGTCTTTACCCTAATGGAGAAATAAATGCTTGATGGTCTAAATTATAACTTAGAATATGTTTTTCTATAAGAAAACATAAAGGATGGTTTGATGGCAACAGTGCATTAATACATTAGATATTTAATAGTTCAGGGGCTGATCTGGATTAGACAATCCAAAGTGCTGGGATTCTAGGCGTGAGCCACCGCGCCCGGCCACATAAATATCTTTATTGCGAATGTATTCCTACTCACACATGAGATCCACTCAAGCATTTGCATAGTAGAAAATGAACCTTAGAATTATTTTTCAGTCAAGAAGAACCCATGTTCTTCTTTTGATTTCAATAAAGACCGTTCTTCCTAGCAATTGTAATTAGGATAATGACTTAGTTATTTTCTCTTTTTTTGAGACGGACTCTCGCTGTGTCACCTAGGCTGGAGTGCAGGTGCGATGGTGTGATCTCAGCTCACTGCAGCCTCCGCCTCCCGGGTTCAAGAGATTCTTCTGCCTCAGCCTCCTGAGTAGCTGGGATTACAGGCGTGTTACCACCAAGCCCAGCTAATTTTATATTTTTAGTAGAGACAGGGTTTCACCATGTTGGCCAGGCTAGTCTCGAACTCGTGACCTCAGATGATCCGCCCACCTCAGCGTCCTTAAGTGCTGGGATTACAGGTTTGAGCCACCACGCCTAGCTATGATAGTTACTCTTATCTTTTGAGTTCTCAAGATGTATGAAGACATAACACCTGTATCTAAGAATTCCAGAGAAAGGAGGAAGACTAAATAGAATACAGTTAAGAAAAATACTGACAGACATGTACAGAATTATTTCAGTGAAATCATAGAAGGTGAAGAAAGGCTTTCCTGAAGAAGTAAATGTAAAAGCTAGCTAAATGTAGAAAATAGGCACAAGCATCCCAGACAGAAGGAACAGCATATGCAAGATACAGAAGTAAGAACCAGCACAACACATTCTGGGTTTTAAGGAGGAGAGAGTAAATGAAGGGAATCTGAATGTATGTGCATGTACTTACATATACACTTGCTTGTGAGTAGGCATTGGGTAATGGTGGTGAGAGTGTTGTAGAGTTGAAACTAGGGATACTGAGTTTACGTAGGAGGCTTCTGAAATAAAACAAGAAATGATTAGTGTGAACTCAAATAATGACTGTAGGCCTGATAAACAAGGGATGAATTTGAGAGTGATTTAGGAGATGGAATAAACAGCATTTAGTGTCCAGTTGTAAGAAGTACTTGAGGAGGCAGCATCTTGGATGACTCCCAGGTTTCTGCCTTGGGTAGCCACCTAAATACTGTCAGCTTTCCATTCACTGTGATAGGGAATGCAGGTGGAAAAATGGGTGTGTGTTTTGTTTTGTTCAATTTTTTTCCAGGAAGCTAAGGGTTTCATGACTATTTGTGGTTGAACACCAGTAAAGAACCTCTACTGCTTGGGAGGTGAGAACTAAATGAGAGCTGAAAATGCATTTTGTATTTGAGAGTATAGGTTGTATTATGTAGTAGAAAGAGCTTGAATGAACTTTGAACTCAAACTTTGGTTGGAATCTTGGTTCTCACATTACTAGTAGCTATGTGCCTTTAAGCAAATTATTTAGTTTCACTAAGACTTAGCTTATTCATTTGTAAAGTTGGGAGAATGATAGCCTTTTAAGATTATTGTTAAATGAGATGAGCTTCTGGGTCTGGAAGATAATGGCAACTGTCCAAATCTAAATCTCTCCGCATGTCCTCCCCAAAAGCTGTAAGAACAAAAGGACTCCACACACACATGCACACACACATATATATACACAGAAACCATACATAACTGACACTTTCAGCACTACCGCAAGACAGATGATACCATGAATTTTTAATTACCTTTATACAAGGAAATAGCACATTACAATGGTTCCTGTTGCTGCTACAAACCTGTGAGTGGGAAGAGCTGGGTAAGGAAAGGCTTAAGAGACTGAGAAAATAGGAGAAGGGAACAGAGGTTAAAATAAACCACAGGCAACATCACCCTCAGAAAAAGTCCTCAGCGTTGCCAGGTACAAAGACAGGCCTAGGACTTGGTAATTTATAGAACTAGCTACAGGAAGCTGTATGAAAGTGAGAGGGGCCACAAGCAGCAGCTTCAGAGTAGCATTGCTCCTAGAAGAGACAGAGAAAAGAACGACACCTCTTGGAGGCATGGCAGCAAGAGGAAAGGAAGGAAGTGGGGATAAAATTGAGGCTTCTAGAGAAATGAAAGAGAAACAAGGCACGGCAACCCAACCCCCACCCAACAACTCCACCGTAACACCGTCCATTATAGGCGCTCCTCTTTACTAATCTGCAGAAGTGAATGCTCTTAAACTAAGAACCCAAGAACCCTATGCTCAAGAATAGAAATGAATCAAATGCTACACAAAGCTACTTTAAGAGGAATATAAAAATTTGAAAGAAAGTGTTTCAGTTGATAAAACTTCTCCCCAAAAAAGCAAATGCAAAGGGAAAGGGCATCTCAGTGCTCCAACCAAATAAAATATTCTCAAACAAATCTGTGAACATACTACAAAAACCACAAACTTAGAAGCAGAAATCTAAACTCTGACATGAAAAGAAGTGAAAAAGGAAGAAGTGCAACAAAATTTGATTGAACACAGGAAAGAAATTGAAGAGAAAGGCAAAGCCATCTCGGGAGACTACAGTAATCCAGCTTTATAGCTGTGGTTTCGCTTTCTGCAGTTTCAGTTAGCCACAGTCAACTAGAGTCCAAAAATATTAAATGGAAAATTCCAGAAATAAGCAATTTTAAATTGTTTTTGTTTTTTGGTTTTGGTTTTTTTGAGACAGAGTCTTGCTCTGTCACCCAGGCTGGAGTGCAATGGCACTGTTACCAGGGGTCCTTGCTCCCAGAGCTCCCAAGATGGCAGCGGGCTGCTTCCAAGCTTGTGGCAAGTCTCACGTTCTCTGACCTGGGGTTCTTGGCCTCACGGATTCCAAGGAGTGGAATCTTGGGCCATGCAGTGAGTGTTATAGCTGTATTAGAAGCCGTGGGTCACGGAAGAGAACCTTGGAACCCAGTGACTAGTGTTCAGCTCAATTAGGATGAACCCGGGCACTTAGCTGTGCAGGAACAATGGCAAGCCTTTAGCCCAGTCGGGAAGAGCAGTGGGCGCCTCGCTGGATCAGGAGCACAGCAGACACCCTGCCGGATCCGGAGGGATGGAAGTCAGCGGCAGGTCTGCGATGGTGGCAAACAGCAGTGGTGGATGGGGAATGAAAGCTCAGCTCGAGCCGTAACAAACACGGACCAGAAAAGAGTGCAGTTGCAAGATTTAATAGAGTGAAAACAGAGCTCCCATACAAAGGGAGGGGACCCAAAGAGGGTAGCTGTTGCTGGCTTGAATGCCTGAGTTTATATCCTGATCATTGTCCCTCCCGCTGTGCTCTCAGGCAATAGATGATTGGCTATTTCTTTACCTCCTGTTTTTGCCTAATTAGCTTTTTAGTGAGCTCTCTTTACTACCTGATTGGTCGGGTGTGAGCTAAGTTGCAAGCCCCGTGTTTAAAGGTGGATGCAGTCACCTTCCCAGCTAGGCTCAGGGATTCTTAGTCAGCCTAGAAAATCCAGCTAGTCCTGTCTCTCAGCACGATCTCAGCTCACTGCAACCTCCGCCTCCCGGGTTCAAGTGATTCTCCTGCCTCAGCCTCCCAAGTAGCTGGGACTATAGGTGTGTACCACCATGCCTGGCTAATTTTTGTATTTTTAGTAAAGATGAGGTTTCACCATGTTGGCCAGTCTGGTCTCAATCTCCTGACCTCAGGTGATCCTCCTGCCTCGGCCTCCCAAAGTACTGGGATTACAGGCATTAGCCACTGTATCCAGCCACAATTACAAGTTTTAAATTGGATGCTTTTCTGATTGGTGTGATGAAGTCTCCAGCCATCCTGCTCCATCCTGCCCAGGATGGGAGTTATTCCTTTGTCTAGGATATGCAGCTGTTTATGCCACTGGTCCATTAGTCATTTAGTAGCTGTCTTGGTTATCAGATCAACTGTGGTGGTTTTGAAGTGCTTGTGTTCAAGTTACCTTTATTTTATTTAATAATGGCTCCAAAGCGCAAGAGTGGTGATGCTAGCACATTGTTATAATTGTTGGATTTTATTATTAGTTGTTGTTAATCTCTTATTGTGCCTAATTTATAAAGTAAGCTTTATCATAAATATGTATATATTGCAAAAACATTATAAGGTTCAATACTATTTAAGGCTTCAGGCATCCAGTGGGGGTCTTGGAATGTATCCCCCACAGATAAGGGGGGACTACTGTATATTAATTACAAGGTGCCCGTGGAGAATAGATTCAAATAAAAATCTAATAAGAGCCATTGATAAAAGGAAGGAAAACAACCAAGAGAATGTAAAAAGTAGTTTAAATTCAATACAGGCAAAAGAAGACCTAACATACTTAAAATTGGAGTCCCTAAAGAAGAAAAGCAAATCACTAGAACAGAACTAATTAAACCATAACTCAACACTTTTCAGAAATAATAGGAAATTTCAAATTTTACATATTAAAAGGCCCCATCATGGACAGATTAATACAGAACAGCTCTGAGTCATAGCCTAGTAAAACTATTAGATTTTAAAGACTTTTTTCCTGGGCCTCTTGAGAGGGGAAAAAAGATTATATTATTAATAAAATCAGGCTGACATCAGATTCCTTAAGAACAATATATTTTTTTTTGGTCTCACTCTGTCACCCAGGCTGGAGTGCAGGGGCATGATCTTGGCTCACTGCAACCTCCGCCTCCCAGGTTCAAGTAATTCTCATGCCTCAGCCTCCTGTAGCTGGGATTATAGGCATGCACCACCATGCCCAGCTAATTTTTATATTTTTAGTAGAGCTGGGGTTTTGCTGTGTTGGCTAGGCTGGTCTTGAACTCCTGGCCTCAAGTGATCCACCTGGCTCGGCCTCTCAGAATGCTGGGATTACAGGCATGAGTCACTGCACCTGGCCTAGAACAATATTCAAAGGAAGGCTACAGTAGAGCACCATTTTTAAAAACTCAAAGAAATAAAGCACAAGCTAGCCAACCTGTCTTTAGAGTATCAGATAAACAGTTTGAACACACAAGAATTTAGGAAATATGTGGTGATAATTTACTATATTTAAATGTAGATCCAAGACTTAAAACAGTGTTGGGGACATAGATGTAATTTTTATATGTTCTGACAAAGTAAAAAGAATAAAACTAAAAATAAGTGGGTGAACAAAGAATTAAGATTATTCTCCACAATATAGGTAATAAGTGAGAGTCATACAATACCTTTTAAATGGATTGACCAGATAATAAAAGGTAAAGTAGGCAAAAAGTCGATTTGGGTTACTCTAAAACACACACACATACACACACACCACCACCACCACCACCACAGGAGAGAGAGAGAGAGAACCACTGGAACAAAAAATTAAAATTTTCCTAACTACCAAAAGAAAGTACAAAAAATAAAAAAATAGCAGAAATACCACATAAAGGAAAAAAAAGAATACGTATGAATAACAAACATGGTAACTATAAAGATAGAGTTGAGTTCAAATATGTCAATCATATTAGTAAACATAAATGGGCTTAACTCATCTATTAAAATAAAAAGGTGTTCAAATGGCTTTATAAAGCAAAACCCAATTCTATGCCTTACACAAGAGACATATAAAACAGTGATTCCAACCATCAAAAATAAAGGAATGTATATGATATTACAGGCAAATGGAAAAAATAAGAAATCAGGAGTTTCCATTTTGCTGAACAAAGTAGAATCCAGGCAAAAACTATTCAGTATGACAGAGTATATTTATAATGGTTAAAGCCATAATTCACAATGAAGTTATAATATTTTTTAGTATCTAGGTACCAAATGACACAGCAAACACCTAAATATACCAGAATCACTATAGCAGAATATAGGAGAATGCAAGTAGCAATAGAAACACATAATAGAAAATTTTAAATACATCACAGTACAAATCTGGTATGACAAGATGTCTCAAGATCATCTAGTATATTTCTTGTCTCAAACCTGAAGTTAGCCATTTTTTTCAAGGACTCTTGGTTTCTTTTAATGGGAAATGATATTTATAGTTCACAATCTTTATATTAGGAGTGTTCACTTATACTGGGTTTGTCTTCAGTTCTAGGCCTTTACTAGGACATTTTTACAAAGAGAAAATACATCACTAGTCCATACTGAAGTTTTTAATTAAAATTTATGATTACAAGCTTTTTTATTTATTTGATTTTTATATTTGTATCTCTTTTGTCTTATGCTTAAAATCTAGGTTCCTAATGATATTAATAAAATTAATACATTCATCTTAACCTACAGTTTCAAATTAGTAATACAAATAGTATTACTAACAATATGGTTATTGCAAAAGGTTTAAGATGTTTGCAGTTCTTTTTCTCCATATTTTATTTCCAAATATGTATGTACAAATGACGGAGTTTTAAATTCACTTGAAATAATTTCTCTTTATATGATTAAACCACCAGCATTCTACATAATTAGATCCATTTGTTTCATTTTGCTTTTTACTTTTAGGGTTTTGTTATTTTTATTTTATTTTTGCTTTATTAAAAAATTGTTTTAAAGAATTCAAGATAGTTTAGCTGACAGTTGTAGTTTATTTTAAATAACAACTAAAAGTCTTGGGTTTCTAGGAATAGTGTTTCATCAAAAGTTAGCCAAGAAAGTTTTTCTTGATTTTTTTTCCCTAAAGTAGATGAAATATTTACTAATATAATAGTTTCATTTATCCTGTATATGTACTAGAAGCCTCTAGTCTCCAAGGCAGCTCTAAAAAGTGCCACACACTACTACCACACACACTATTTCTAAACACTAGTCTGGATTTTATATTAATATTTTCTAAGACATTGGAACTATCATCAGAGCCTTGCATGAAACTCGTTTTAACAAACCCTTAGCCTACTAATTTTGGTTATTCAGAGTCTCAATTATATACATAGCTGCTCATCTATCTTTCTAGTGCTAAAGTGATTTTTAGGCATAATAATTTAATATAAGTAAAAGTATGTGCCATAGAATATGATACACTCTGGCTCAAAATCTGGATTTTACAACTTTAAATGGGCCAGGCGCAGCAGCTCATACCTGTAATCCTAGCACTTTGGGAGGCCAAGGTGGTCACATCTCTTGAGCCCAGGAGTTTGAGACCAGTCAGACCAGTCTGGGCAACACGGCAAAACCACATCTCTACCAGAATAATATAAAAATTAGCCTGGAAGGTCAAGGCTGCAGTGAGCTGTGGTCACACTACTGCACTCTATCCTGGGCAACAGAGCAAGATAAATATCTCAAAATAAATAAACATAAATAAAAGTTTAGATGATTGTATTGGGTCATGAAAATCTGTTTTTGTGACAGCAGTAGCAAAATATAAGATTGTAGATACTGTGTCTCTTTTGGGGAAGTTGAATCTTAAAATGTGTATAATTCTGTGATTTCTCTTTTTCAGAGGCTGATAAAATACCAGTAATGCGTGGACAGTGGTTTATTGACGGCACTTGGCAGCCTCTAGAAGAGGAAGAAAGTAATTTAATTGAGCAAGAACATCTCAATTGTTTTAGGGGCCAGCAGATGCAGGAAAATTTCGATATTGAAGTGTCAAAATCCATAGATGGAAAAGATGGTAAGATCAATTGATACATTTAATATATTCTACAAACCAAGTAAGTTGTTGATAAAGTTTAGAGTGGTTTGTAAATTTGACATAATAATTCAGGAGGTTTAGAATTAGAAAATTTGATTTTTTTAAACATTTGATTATTCTAGAATTTAAAAATTAACTACTATAAATATCTGAACTATCTCAATTTTTATTTTAATATGTATGGTAAGTGTCATGATATTAACACAGTTTACTATAAATGTACAGATTGTTACAATGCACTCCCTATTTAATCTTTTTTAGTAATTTTTTAGTTATCAAAGGAAATTGAACTTAACCCAAAAATTCCTTGTTGTTATATCAAGACAAGTTTCATTAATATTTCAATGTTCTTTTCCTGAAGTTCAAAAAAAAAATCTTTAATTATCTTTGTGTATCTCTTAGTTATCCCCTATTGAAAACCATATCAAGTTTTAATTTGAAACAATCTACTCATTACATTTCTTTATTCAGCACTTGCATATTTTTGTAACAGTTCAAAATACTGTATAGTAGCTAAGATTGCCACATTTTCATTGTGTGTCTAAATCTTGAGTAAACTTCAAAATATGTGGTAAAGTTAAAAATACTTCTATTGTTCCATTTACTGCAGGCAGTGGGATCAACTATTCTGGTGAGTATAACTGTACAGGTAGATTAGAATTTGTAGATTTGTCTGAAGTTTTTCTTCTAAAACCGTTTCTTCATCCATGCTAGTCTTTATTTGGGAGGTTTCTTGGCAAGCTCTACTGAATCTAATGAATTAAAATATTAATTGATTTTTTCCCTTCCCCTCCTAAAACATCTCTAAAGCAGAAAAACTCAATATTGATCAGGTGATTTACAGAATGAAGCTTGAAAAAAACGAATTATGTGGTTGGAAGTAATTGTTTACATAACATAATTAATGTCAGCACTAAGCTTTAAGTTGGCAGGGGATTTTTTTCTTCTTCTTGTTAGTAACACTCCATATTTTTTCTCTCTGCCACTCTTTGCTCTCTCTTACCTCTCTGAACATATGTATACATTTGTCACAAGCAAGGAAACTGTGTAGTTTAGCTTATATCAAATTAAAATATCATTTGCATCTAGTTGATTAAAAGTCTATATAACTGAGGAAACTTGTGACTTCTGAATAAATTAGCAATTAAAGCTAACAAATTTATATAATAATAGTTGTCTTTTATGTGCCAGATACCATACTCTGGAAATTCTAAATATATTTTCCTAATCGGTAGAATCAAATATGTCCTTATTTCACTGTAAAATTTAAACTAAAGGTTCTTACATATCAATAAATAAGGAGCAGCCCAGTGTAAGAGCTCTAGGTATGTTTCTACAGATTGCCATGTAATACTTTGTTCTCCTTATAGTAAAAATAGCAAGTTTTATATATCTGTGATCTTATGGTAGTGACTGAAATATTTCATAACTTCTCATCACTATTGGTCAGAATAATTTCAAAAGTCTACTTCATAGTATTTGAAGGATAGACCTTTTATCATAAAATAATCTTATTGCCATTGGAGAAGTCTGAGTTCCAGATTTTTTTTTCCTTCTGTTAATTCCCCTAAGTATTCTGCCTCAAAAATGTCAGTTCACCATCACAAACCCAGTTTAGCCACCTGAATTTCTTATTATTAACACATGAAAAAAATCCAGGAGCTTGGAGGAGAAAGAGGATGAGTATGAAAAATACAAGTAGATGGTTCCCCTTTCTCATTCTGTGTTCAGAACTTTTTTTTTTTCCATTTGCTAAGTCACCCTGTGGAGATTAATAATCAGCTCTGTTTCTTCTCTAGATTCTGCCTGTTTCTAATCTTGTTTTTACTACAATAAAAATTAGAATTTAATATGTACTTTTTACTTCTGCTTCCTGCCTAAATGCTAAATGTAGCAAGATACTTCAGTTTTTCTCAAAGTGTTTGAATTTAAATAAGACTGATGTAAGAAGATGGTTTATTTGTGTGAGTACATTTTTTAGAATGTCTTTGCGTATGTGTATGTGTGAGTGTATATATCAGTTCTAGGGTAGCAATCTCTAGGATATCGTAATATTTTTTGTTATCTTTATGGATATACATGGAGTAGTAAAATTTTAATTAGTAATGGAAAATTATTAAATTATTAGAACACTTTTGCATTGTAATCTTTCAAAAATGATGATTCTTTGAGGTTCATTAGAAGAAAATTTGTTTTTATAATGTACTGTGGCATATAAGATTCAGCATGTTCTGTTATTAGCAAAGATGTGTTCAACTGAACATATCTTTGTCATAATTTTTGGTCACTTTATTTTTATTCAATATTAAACATATATTTATATCTTGTTACATTTGGCTTTGAAAATTATGGGAAATTGTGTAGTACATTTGAAAATAATAACAAGTCTTAAGGAAAGAACATTTGCTATCCAAAAAGCTACCATTGTCGGGAAAATCATTCAAATTTGTAACTACAAAGACTAAAAAATATTATAATCTTTTTAATTTACTGTTAGCTCTAAGCTTCTGAAATTTTATACTTCATTAGTTTGAGGGAGGAAAATACCCTTTCCACCTAAATTTTCTCATGTATAAAGCCTTGACTATTCATATTGTCAGATTTTGAATGATGCCATGTATAGTAATGTGGTAGGCACTTTTGTGAAAGAAATCGACAAGGTTTCTACCCTCAAGGAGTTTTAAGCCTGTTAGAGTAGACAAAGCCAACAGATGAAAACAGTTACAAAAGAGTAAGTACAAGAAGACATAGTAGTAGACAGTCAATATTACATATTCTGAAAAGATATTTGGAATAAAGTGAGTAGATAATCACAATGCAGTGGAATTATTCACATAAGGCTTTCTGGAAAAACCTCATTTAATAATTTAAAACATTTTAAAATACTATATTCAGGGATGTTTATTAAATGCTCTAGGGAATATCAAAGAAACTAATAGTTCTTGCCTTCAGGGACATTAAAATAAATAATAATTCCTTTTTCTTCTGACCTTGGCTGTTTGGTTAGGGTTGTTCTTGCCACAAACAGATTAGCTGTACAGTTGTCCCTTGGTATTTGTGGGGGATTGGTTTTAGGTACCCCCTACCACCACCAGATACCAAAATCTGAGGACATCCAAGTCCCTTTAATAAAATGGAGTGGTATTTGCATGTAACCTGTGAGCATACTCTTATATATTTTATTTTACTTTTTGGAGACAGGGTCTTTCTCTGTCACCCAGGCTGCAGTGCAGTGGCATAATCACAGCTCACTGCAGCTTCTAACTCCCGGGCTCCAGGACCCTCCCACCTCAGCCTCCCAAGAAGGTGTACACTACCACACCAGGCTAATTTTTTTTTTAAATTTTTTGTAGAGACAGGGTCTCACTATGTTGCCCAGGCTGGTCTTGAACTCCTGGGCTCAAGTGTTCCTCCTGCTTCAGCCCCCACAAAGTGCCAGGATTACAGGTGTGAGTCACTGTGCCCAGCTCTGTCTTGTATATTTCAAATAATATCTAGATTATTTATGATACCTAATACTATGTGATGCCATGTAAATAGTTGTACACCATGTTGGTTTTTGATTGATAATATTTTTTATTTTTGTGTTTTATTGTTTTTTTCCCCACATATTTTTGGTCTGTGGTTGGTTGAATCTGCAGATCAGGAGTGCCAACTGTATTTAATCTTTTCCTCCTTATTAACTTTCCTTACTAATCTCAAAATGAGCATTGAATTAAAAAAAACATGAAAATTTGGTACAGTGTGTAACTCTTTGTAGCATACAAATAAAGATAACCCACAAAGAGATAATGACTTTGTGATTTAGATACTTTAATCTAAATTTAGTTCTCTGTGAGAGTTAAAATGAAAATTGATTTTCTTCTTACCCTACCTCCTGGGCTAGAAAATGTTTAGCAGTTTAACAAATGAAAGCCTACTGTTTCACTTGGGATGAAACATAAAAATAGAAATCAAGATGTCAACAAGTAATTTGGTAAACATTAATACTTAAATCTACTGCTGGATTAGTGTTTCACTCATTTTACATCTTATTGATCCAAACATGCATAGTAATCAGTAAAAAATAGGTTGAACTGAATGGGTAAGTGCAGCACATCACTCTGCCCAAAAAATGAGTAAACTCAATTCAGTCGTGAGAAAACTCGTACTGAGGGTGATTCTACAAAATAACTGACTGACCAGCAGTCTTCAAAAGTGTCAAGGTCATGAAAGACAAGTAAATATTGAGGAATTTGTCACAGAATAGACTAAGGAGACATGACAACAAAATGCAATGTGGTACCCTAGATTGGATCGTAGAACAGAAAAAGATACTAGTGGAAAAACTAGAGAAACCTGAATAAAGTCTGTATATTAGTTGATAGTATTGTACCACTGTTAATGTCTTAGTTTTGATAATTATACTATAGTTATGCAAGATGCTAACATTAGGAGAAGCTGGATGAAGGATATGTCATAGCTCCCTGTACTATTTTTGCTATTTTCTGTTAAGTCTAAAATTATTCCAAAATACAAAGTTTAAGTCTAGTAGAGGAATTAAAATGGAATACTAAAAAATATTCAATTAACCCAAAATAAACCAAGAAAAAGGAACAGAGATACAAAAAACAGATGGGACAAAGAGAAAAATAAATGGAAAAATGGCAGACCTATTCACCCATATCAATAACAACAAATATAAATATATTTGTATATATAAGATAATTAATACTCCAGTTAAAAGGCAAAGTGACAGATTGTTTAAGAACGCAAGACCTGACTATAAAAATCACAGATAAATTGAAAGTAAAAGATTGGAATTCTTACTGTTCCAGGTAATTTCAGGTGCCATAGCAGCACAGGTGTTGGTGTCTCTGTAAAGATTTATGACATTTAACAAGTTGGTGGATGAAGTGTGTATTCCTATCACTGTAGCTGAATAAATATACCCCGTACTGTGAACATAGCATTTCAAAGCTCGATTAAAAAGATGGAGGGGTGCTCACCTTCTAACTAGCTTTCCTTTTCTTCTCTCTTTGGTGACTAAGAGGATTCCCACCTTCTAGCTTTTAGTTATTATTTAATTTTTATAAATTTATCTAACTTTATTTCTCTGAGGTCCAAGAAAGATTGCCAGAAATTTTCTCATTATAGTTGGCAGGTTAGAGATGTGTAAGACTGCTTCCCTGGGGTTGGAATTTTTCAGGTTGCCAGCTTTTCTAAAGGGAAAAGTTAGTTTTTCTGTTGTAGGAATTAGTATGTCATCAGCAGCAGTAACCCTCTTTTGTGATACTCTTGTGCTTTCAGAGTTATATAATGCAGAAAGTTTCTTTAAGATATAGTAAGGAAATTTATTGGAAATATTTTTAGTATTTTAAATCTTTTTCATTGCTATGTAAGACTTTAACATATTAATTTTTATTAAATGTTAGCACTAATAAATTAGCATTTGCAGTTGTGTTTTGAGGTTATGCATCTTTTGCTAATACTGTGTAAGAATTTCTAACTAAAACTGTATTTTAAAAAAAGAAAATTAAATAGTGCTTTCTGGCACTTGAATTTTCTTTAACAGTGATCTTTGTTTGGATCGATAGTAAACTCTTTTTTTCCTCTACTGTACTTATCATAGTACCCCTAATTCTGTGCTTTGGGTTGAAAAAGTTAAGCTCTGTATGCTACAGGATGTGTAATAAATAAAGCAAATGACTTTCAAGTGAAAATAAGAATTACATTTGAAAAGAAAGAACCATGTCTGTTTAATTTTGTGAAAATGTTTTAAATATGTTTCTCTGGAGGATGAAAAAAATTTTTTTCTTTGTTTCTCTGTGTATAGGGGTGTTTGTCTTTTTATTAATCCTTAAATTATACTATTCTTTTAGAAAAGAAAGCCTTCATTTGTGTATCTTGGCTAGCTTTCCGAAAGCGTTTACATAATTTTAAAACATGGTCAAATGGTCCATACATTTCCCATTTCGTTCTCGTTTAATATTTAATAATATGGAATTGGTTCACGTTAGTTTTACTACCAGATCTACAAAATCTAGTTTTTGTTTCAAGCAGTAAAGTCTCAAGTTTGTGTCAGTTTGATTTACTTTGATATATTAGCATCTTTTTCCTAATGAATTTTTTGTTTAAAACTGTTTCCTGGTCTAAGTGGTACATCTGCTCCTCAGTAACTGACCAGAAGGCACATGAAAGAAGAAACATTTTCAGTGAAGAAAATTGCATCAGTTGTCATTTTTTACCTCTCTGTGACAAGGAAATGTTGTTATAATCCTGACGTAGCACAGCTTTTAGTTCCAGTTTATAGTTTTGTAGCCATCTAATTACATATAGATATAGTTATTGTGTCTTGTAAGCATTTCTCAATTACTTTTATTACACAAATCTTTGCATATACTACATCTGCATATTCAACAGATTTGTTACATTTCTAGTATTATAAAACAGGAATTAAATATTTTTGTATTTGAGCAGTATTTAACCTTTGAATGTCACATTAATATAGAAGGGAGTGAGGATGAAAATCAAATGTATTTGAACATGAATTTGAGCTAATCATAAAGATCCTGTAATTTATTAACTGGTGAGAAACTAATTTGTAAGGTTCAAGTTCAAGTGAACTTTTAAATAATTGCTTACTTAAAATATAAAGAAATTTATATAACTACCAAAATTTGACAGGGAAAATGTTGACTTTAAGGTTATCTACTGATTTGCCAAATATCAAGTCTGTGCCTAGCTTTACTCTATGTTGTCTGTTTAGTGCTTACAAGTTGTCACAGCATACATTTTTACTAATGACTTTTTTCATTATTTTATTACAGTCTTTTCAAAAGCAAAGTTAAAAGCAGAGCTTCCAGTTTGATTTTTGTTTTTTAGTAAAAGTTTTGTTTTTTAAAGTCTTTTAAGAACTTGAATGGAGTTGAGAAAAGAATTTTTTTTTTTCCCTAAGGGAAGGTTCCATTATACTTCAGCAGTGGAAAGCATCTAGTAGAATGTATGCTGTGGTATCTTCTCAGGAAGGTTGCATTAGATATGTAAAATGTTATTTATTGCATTTTCAATTTGTACATCAGCTGTTGGCTGTGTCAGTCACAAATTTGGTGAGAGTAAATAACCTTAGTGTTGTAAAGATGGAGTTTATAAATCTCTTGGCATTTGAAAATGTTATGTTCTTTTTTAAAAATTCTTTCTATGCAAAGACATTAAACATGATAATCAGTTGTTTTTAATAAATTTAGATATTATTTGCCTTTTTTCTTTCAGTAACAGCAGCTATTTGATAAACATTATACTAATGTTTTGCTTTACTGATTCTTAGAAATCATATAAATGAAGCATTTAGAATAATGTTTTTCAAATACAACTCATTTTTTAAAGTTAATACTAGAACAAAAAGGCAAAATGGCAAATCTCATTTAAAATTTACTTTGAAGCTCAGTGTTTTTGCTTTCTTAGTTGTCTACCACCTCCCTCCCTTCTCCCTCCCTTCTCTGTTCAAATGGAGAAGATATAAGGAGAGTACAGATGCGACAGGTCTTAAACGAAAGCATTCCCAAGGTACAGTAATTGTAGTTTTATTTCTCCATGTAGTTATATTCCTGGCTTATAGTATTCAGTTGCATTTAAAGCATAGAAATTATTAGTTTTTTTTAAATGTGTCCATTGTATTAGTTTGTTTACTGCTACTTTATTATGTGTATAAATATTGGTAAACAGTGTGTATAGTCCAGTAACAGGATATTCAGATGTTCCCCAACATTAAAATGGTTTAAGATGATATATGGATGATTTAAAGAGGAAAATAATTTTTCTGGCTTAACACTCATCTCTAAATATCTTGATCTCATAGTTTAACGTTTTAAGCATCTGTTGCTCACAACTATTTTAACAAAAATGTGGTTTAGAAACATATAAGAGCTTGAAGTAGTGGCATGGATCAGATATGTAATTAGAAAAGTGATTGTTAAACCCTTGCAAAAGATTTTTTTTAGTTTATGAAAAGCTCTTTTATTTAAAAAGCTGACCTTATACATTATTTTCTTTGGAACCGAAGATATAATTTATGTTTATTATGTTAATTGAATCTTGATCTGGTGTACAGTGTTAGTAATGTGCCGTGGCAGGTAAGTAAAATATAAATTGGTTTTTCATAAACTTCTGAAGTTGCATATTTAATATAACTAAGAAGTACAATTCCTCATAATGTACTTGTATCCTAGTGGGGAATAGGTTTTCATAAAAATGTCTTATGATCATACATCTTGACCAGAGCTATATCTTTTTATATTTAGCTTGAGGTTATTTTCAGCCCATCTTTAAATCAGTAGAGTTAGACTCTGCCAGTAGCTAACTCTGTGGCAGGTCAGTTTGTCTCTTTGTACCTCTGTATTTTTGTAAGTAAAATGGGAGATAATATTTTGCCTTGAAAGAATTTTAAGAAAATAAATCAAGCATAGTGATTTGAAGGTACTTAGCTTTCTGAAGATGGGTATGTTAATTTTTCCTACCTATATACCAGAGCTATAAAGGAAAAGCTTAAGGTCCTCAAAACATAAGAATTATCAAATTATGAATTGATGGATATGTTATATCAATTTCTTCACTACTTCCACAAACATTGCTGTATTTGTGGTATGTGCCAGACACTGTGATAGGACATTCTGTTTGGTGCTAGGGATATATAAGAAATGGTCAAGACACATTCCCTGGCTCCTGGGGCTTACGAATTCCTAAAGAAAATAGGTTTGGAATTTTTTTAAGGCCTCATTTTCACCAAGCATATCCCCAGTTACAGAAATGCAGCAACCATACTGATTTTTTTTTTTTTTTTGAGACAGGATCTCTCTGTGTTGCCCAGGCTAGAGTGCAGTGGCATGATCATAGCTCATTGCAGGCTTGACCTCCTGGGCTTAAGCGATCCTCCTGCCTCAGCCTCCCAAGTAGCTGGAACCACAGGCACATATCACCAAGCCCAGCTAATTTTTTAGTTTTCTTTTTAAGAGACGGGGTCTCATTATTGTTGCCCAGGCTGCTATCAAACTCCTGGGCTCCAGTGATCCTCCTGCCTCAGCCTCCCAAGTAGCTGGAACCACAGGCACATATCACCATGCCCAGCTAATTTTTTAGTTTTCTTTTTAAGAGACGGGGTCTCATTATTGTTGCCCAGGCTGCTATCAAACTCCTGGGCTCCAGTGATCCTCCTGCCTAAGCCTCCCAGAGTGCTGGATTACAGACGTGACTGACTGCACCCAGCCAACCATACTGATTTGAACATCATGGCAGAAAAACATTTCCTTAATTTTGTATTACTAAAATATCTTTCAATTTTGGATTTCTGCTATGATGAGCAATATCCAATAATTATTGGCTTTACTATCCATTCCAAAAATACCTCATTTTCTAATAGATTATTTTTTTCCCAGTTTAAAGGTAAATTTTTTTCCCCTCTGAGTCTTATTTTGTCTAGTACTTAGTGAAATTTTTTTCTTTTTTTTTTTTAGACGGAGTCTTGCTCTGTAGCCCAGGCGGGAGTGCAGTGGCGTGATCTCGGCTCACTGCAAGCTCCGCCTCCCAGGTTCACGCCATTCTCCTGCCTCAGCCTCCTGAGTAGCTGGGACTACAGGCGCCCGCCACCACACCCGGCTAATTTTTTTTTGTATTTTTGTAGAGACGAGGTTTCACCGTGTTAGCCAGGATGGTCTCGATCTCCTGACCTCGTGATCCGCCTGCCTTGGCCTCCCAAAGTGCTGGGATTACAGGTGTGAGCCACTGCACCTGGCCACTTAGTGAAATTTTTACAAATCCTTTGATATTTTTAGTAAAATCAGTAGAAGAAACTGAAATTAAGTTGCTCTGTCAAAGCTATTGAGGGCTTGAGGTATATATGCCTTAGACCCAGTGAAGAGTCAGCCACATCACCCGGGAAAGCAGTTAATTATCAAAACACATAGAAGCTGTATATTAGAGGTTAAAATTATGATAGTTAAGTAACTCAATGGTTTAAAAAGTTGCCATTCCCTGTAGCAGGATTAATCATTTATAAAATAAAGTCCCTATCCATTACTTGCTTCACATAACTTTTTTTATGTGAAATAGTGTTTTATTGAATTAAGTTCCATATCTGAGTTTTTTAGATAACATATTGATTTTAAAATCTGAGTGTTATAATTCTTCAAACAAATAAAGTTTGTCTTGGAGACCTTCAAATTAGCTTTTCCTTTTTGCAATAGCTGTTCATAGTTTCAAGTTGAGTCGAAACCATGTGGACTGGCACAGTGTGGATGAAGTATATCTTTATAGTGATGCAACAACATCTAAAATTGCAAGAACAGTTACCCAAAAACTGGGATTTTCTAAAGGTAATTGTTAAATATTACTAGAGCTTATCAAAATTTTGGGAATCTGACTTTCTCTCATATTCAAAATAGACAATTCATATTCTGTTTTTAGTATGTTTTAAGTATATTAAATTTAGTGACAGATTCCTTTTTAAATGAAACTTTTATTAAGTTGATTGAGTTGACATGTGTTCATCAAGGAATAATTATTATATATTTAGAATGATTTGACAAAATTAATAAATATCTTTTATACTTCTAAAAGCACAAAAGCTGTTAAACCTAAAATGTGGCAGTTGAAATATAGTGTCAAGGAAGATGAGGACTGAAAGTTTTCCATTGTATTTAGTGATCTGGAGGTCACTGGTGACTTAGATGGATTGATGGGGCAGAAACCAGATCGGCATGGGTTGAAGCGTAAGTAGAAGGTGAAGCAATGGAAGCAATGAGAATAGACAACTCCTTTTTTTTTTTCTTCTTTTATTTTTAAGATGGGGTCTCACTCTGTCTCCCAGGCTGGAGTACAGTGGTGTGATCATAGCACATCATAACCTGGAACTAATTCCTGGGCTCAAGCAATCCTCCAAACTCAGCCTCCTCAGTAACTAGGATTACAGGGATGCATCACTATGCCCAGCTAATTTTTTTTATTTTTTTGTAGAAACGGAGTCTCCTTGTGTTGTCCAGGCTGGTCTCAAATTTTTGGGCACAAGCCATCCTCTCGCCTTGGTCTCCCAAAGCTCTGGGGTTACAGGCTTGAAATACAGTGCCTGGCCTGACAACTGTTTAGAGAAGTTTGACTAAATGAAAGAAAAGAGAGAATGATACCTGGGAAAGATGTGAGAGCATTATCAAAAAATAAATGTAAAAAGAATTTTAAAGTTTGATAAAATTTTTATATCCTATTTTAAAATTTTAATTTCATCAATAAGTGTGCTTTGAATATCTTTTTATGTTTATTAGTTATATTTATTTTGAATTACCTTCCATAACTTTAACTTATTTTGCTATTTGAATGGTTGTCTTTACTTTTTAATTAGTAAGCTCTCTCTGTATACTTAAGTAATTATGTGTTATATTTTGCATATTTTTTTCCAGTTTGCCATTTCTTTTTTCCTGATATTTTCTTATTATAATATAGAAGCTTTAAATTTTTATATATTCAGTTTGTCCTTCTTTCCTTCCATTTCTTTCTCTTTATGGTTTCTGGCTTTGGTGTTGTGTCCAGTTCACTTTATATCACAGCTGATCAATATATACCTTCTTACAGTTTTTATTTCCTCCCCCACAGCCAGTGAAATTTTTTCATAATATTCCTTTTACTTCTTTTTTTTCTTTTAACATATTGTGGAAATGCTATTTCTCAGATTAAATAGTAAACTTAGAATTATAATTTTTCTACAGCATCAAGTAGTGGTACCAGACTTCATAGAGGTTATGTAGAAGAAGCCACATTAGAAGACAAGCCATCACAGACTACCCATATTGTATTTGTTGTGCATGGCATTGGGCAGAAAATGGACCAAGGAAGAATTATCAAAAATACAGCTATGTAAGTTCTTTGATGAATGCATTGTATATCTAATCTAGAATCCAAACTTTGATCCAGGGTATAAGAGATATTAACAGTATACTAATTCCACTGCATGTTCCTCCAGTGCCAACTATTCTAATACCTCTTAAGTCATAGATCAAGTATCTGGACCAAATTTTGAGAGGGATTATGTCTACAGGATGATGACAATGTTTGATCTTTCTCCCCACAGTATGGAGAAGAGGGATAAGGAAGCCTTTTTTAATCTAATACATTAAGTTAATTTATAATCTAACATTGAAAGCAAGAAGAAGATCTAGTTTTAAGTTACATCTTACTCTCTGAACTTCAGAAACTAAGAATACTGCAAAGCTGCACAACTCTAAAAAGGCTAAGAATTAGCCAGTTAGCAGCTTAACCTATCCAATTAATTGCTACCCAAGGAAACTGAACTCTGAATTTTATGTGGAAAACAGTGGATTATTTACCAACACACCAGACAGGTTATTTACCTCATTAGTTTATTTATATTCAGCTTTATCCTGAAACTTTTTAAGATGTCTTAGGGGTATATGTGATATTTGCGTGTTTCAAAAACATTAACAACTTTGTTGAAAGGGCATGTTAGGGTTAAGGGTTCCACCACAAATTTGGCTCTGAGCTAGCAACCAGTATAAAGAAAAATATAATCAGTTATAGATGATGCCAAGAGAACAAGTCTGTTGTTGACAAGCCCAGTTTATTTGATTCTGAGGCTTATAAAGGCTTGAGTCCTTATAAAGCAAACAGTGTGTGATACCAGAAAGTATGTCCTCAGCAACACCTCTATAATAATAATGCAATGCTGAGTTTTATTTCACTTTTTATTGTAACATCTCTTAATGCCAGCTAACGGATTAAAGTTAAAATACAATTCAACTTTTTTTTTTTTATTATACTTTAAGTTCTAGGGTACATGTGCACAACCTGCAGGATTGTTACATATGTATACATGTGCCACGTTGGTTTGCTGTACCCATTAACTCATCATTTACATTAGGTATTTCTCCTAATGCTATGCCTCCTCCATCCCCCCACCCCAGTGGGGCCCGGTGTGTGATGTTGCCTACCCTGTGTCCAAGTGTTCTCATTGTTCAGTTCCCACATATGAGTGAGAACATACGGTGTTTGGTTTTCTGTCCTTGCGATAGTTTGCTGAGAATGATGGTTTCCAGCGACATCCATGTCCATACAAAGGACATGAACTCATCCTTTTTTATGGCTGTGTCATATTCCATGGTGTATATGTGTCACATTTTCTTAATCCAGTCTATCATTGATGAACATTTGGGTTGGTTCCAAGTCTTTGCTATTGTGAATAGTGCCGCAATAAACATACGTGTGCATATGTCTTCATAGTAGCATGATTTATAATCCTTTGGGTATATACCCAGTCATGGAATGGCTGGATCAAATGGTATTTCTAGTTCTAGATCCCTGAGGAATCACCACACTGTCTTCCACAATGGTTGAACTAGTTTACAGTCCCACCAACAGTGTAAAAGTGTTCCTATTTCTCCACATCCTCTCCAGCACCTGTTGTTTCCTGATTTTTTAATGATTGCCATTCTAACTGGTGTGAGATGGTATCTCATTGTGGTTTTGATTTGCATTTCTCTGATGGCCAGTGATGATGAGCATTTTTTCATGTGTCTGTTGGCTGCATAAATGTCTTCTTTTGAGAAGTGTCTCTTCATATCCGTTGCCTACTTTTTGATGAGGTTCTTTGACTTTTTCTTGTCAATTTGTTTAAGTTCTTTGTAGATTCTGGATATTAGCCCTTGTTTAAATGGGTAGATAGCAAAAATTTTCTCCCATTCTGTAGGTTGCCTGTTCACTCTGATGGTAGTTTCTCTTGCTGTGCAGAAGCTCTTTAGTTTAATTAGATCCCTTTTGTCAATTTTGGCTTTTGTTGCCATTGCTTTTGGTGTTTTAGACATGAAGTCTTTGGTGTTTTAGACATGAAGTCTTTGCCCATGCCTATGTCCTGAATGGTATTGCCTAGGTTTTCTTCTAGGGTTTTTATGGTTTTAGGTCTAACATTTAAGTCCTTAATCCATCTTGAATTAAATTTTGTATAAGGTGTAATTAATTTTGTGTAAGGAAGGGATCCAGTTTCAGCTTTCTGCATATGGCTAGCCAGTTTCTACATATGGCTAGCCAGTTTTCCCAGCATCATTTATTAAATAGGGAATCCTTTCCCCATTTCTTGTTTTTGTCAGGTTTCTCAAAGATCAGATGGTTGTAGATGTGTGGTGTTATTTCTGAGGCCTGTGTTCTGTTCCATTGGTGTATATCTCTGTTTTGATACCAGTACCATGCTGTTTTGGTTACTGTAGCCTTGTAGTATAGTTTGAAGTCAGTTAGCATGATGCCTCCAGCTTTGTTCTTTTTGCTTAGGATTGTCTTGGCTATGTGAGCTCTTTTTTGGTTCCATATGAACTTTAGAGTAGTTTTTTCCAATTCTGTGAAGAAAGTCATTGGTAGCTTGATGGGGATGGCATTGAATCTATAAATTACTTTTGGCATTATGACCATTTTCATGATATTGATTCTTCCTATTCATGAGCATGGAATGTTCTTCCATTTGTTTGTGTCCTCTTTTATTTCATTGAGCAGGGTTTGTAGTTCTCCTTGAAGAGGTCCTTCACATCCCTTGTAAGTTGGATTCCTAGGTATTTTATTCTCTTTGAAGCAATTGTGAATGGGAGTTCACTCATGATTTGTCTCTGTCTGTTATTGGTTTATAAGAATGCTTGTGATTTTTGCACATCGATTTTGTATCCCGAGACTTTGCTGAAGTTGCTTATCAGCTTAAGGAGATTTTGGGCTGAGACAATGGGGTTTTCTAAATATACAATCATGTCATCTGCAAGTAGGGACGATTTGACTTCCTCTTTTCCTAATTGAATACCCTTTATTTCCTTCTCCTGCCTGATTGCCCTGGCCAGAACTTCCAACACTATGTAGAATAGGAGTGGTGAGAGAGGGCATCCCTGTGTTGTGCCAGTTTTCAAAGGGAATGCTTCCAGTTTTTGTCCATTCAGTATGATATTGGCTGTGGTTTTGTCATAAATAGCTCTTATTATTTTGAGATATGTTCCATCAATACCTAGTTTATTGAGAGTTTTTAGCATGAAGTGCTGTTGAATTTTGTCAAAGGCCTTTTCTGCATCTATTGAGATAATTACATGGTTTTTGTCTTTGGTTCTGGTTATGTGATGGATTACGTTTATTGATTTGCATATGTTGAACCAGACTTGCATCCCAGGGATGAAGCCAACTTGATCTTGGTGGATACGCTTTTTGATGTGCTGCTGGATTTGGTTTGCCAGTATTTTATTGAGGATTTTTGCATTGATGTTCATCAGGGATATTGGTCTGAAATTCTCTCTTTTTTGTTGTGTCTCTGCCAGGCCTTGGTATCAGGATGATGTTGGCCTCATAAAATGAGTTAGGGAGGATTCCCTCTTTTTCTGTTGACTGCAATGGTTTCAGAAGGAATGGCACCAGCTCCTCTTTGTACCTCTGGAAGAATTTGGCTGTGAATCTCTCTGGTCCTGGACTTTTTTTGGTTGGTAGGTTATTAATTATTGCCTTAATTTCAGAGCCTATTATTGGTCTATTCAGTGATTCAACTTCCTCCTGGTTTAGTCTTGGGGGAAAGGTGTATGTGTCCAGGAATTTATCCATTTCTTCTAGATTTTCTGGTTTATTCGCATAGAGGTGTTTATAGTATTCTCTGATGGTAGTTTGTTGTATTTCTGTGGGATCAGTAGTGATAATCTTTTTATCGTTTTTTATTGCATCTATTTGATTCTTCTCTTTTTTCTTCTTTGTTAGTCTTGCTAGCGGTCTATCAATTTTGTTGATTGTTTCAAAAAACCAGCTCCTGGATTCATTGATTTTTTTGAAGGGTTTTTTGTGTCGCTATTTCCTTCAGTTCTGCTCTGATCTTAGTTATTTCTTGCCTTCTGCTATATTTTGAATTTGTTTCCTCTTGCTTCTCTAGTTCTTTTAATTCTGATGTTGGGGTGTCAATGTTAGATCTTTTCTGCTTTCTCTTGTGGGCATTTAGTGCTATATATTTTCCTCTATACACTGCTTTAAATGTGTCCCAGAGATTCTGGTACATTGTGTCTTTGTTCTCATTGGTTTCAAAGAACATCTTTATTTCTGCCTTCATTTCGTTATGTACCCAGTAGTCATTCAGGAGCAGGTTGTTCAGTTTCCATGTATTTGTGTGGTTTTGAGTGAGTTTCTTAATCCTGAGTTCTAATTTGATTACACTGTGGTCTGAGACACAGTTTGTTGTCATTTGGGTTCTTTTACCTTTGCTGAGGAGTGCTTTACTTCCAACTGTGTGGTCAATTTTGGAATAAGTGTGATGTGATGCTGAGAAGAATGTATATTCTATTGATTTGGGGTGGAGAGGTCTGCAGATGTCTATTAGGTCTGCTTGGTGCAGAGCTGAGTTCAAGTCCCGGATATCCTTGTTAACCTTCTATCTCGTTGATCCGTCTAATATTGACAGTGGGTTGTTAAAGTCTCCCATTATTATTCTATGGGAGTCTAAGTCTCTTTGTAGGGTCTCTAAGGACTTCCTTTATGAATCTGGGTGCTCCTGTATTAGGTGCATATATATTTAGGATAGTTAGCTCTTCTTGTTGAATTGATCCCTTTACCATTATGTAACGTCCTTCTTTGTCTCTTTCGATCTTTGTTGGTTTAAAGTCTGTTTTATCAGAGACTAGGATTGCAATCCCTGCTTTTTTTTTTTTTTTTTTTTTTGCTTTTCATTTGCTTGGTTGAGCTTCCTCCACCCCTTTATTTTGGGCCTGTGTGTGTGTCTGCATGTGAGATGGGTCTCCTGAATACAGCACACTGATGGGTCTTTATCCCATTTGCCAGTCTGTATCTTTTAACTGGGGACATTTAGCCCATTTACAGTTAAGGTTAATATTGTTATGTGTGAATTTGATCCTGTCATTATGATGTTAGCTGGTTATTTTGCCCATTAATTGCTGCAGTTTCTTCCCAGCATCAATGGTCTTTACAATTTGGCATGTTTTTGCAGTGGCTGGTACCAGTTGTTCCTTTCCATGTTTAGTGCTTCCTTCAGGAGCTCTTGTAAGGCAGGCCCGGGGGTGACAGAATCTCTCAGCACTTGCTTGTCTGTAAAAGATTTTTTTCTCCTTCACTTATGAAGCTTGGTTTGGCTGGATATGAGATTCTGGGTTGAAAATTCTTTTCTTTAAGAATGTTGAATATTGGCCCCCACTCTCTTCTGGCTTGTGGAGTTTCTGCCGAGAGATCCGCCATTAGTCTGATGGGCTTCCCTTTGTGGGTAACCTGACCTTTCTCTCTGGCTGCCCTTAACATTTTTTCCTTCATTTCAACCTTGGTGAATCTGACAATTATGTGTCTTGGAGTTGCTCTTCTCGAGGAGTATCTTTGTGGTGTTCTCTGTATTTCCTGAATTTGAATGTTGGCCTGCCTTGCTAGGTTGGGGAAGTTCTCCTGGATAATATCCTAAAGAGTGTTTTCCAGCTTGGTTCCAGTTCTCCCCGTCACTTTCAGGTACACCAGTCAGACGTAGATTTGGTCTTTTCACATAGTCCCATATTTCTTGGAGGCTTTGTTTGTTTCTTTTTACTCTTTTTTCTCTTAACTTCTCTTTTCGCTTCATTTCATGAATTTGATCTTCATTCACTGATAACCTTTCTTCCCCTTGATCAAATCAGCTACCGAAGCTTGTGCATGTGTCACGTAGTTCTCGTGTCATGGTTTTCAGCTCCATCAGGTCATTTAAGGTCTTCTCTACACTGTTTATTCTAGTTAGCCATTCATCTAATCTTTTTTCAAGGTTTTTAGCTTCCTTGCAATGGGTTTGAACATGCTCCTTTAGCTCAGAGAAGTTTGTTATTACCAACCTTCTGAAGCCTACTTCTGCCAGCTCATCAAAGTCATTCTCTGTCCAGCTTTGTTCCATTGCTGGTGAGGAGCTGCGATCCTTTGGAGGAGACGAGGTGCTCTGGGTTTTAGAATTTTCAGCTTTTCTGCTGTAGTTTCTCCCCATCTTTGTGGTTTTATCTACCTTTGTTCTTTGATGATGGTGACGTACAGATGGGGTTTTGGTGTGGATGTCATTTTTGTTGATGCTGCTGCTATTCCTTTCTGTTTGTTTGTTTTCCTTCTAACAGTCAGGTCCCTCAGCTGCAGGTCTGTTGGAGTTTGCTGGAGGTCCACTCCAGACCCTGTTTGCCTGGGTATTACCAGCGGAGTCTGCAGAGCAGCAAATGTTGAAGAAAAGCAATTATTGCTGTCTGATCATTCCTCTGGAAGCTTCGTCTCAGAGGGGCACCCGGCTGTGTGAGGTGTCTTTTGGCCCCTACTGGGAGGTGTCTCCCAGTTAGGCTGCATAGGGGTCAGGGACCCACTTGAGGAGGCAATCTGTCCATTCTCAGAGTTGAAACCCCGTGCTGGGAGAACCACTGCTCTTTTCAGAGCTGTCAGACAGGGATGTTTAAGCCTGCAGAAGGTTCTGCTGCCTTTTGTTCAGCTATGCCCTGCCCCCAGAGGTGGAGTCTACAGAGGCGTGCGGGCCTCATTGAGCTGCAGTGGGCTCCACCCAGTTTGAGCTTCCCAGCCACTTTATTTACCTACTCAAGCCTCAGCAATGGCAGATGCCCCTTCCCCAGCCAGGCTGCCGCCTAGCAGTTTGATCTCATACTGCTGCACTAGCAATGAGCAAGGCTCTGTGGGTGTGGGACCCGCTGAGCCAGGCGCGGGATATAATCTGGTGTGACATTTGCTCAGACCATTGGAAAAGCACAGTATTTAAGTGGCAGTGTCTCGATTTTCCCATTACAGTCTGTCACGGCTTCCCTTGGCTAGGAAAGGGAAATCCCCAGACCCCTTGCGCCTCCTGGGTGAGGCAATGCCCCACCCTGCTTCGGCTTGCCCTCCATGGGCTGCACCCACTGTCCAACCAGTCCCAGTGAGATGAACCAGGTACCTCAGTTGGAGATGCAGAAATCACCTGTCTTCTGCATCGATCAAGCTGGGAGCTGCAGACCAGAGCTGTTCCTATTTGACCATCTTGGAAAAGACCTCACAATTCAACTTTTTAAAGAAAAAACCTTGTCACATAGTGCCAGGCCAACCTTGATCCTTTTCAATGTCCATAGCTTATATTACAGAAATCTCTTCACTCTGATCCTGATTTTACTCTCTGATGAATTATGTATTACTTCCCGTGATGTTTATATTTATATGTTAGTATGCAGATATTTTGCTTGAATATCTAGGAACCTGAGAACTAGGTTTACTTGTATATTCTCTCTGGAGCCATTGATAAATAAGAAGGTATCAGTTTGATTCCTTTGAGTACAGGTGAGGGAAATCCTAACCCAAAAAGGCTTAAGCCAAAAGCAGGATTTAGTAAATCATAAAACTGAGGAGTCTAGGAGTCATATTGCCAAGCAAGTCATCAAAATCCAGTTTTATCTGCTCTATAGCCTTCATTTTGGAGCCATTATCACACATCTCCTTTGATTCCAAATGTGATTTATATAATCTTGTGTTCAAATTCAAGAAGAATAAGTCCTTTTTTCCAAAAGTCCCAGCTAGTCTGTGCATTAGCTAGTGACTAATGATGTTGATCCAACTTCCTGAATCTATGTATGTAGCCAAGCAGGGTATGATTGGCTAAACTTGTCATATTCCCAACCTAGAATCAGATGGAAGTTGACTTCATCTTAACTATAGGAAGAGCTAGATTCACAGATAAAAATCAAGAGCTATTATTGGAAGCAGGATGAATGAATCCAAGGTGGCTCAAAAAAAAACCCAAGTGTCCACTACAAGGAGCATTGCTATCATTTCTTCGTAGACAGGTTAATTTGATGGAAAATTCTACACATAACTTAGTAATCAATGGAAAATATTCATATAAAAAGGAATTCTGCATAATAAAAGAGAGAAAGATGGGAAAATCCATAGGATTTCTTACCATTTCCCTGCTTGCTGTCATTCCTAAGTTCAGTGTTCGGGCCTATACAAAACTTCATCCTTATCAGTGCCATCCTGAAGCTTGTGTGTACTTGTGATTGATTTGACAGCCTTTTGTTCTCTGAGGATTTCTTTAAATCATGTCTTAGATTCCTGGGAATAGAGAGTTTTCCCTCTTAACCTTATTTTAGCAAACTTGCTAATGATTAGTTCAGACTAGCTTCAATCACCTTTGTTCCAGAAAAATATGTTTACCGCTTACATAGACTGAGAAGCAAATTTTTAGACAACTTCTGGGAATGTCAGAATTAGTTTACTAAAAGGGATAAATGGAAGGCATTTTAAATACAATTGAATTTACTTTTTGTGGAGTTTAATTACAAGGGAACTCTTCATAGAACTTGGCATATCTAATACCCTAAATTAGTCATTTTAAAGCTATAATCTTAGAAGACTATAAAGAGGTTTTCAGTTAAACACAGTATGTTGAACACATGAGCTTATCTTATTCCCTCCTGAAACCTTTTTGAACATGATATAAAAAAGAATTTTAAAAAGCAAAAAGGCATAAACCCGTAAGTACAGAAAAAAAATGGGAGAATAAACAATAGTGACAAGAATATCAACGAAACTTATTTTTTTGAACAGGACATACATGTAGTTCACAAAACAAAATATTAAAATATGGAGTAAAAAGGCTGATTCTCATTTCTCTCCCCGTCTTCCCTCATTATCCTTTGTCCTTGTGTCCCCATTTAGAGTCTTCTAGATTTTCTTTAGGCATACACAAATTTTTTTCCACACAAAAGGTGCATGCTATAGACTTCTGGACCTTGTTTTTTTGTTTGTTTGTTTGTTTAAAAAATGTATTTTGGATTGCTTGAGCCCAAGAGTTCAAGACTGTGGTGTGCTATGATCCTACCTGTGAGTTGCCAGTGCACTGCAGCATTGGACAATGAAGCAAGACCCCATGTCTTTTTTTTTTTTTTTTTGAGATAGAGTCTCACTCTGTCGCCCAAGCTGGAGTGTGGTGGCATGATCTTGGCTCACTGCAGCCTCCGCCTCCTGGGTTGAAGAAATTCTCCTATCTCAGCCTTCCTAGTAGCTGGAACTACAGTCACACGTCACCACACCCGGCTAATTTTTGTATTTTTAGTAGAGACAGGGCTTCACCATATTGGTCAGGCTGGTCTCGAACTCCTGACCTCAGGTGATCCACCCACCTCAGCTTCCCAATGTGCTGGGATCACAGGCGTGAGCCACCATGCCCGGCCAACCTCATCTCTTAAAAAAAAAAAAAAAAAAAAAGGTATCTTGGAGATCACTGTTCATGATTTTCTATTTATATCTTTTTCTATTTTTTTCTATATTTATGTCACACATATATTTTCTTAAAACCAATTAGTTTACCAATTTTTTTCTAATTGAGAGGAATTATGAAGACTTATGTTTTACAGCTATTTAATGATCCTCAGTTGTACAGTAATTCTTAAATGCTATTAATCTCTATCTTCTCTTCTTACAATATGAAGTAAACATTCATTGCTCAGAGAACATGGAAATTGAAATAAGCTTATAACAGGACTGAAATCATGATTTTTGTGCATGCATAGCAGCACAGTAATGGGTCATTGTCTGAGGTATAGTATAATATTGTTTAATCATTCCTTTTTCTCATTTTCTCTATCTCCCATTGGTCTCAGTAGTTCTTATGAGATATTTAAGAAATAGATTTTACTGTTTTTAGTAAGGCAAATTTGGGCGTATAGCCAGAACATATCCAACTTCTCTCTTCCCTCTCCCTGTCTCCCTCTTCCTCTTTTCCCCATCCCCCTCCTCTCCCTTCTCCTTCCCTCATTATTTTTTCATTTTTCTTCCATCCTTTTCTTTTTTTTCTTAACAGTCACTCCAGTACTCCAAATGATTCAGTAGACATACCTGTTTGATCAGTTTTTAATCATTTGAGAATTATGATAGCGATCCTGTGGAGTGAAGGATTGTGTAAGTTTGCTTTATAACAAAACAACATTTTAAGCAGATGTAGTGTTTCCAAGTTGAGAACTCAAAATTAGGGTTTCCCAGCTACATCACTATTGACATTTTTGACTGGATAATTTTTTGTTATGATGGCTGGCCTGTGCATTGTAAGATGTATAACTGTATCCCTTGCCTCTCCTCACTGATGCAAATAAAACCCTTAGTTGTTAGAACCAAAAATATCTCCAAACATTGCCAAGTGTCCCTCGAAGTACAAAATTGTCTATGGTTGAGAACCACTAATCTAAATGAACTCTTTTGTGTGCAAATTCAAACAGCAGCACATGTACCACTTCCTAATTACTATGCCACAATGATTTACATAAGAACTACACAGCCATCAAAATTGAATGAGTGGGTAGAAAAATATTAGAAATTTTTAAATATGTTCTTCCTTGCATATACTCATATTTGTTAAAACTGAACATTTGAAAAGATGACAAAGAAACTTTAAAAATGTTTATGCGATTACTTATCTGATGTAAAAAAGGAACTTTTAGACTTTGTGGATAATAAAGAAATCCTGCCTTCAAGTCTAAAGTTTTGGCTGTCATTTTATTTTCAGTGATGATAAGGGAAGCACATCTTTATTTTGGCAAAGTAGAATCTAGGCTTCTTAAAATGCGAACTTTGGGGATATGCAGTCAATAAACATAATTATAATGCAATGTCTTTTAAAATATACTGAAAATGAAGATAGACTTCTCAACAAGTACTATTGGGATAACTAGATTTGCATATAGAAAAAAATTAATTGGATCCATTTCTCACACAAGGATAAATTTCAATTGGATCACATTTAAGTGAAAGAAATGAAACCAGGACATGGTAGCACATGCCTATAGTCCTAGCTACATGGGAGGCTGAAGCAGGAGAATCGCTTGAGCCCAGGAGTTTGAGGCTGTAGTGCCCTATAACCACACCTATGAATAGCCACTGCACTTCAGCTGGGGCAACATAGCAAGACCTCATCTCCAAAAAAAAAAAAAAAAAAAAGGGGGAAGGAAAAGAAATGAAATTATACAAGTATTAGGGATTTTTTTAAAGGAGAGTTTGAATTCTTCTAGAACTTAGGAATAGAGAAAATTATTCTATGACTTGATCCACGAGAAATAAGGAAAAATATTGATAAATATATTGTCTAGGAAAAAAAATATATGGCAAAGAAAAATTAAGTTGAACTGAAAGAAACATTTTCAACTTACAGATGAAGGATTCTTAATATGTAAAATCGTTCTAAAAATAAAAATATGTTCAACCACCTTATAGGAAAATGGGCTAAAGATATAAGCAAGTAGTTCCCAGAAAAGGAAATGGCTCTTAACCATGTGAAAAGTCTTTTTTTTTGTTTTTTGGAGAGAGTTTTGCTCTGTCACCCAGACTGTTGTGCAGTGGCATGATCTCAGTTCACTGCAGCCTCCACCTCCTGGGTTCAAGCAATTCTTCTGCCTCAGCCTCCCAAATAGCTGGGACTACAGGTGCACACCACCACACCCAGCTAATTTTATGTTTTTTTAGTAGAGTTGGGATTTCACCATGTTGGCCAGGCTGGTCTCAGACTCCTGACCTCAAGTGATCTGCCTGCCTTGGCCTCCCAAAGTGCTGGGATTACAGGCGTGAGCAATGCACCCAAACAGATGTCATTTCTTAACTATCAGATTAGCAATAGCAAAAGTTCAAAATTTGACAACATGCTTTTTTTGGCCAGGCTGTAGTTAATAGATGTTCTTGTACAGCTGATGGAATGCAATGAAAACGAGTATGTGGCAGTATCTATCAAAATTGCATATGTATTTATCCTTTGACCCAGAAAACCTACTTCCAGGTACTATCCCAAAAAAAATCAGCAAAAAATAAAAGAGGCATGCACAAGGCTTTTGATTGCAGCATCACGTAGGAAACTACTCAAATATTCATCAGTAAGAGATGGCTTGATAAACTACAGCTTTTATTTATATAATGGAGTAGTATGCAGTTGTAAAATAGGGAAGATCTGTATGTATTACTCTGGTTCTTTGAAAAGATCCACAAAGTTGAGAACATTTTAACTAGACCAAACGAGAAAAAGATTCAAATTACTAAAATGAAAAATAAAGGAGGAGACATTACTACCAGCAAACTTACAGAAATAAAAAGGATTGTAAGGGAATACTATGCACAATTCTATGCTACAAAGTATATAACCTAGATTAAATGGACAAATTTCTAGAAGCAAACTACCAAAACTGTTTTAGTAATCACTTTCCAAGACAGACACAAACTAGGAAAACTGATCTGGTAACGAGGAAGAAATAGAAAATCTGAGTAGACCTGTAACAAGTAAAGCAGGAGTTCCAGGCTATAGTACATGTCGGTTCCAGTGACTAGCCACTGCACTTCAGCCTGGGCCACATAGTAAGATCCTGTGTCTTAAAAAAAAAATAGAGAAAAATTAGCACCACTTCTCTACAAACTCTCTAAAAAATGGAAGAGGAAGGAAGATTTCCCAGCTCATTCTATGAAGCCAGTATTACCCCGATACCAAAAACCAATGAAAGCATCATAAGGAAAAGAAAACTATACAAATATTACTGAATAGAGACCACAGAAATGTCAATGAAATGCCAACAAACTTGAATCCAGCACCATATATAAATGGTTATATACCATGACTAAGTGGGATTTATCCAGGAATACAAGATTGGGTCAACATTTTTTTTTTAATCAAGGTAATCCACCACATGTGTAGAATGAAGGAAAAAAAAACACATCATGTGATTTTCAGATACAGAAAAGACATTTGACAAAATCTCAACATACTTTCATAATAAAAGCACTCGGGAAATTAGAAACAGAAGACAACTTTCTCAACCTGGTAAAGGGCATCTACAAAAAGCCTGTGGCTAAACTTATTCTTTAATAGTGAAAGACTGAAACCTGCTCCTTGAGATCAGGAACAAGACAAGGATATCCACTCTCACCACTTCTGTTCAGCATTGTACTGTACGTTTCAGCCAGAGCAATTAAGCAAGAAAAGAAATAAAAGGCATCTAGATTAGTATGGAAGAGATAAAACTATCTCCGTTTGCAAATGACATGACATTATAAGTAGAAAAGTCCTTTTGTTCTTCAAAGGACAGTGAAGAAAATGAAGACAACCCTCAGAATGGGAGAAAATATTAGCAAACCACATATCTGATAAAGGTCTAGGATCCAGGATATATAAAGTACTCTTACAACTCAACAGTTTTTAAAAAAGGAAGACCCCAGTTTTTTTAAATGGGTAAAGGATTTGAGTAGACATTTGTCGAAATAGGATATACAAATGGCCAATAAATCCAGGAAAAGATGTTCAGCATCTTTAGTTATTAGATGTGACCTTGAACGCTACCACTTTAAAGGTACCACTTTATACCCACTAGGATAACTCTTATCAAAAAGATGGAAATTAACAAGTATTAGCTAGGATGAAGAAAAATCACAACCCTTACATGTTTCTTGTGAGATCAGAAAATAGTACAGCTGCTTTGGAAAGAGTTTGGCAGTTCTTCCAAAAGTTAAAGTTAGTGTATGAGCCAGTAATATTGCTTATGTGTATACCCAAGAGATCTGAAAATGTATGTCCACAAAAACTTGTTAAAAGAATGTTCATAGAAGCATTATTCATGATAGCCCAAAAATGGAAGCAACACAAACATCCATCAACTGATGAGCGGCTAAACAAAAGTGGCGTATCCATATAATGAAATACTATTCAACAATGAAAAGCAATGAAGTACTGATTTATGATGCAACATGGATGAGACTTGAAAACATTACACCAACTGAAAAGCCAGACACAAAAGGCCCCATATTGTATGATTATATGAAATGTTCAAAATAGACAAATCTGAAAGTAGATTAGTGGGTGCTGGCAGGTGGGAAGAAGAGGGATAGAGAGTGACTGCTAATGGGTATGGTGTTTCTTTCTGGGGTGATGAACGTGTTATGAAATTAGATAATGGTGATAGCTGCATAACTCTTTGAATATACTAAAAGCCACAATTGTTTTTTAAAAAAAAAAAACAAAAACAAAAACTAATGAAGTTGTGTCAAAAGCAACTTGGAGAGATTCACAGACCTAAAATAGACAATTTGAACCTTGGCAAGGATAATAACTACAGTGGATTGATATGCATCAAATATGCTTAAATCTGTGAGTTAGCAATGACATCAAAATATATAAAACCTAATGACTTGTTATTTTGAAAACTGTTAATAAAGGGAAGAATTAACCATTTATCCTACCTTTTCTAGATTAACTGTGCCTCAGTTCATGCAGAAACTATTTGGTTATACCCCAGTGCAGCTAAATATTTAATGTAAGGAAATTTCTCTTTCTAGAAGTATAAGCCTATAAACAAATGAAGAGTGATGGAATTTAAAAGGCCCTTTTGCCACCATGATAAACTAATGGATTTAAACAATGATCATCAGTAACTGCTATCATCACTAAAAAGAGAAGAAGTTGTGTGTACCTATGTACATATGGAGTAGTAGTCTCGCCAAAACAGAGCTTGCATCTGATGAAGCCCCTATAACTAACTACCAAATTATAGGAAACGGGACAAAGAACATGTTAAACAACACCATAGGGATGCAGTGAATGAAAATCGGACTCTGAGTAACTCTATAGGACACATACACAAAAAATTACAGGTATACCTCAAAGATATTGTGGGTTTGGTTCCATACCACTGCAATAAAGTGAATATCATAATTAAGCAAGTTGCACAAATTGGCTTCTCAGTGCATATAAAAGTTATGTTTACACGACACTGTAAACAAGTATGTGATAGCATAATGTCTTTAAAAATCGTGTACATATCTTAATTTTAAAATGCTGTACTGCTAAATGTCGCTAACCAATTATCTGAGGCTTCTGTGAGTTCACAGCATCTTTTTGCTGTTGAAGGGTCTTGCGTCCATGTTGATGGCTGCTGACCAGGATGGTAGTTGCCGAAGTTTGGGGTGGGTGTGGCAATTTCTTAAAATAAGACAACAGTGAAGTTAGCCACATCGATTGATTCTTCCTCTCACGAAAGATTTCTCTGTAACATGCAATGCAGTTTGAGAGCGTTTTACCCACTGTAGAACTTACTTGAAAATTTGAATCAATCCTGTCAAACCCTGCCACTGCCTTATCAACTAAGTTTATGGCATATTCTGAATTCTTTGTTGCCATTTCAACAATATTCACATCTTCACCAAGAGTCCATCTCAAACCACTTTCTTTGTTCATCCATAAGAAGCAACTCCTCATCCACTGAAGTTTTCTCATGAAATTGCAGCAATTCAGTCACATCTTCACACTCTGCTTATTTTAGTTCTCTTGCTATTTCCAATACATCTGCAGTTACTTCCTCATTGAAGTCTTGAGCCCCTCAAAGTCATTTATGAGGGTTGGAATCCATTTCTTCCAAACTTCTGGAATGTTGATATTTTCACCCCCCATGAATCACTGAATCACAAATGTTCTTAATGGCATCTAGAATGATGAGTTCCTTCCGGAATACTTTCAGTTTACTTTGCCCAGATTCATCCACTATCTATAGCAGCTATAGCATTATAAAATTTGTTTCTTAAATATAAGGCTTGAAAGTTAAAATTACTCCTTGATCCGTGGGCTGCAGAGTGGATATTGTGTTAGCAGGCATGAAAACAACATTCATCTCCTAGTACATCTCCATCAGAGCTCTTGAGTGACCAGGTACATTGTCAGCGGGCAGTAACCATTTGAAAGGAATCGTTTTTTTTTCTGAGCAGTAGGTCTCAACAGTGGGCTTAAAATATTCTGTAAGCCATGCTGTAAAAAAGATGTGCTGCTATCCAGGCTTTGTTGTTCTATTTATAGAGCACAGGCACAGTAGATTTAGCATAATTCTTAAGGGCCCTAGGCTATTTGGGATGGTCAGTGAGCATTGGCTTCAACTTCCAAGTTACCAGCTGCATTAGCTCTTCACAAGAGAGTCAGCCTGTCCTTTGAAGCTTTGAAGCCAGGAATTGACTTCTCCTCTCTAGCTGTGAAAGTCCAAAGGCTTTTTTGTCTACATTGAGAATATGTTGTTTAGTGTAGCAACCTTCATGGATTATTTTGGCTAGATCTTCTTAACTTGATGCAGCTTCTACATTAGCACTTACCTCGCACTTTTATGTTAATGGAGACAGCTTCTTTCCTTAAACCTCATGCACCAACCTGCTAGCTTCAAACTTTTCTTCGGTAGCTTCTTTGCCCCTCTCAGTCTTTTAGAATTGAAAAGAGTTAAGGCTTGCTCTGGATTAGGCTTTGGCATAAATGAAGGGAAAGTTGTAGCTGTTTTGGTCTTCTATCCAGACCACTAAAACTTTCTCCTTATCAACAATAAGGCTTTTTCATTTTCTTATTTGTGTGTTCACTGGAGTAGTACTTTTAATCTCCTTCAAGAACTTTTCCCTTGCATTCACAAATTGGCTACCTGGTGCAAGAGGTCCAGCTTTTGGCATGCTTGGCTTTTGACATGCCTCTCTCACTAAGCTCAATCATTTCTGGTTTTTTATTTGAAGTGAGAGATAAGCGACTCTTCTTTTCACTTGATCACCTAGAGGCCAGTATGGAATTATTCAGTGCCCTAATCTCAATATTGTTGTGTCTCAGGGATAATACGGAAGCCCTCGGAGCAGGAGAAAGGTTGGGGAATAGCCAGTCAGTGGAACAGTCAGACCACATACATTTATCGATTAAGCTCATCTTATACAGGTGCAGTTAACCATAGTGGATGTAATAATAATGAGAAAATTTGAAATATTGTGAGGATTACAAAATGTGACACAGAGACACAGAGTGAGCACATGCTGTTGGAAAAATGCACTAATAGACTTGCTCCATGCAAGGTTGCCACAGACCTTCAGTTTTTTAAAAAGTGGAGAAAAAGGCAATATCTGCAGAGTGCAATTTTTTAAAAAATGAATGCAGTAAAACAGGGTATGCCTTTACAAGGCAAATAGAGAAAGGAGCCTATAGTAGAGACATGTCTTCCAATTGCAGTGCATGGATTGTATTTAGAGCTGAATTTAAACAAGTGTAAAAAAATTTTTAATATTATAAAATAATTTAAAATAATATTTTATAGTCCAACTGGGAAAATAGGACCACTGAACTACATATTTGCTGAAATTAAAGAATTATTAATTTCTTTGGCATGATAATACTGAATAGGTTATGTTTTTCTTATATTTTAGAAGTAGATACTAAACTACAGACAAAATAATGCAATATCTAGGATTTGCTTTTAAATATGGGGGAGGGGAGTGACTACTAAAAGAATAGCATGTTCTGAATGGTAATACTAATTGTAATACTAATACTAATTGTAATTGTAATACTAATCACAAATCTGCACATGTGCTAAAATTTATATAACTGACACCAAAAGGGAGAAAAGGGTCAATTTTATAGTATCTTAATATTTTTAAATAAAATTTTAAAATTTATATTATGGAAAGGATGAAGAGAGCAATAGATGAAACAAGATAGGGCATGACTTGCTAATATTTGGAGCTGGGTGATGGCACAGAGGTATTCATTATGCCATTCTGTGTACTAAAAATTCTTACATATAATTATTTAGAATATAATGTAAAAGCTTAGAATATTTGAAATCATAGATGGCAAATTTAGGAAAATAACCATGAAATGAAGGTATCCTAGTATTGCAGACTTGTTTAGTGTGGTAGTCACTGGAATGTAACTGGACAAAGCTATAAGCAAATGGAAGTGTTATGATTAAACACATTTTATCTCATATAAATTTATATGTGAAGTTATTCTCATAAAGCTTTGTTTGCATTTTTGTTTGTTTGTTTTTTTAGGATGAGAGAAGCTGCAAGAAAAATAGAAGAAAGGCATTTTTCCAACCATGCAACACATGTTGAATTTCTGCCTGTTGAGTGGCGGTCAAAACTTACTCTTGATGGAGGTATATTTATTTAAAAATTGAATGATTTAGCCAATGGCAAACTTTTACCAAAATAAATGCAGAAAGTTTTAGAAAACACTTTTTGTTAATTGAGAATGTAGTGTCTTCAATTTAATTGTCTTGAGATATGCTCACCCTTTGTTCTAGATTAAGAAAATAAAATCCATTGATTTCTAGAATAATTATACTGACTAATATCATTTGGACCATTACATAGATTTCATAGATAGCACTGTTTTCATGCATGCCCTCTGGATTGTGGCAGGTGGAGGGATATAGTGGGAACAAAATGTTTTCTAAAGTTTTTGACACGAAGTTGATTTGTCAGTACTTTAAAAATATTTGTTTTCCATAATTCCATACGAGCTTACATTTTTCTTTCTAATAATTTTCTCCCCATAATCGGAAGATAAAAATCTCAGGTTTTTTGTTTTCCTTTGTTGTTTTTCGTACATTCCCTGGGCTGGTGAATTACAATCTAGCATAGATAATTTGTATATTTGTTTAAATAAAATCAGTTTAGTTGTCTTCCTTAAAGAGCTGTCATCAACCAAAATATGTGTCTTTCTTTACACAAAGTTATGTCTGTTAAATATTAAAACCATAAAAACAGAATGTTTAGATTATTTACATAATCTGCAAAATGAGAGAGTTGTTATACTGGATATAATATTAGCAGCTGCCATTTGGGATTGTGTTTTGACACCTGTTCTAAATATGTGGCCTCATTTTGCTCTGAGTATCCCTGAATTTCATGCAAAAGCCAGTACATACAAAAAAGGGTGACGCTTTATAGATTTGATAATGGCTTTCATCCTTTAATGTTTCTTTTCATCTCCTATGTTGTCTTTTACTGTTTTTTTTTTCTTGAAGTATTTTATAGGAAGGGAAGATCCATTAGAGCCAAAGCTGGTCTTGAATATTTAAATGTTAACTTAAATAGTTACTATTTCAGGCAACGTAATTTTCTTCACTATTACTTTCCTGTAACAGAGACTTTCTATAAGTTAACTTGCTTTTTTTGTTTGTTTTTGTAGACACTGTTGATTCCATTACTCCTGACAAAGTACGAGGTTTAAGGGATATGCTGAACAGCAGTGCAATGGACATAATGTATTATACTAGTCCACTTTATAGAGATGAAGTAAGTGTCATGATTATCTTGCTGGTGGGTATTTTTTAGTGATAGCTTATAAATGTCCTGAATTTTTACATTTTATGTTTTTTTTAAGCAAATGAGAAATTACAGGAATTCATTAATCTATAAATAGCCTACTTTTAATAAATTTGATAGTCTTCAAACTAGACATTGTGACCCTTAATAAAACAGATGGTCTCAGGTTGGGGGACTGTTTAGAAAATAGTTCTTTGAGACATGACATTTTTCATAAATCTAATTAATTATATCTATGATTGTTGTCTTCACAAAAGAGTTTTAGACATAAAATGTCCTTTAAACTTTTTGTATGTGATGGACTTTTATTGCTTCACTTCTGTAATGAATTCGTACAGTTTTCAAATGGTAGTGGAGCTGATGTCTCCCAAGAGTAACACTGGGGGCGAGAGGTGAAGCTTTATTCAAGAAGATGAGAGAATCTCCACCAAATGCATTCTGTCACTTTATTGATAAGAGGGAAAGGAGAATTCTGTTTAGTAGGAATAACTAACATTTGTTAATTGCCTAACATGTGTGAACTTGTTTAACCCTTATTTTAAAAAATCCTGTGAAGTAGGTATGATTAGTATCCTCATTTGAAGGATGAGGAAACTGATGCCAAGAGAGGTTTTGAGGCTTGCTCATTGCATCTCACTTAATAAGTGGCAGAGCCAGTATTTGAATCCAGGCAATACAGCTTCACAGCTTACTCTGTTTACTGCTTCTCTCTTCTGTGTTCACAATATAGCCAGTCTCTCTGTTATTTATTGGCTGATTATTTTGACTTTCCTGGGCCTTTAATCAGTAAATATTTAGTGAGCCCTACTCTATGCCAAACACTAGCTAACAGGGGGCCACTTTACTGCAGACTGTTACCCTTCATTAGCAGGGAGACAGGGAAAATCAGTGCAAGTGTTTGAAAGTGAGATAAGTCACTTTGGTAAAATTTATTTATCAGGAATCCCAGGTAAGATTTGATAATATATACATATACTGAATCAGCTGGTTAAAGGTGTTTTGAACTAAGAATATGGTCTACATGTTTATTGAAAATTTGTTTATTGAGAACTTACTACGTATAAGATACTGTACAAGGATCTTGTACAAGGGGGAGTCTGTGCCTTCAAAAAAGTTTAAAATATTACAGTACATAGGGCCACATTTATGAAATGTATGGAAGGAAGAGATAACCGTGGAAATATTTGCAATTATTCTTTTTTTTCCCTCTGAAAAAAGCATTTACACTTATTGTTATAGTACTTAAGATAAATTACATTTCCACATTGCCTCATAATCATATATGGCCCCAATTTTTGTTCTAAAAACCATGCAGTAGAAATTATTTTTTGCCAATTGTATATGGGCTGTAGAGATAGACTGCTTGATTCCAGTCCCACTGTAACACTTAATTTTTGTATGGCTTCTCTATCTGCAAAGTGGATATTCTAACAAGTAGCTACTTCATAGCATTCTTGTAAAGATTAATTGAGGTAATGCTTATATTAACATGTGGCACATGGTAGTCAAGAGTTACTGTTATTACAGGTACTATAATATCAAATCATTTTAGTTTCTGAATTCTGAGTAAAATTCTCCAATGCTGAAACAGATGTGTTGCTGCCTGTAGATCCCTCTGCTTTCATAAGAGAAAGAAGGGTTCGATGTTTTCTCTGGGAGCTTTCTTTCATCAGTGTTTTTAATCTAAAAATATTCCTAACTAAGCTTTGAAAAACTAAGTATGGAATGGATTCAGTGTATATGTTTTCTGTACAAAGATCTCAGATTTCTTAAGGTTTCATAACCTGTAACTATTTTTATAATAGACATGTAAAGCATTTCAGAGTTAACAGGTTTATTTTGTATGTATTAACTTATAAATTTAATTTGCCAAATATTTTCTGAGCACATTTTGACACATTTTCATTTTTATAAGCTAGTAAAATGACATAGATTTGGCAAAGGAAGTAACAGATAGTGTTGTGTCTCATTTCTCCCCAATATTTTTATGTTCTTGAGAATGAAAAAAGGAAAAAACAGTTCTATTCCATACCCCAATTCTATCTTCATAAATTCAAGTGAGCAATAACAAGGTTCTAACCCAAAATAGTATCAATAGGAATAAAGAGAAGAGATGGATTCAAAATATGATAGAATTAAGTGGTCTTGAAATGATTTGTTATGGATGATACAGGAAGAGAAGAGACAGATGATGCTTACAATTTCTAGCTTAGGCAACTGGTAGATTGTTCTGATATTAACTATAAACGGAGGAAAGGGAACCAGATTTTTGTAGGGGAAGAGAGTAGAACATAAAGAAAATAATGAATTATACTTGCAAATTTTTGGTATGTTTACGATTTCCTTCTGGAGTTTTATAGCACAGAATATAATATTAAAAGTAAAACCAGTGAGAGTGGAGGGAGGAGGATATCAGAGCACATGTTACCATACAAATACACATATGTGCATATATATGGTTGGTGGTACCCCTAAGAGGGCTCAGAGCTCTGGCTGTTGGCTAGTGGTGACTGAGCAAATGGTCACTTTCTGTAATGCTCTTATATGTGGAAAGATAACTATCCTCAGAAAGGAACTGAATAAAATAGATAGTAGGAAGAGGGAACCAATGGCTATGATAAATGGGGGGCAAAGGGAACACCCAGTCCTTTGAATTAGTCTTTTGATCCAGATGAATTTCATGGGAGAGCATGAGAACTGGTGACTGAGATTCATCAGCAATCTTTAGCAGTGATTTTCAAACATCCCTGACTAGAATCATTTCATACTCATTAAAAATAACAGCAAAAATAAACCCAGGGCGGGGGTGGCAGGTACTGGAATTTGAGGGTACCATTGTAAATTCAACAATTTCTAAAATATGCATGTGTGTTGTAAGTATTACTTATATATGTAGGTGAATATGTATATATACAGGCATACCTTAGAGATACTGTAGATTTGGTTTCAGACCACCACAATAAAGTGAATGTCACAATAAAGCAAGTCATGCAAATTTTTTGGTTTCCCAGTACATATAAAATTATGGTTACACTATACTATAGTCTGTTAAGTGTGCAACAGCATTGTGTCTAAACAGATATGCATACCTTAATTTAAAAATACTCTATTGCTATAAAATGCACACAGACATGAAGTGAGCACTGTTGGAAAAGTGGCACCAGGGTTGCCACAAACCTTCAATTTGTAAATGCAGTGTCTACAAAGTGCCATAAAACAGGGTATGCCTGTTCATGCATGTATTTCCTAACTTTGTCCATTAAAGTGGCCAATAAGCAAAGACACCCTAATTGAGCACACCTAGCACCCAGATCTTTTCCTCTAGCGCTATTATTTCCCACTGAGGAAAACCAGGGTTCCTCAGGAAAATGGCTGATTCTGGGGCTGGGACAACTTGTTATGACAGAAGGTAGGAAGATGCTCAAGAGAATCATGGGGTAGGTCACAAGAACACAGGGCCAAATTAAGCAGCTCACACTGGCCAAATCTGGAACATTTGAGCACCAAAATTATTATTTATAGATCATTGAAAAAATTATAAGTTCATATTGACTATAAATAAGCAAATAAATGGGGAGAAAGGAGAATCCTTGCTTACAGTAGAATGCCAAAGGGCAACTGATGGAGGGAATCCTGGAGTTGGAAAACCATTTTGCAGCTATCATGGTAGGATTAGGTAAGAGAAGACTGGACACAAATCATCGATGGATACTAAATTGAAGGCAGTATTTTGATGAGGAGCAGGATATTTACATGGTCTTAAAGTATATCCCCACAAACTGATAATTCGTTTAAGAAAGAGCGACAATAATCATACACTGGAGAAATCAAGCAGTACCTAAACTGGGTATTCCTGAGGAGCAGATGGACATTATGCACCTCTGGATGTGACACACACAGGAGAACACATCACTTTACAGTATTCTGACAATGAGAAAACATCAGACAAACACAAAATGAGGATGTTGTAATAAAAAGTAGCAATGAGACTGTATTCTGTAAAAATATTATTATCAGTCTGGGTGTAGTGGCACACGCCTGTAATCCCAGCCCTTTGTGAGGCCAAGGTAGGAGGATCACTTAAGCCATGGAGTTCTAGACCAGCCTGGACAACATAGCCAGACCCTGTCTCTACCAAAAATAATTTTTTAAAAATTAGCCATGTATGGTGGTTTGGGCTGTAGTCCTAGCTACTCGGAATGCTGAGGCCGAGGAGGACTGCTTGAGCCTGGGAGGTCGAGGCTGCAGTGAGCTGTTCTCACACCACTGTACTCCAACCTGGGTGAAAGAGCAAGACCCCATCTCAAAAAAAAAAAAAAAAAAGTATCATAAAGGCCGAGTGGCTGCGGAAAATGTTCCTGATCAAAGGATGCTAAAGAGACATGTAGCTAAATACCGTATCTCATCCTGAACTGGATCCTGTACTGGATAGGGGAAACTGCAATAAAAGATATTATTAGATACGCTGGCAGAATTAGAATGTGGATGGTAGATTAGATGAAATATTATATCAAAATAAATTTATAAAGTTGATTACTATGATTATAGAAGAGAATATTCCTAGTTTTAGAAAATATACAATGAAGAATTTAGGGGTAAAAGATCATGACATATATAATATATCCTCAAATGATTCCCAAAAAAGGTGACGGTTTATGTGTTTATCATAGAAACAGAACAAGTGAATAAAGCAAATGGAATACAATGCTAACAATATGTGAACCTGGGTAAAGGTTATATGAGTGATCTTTGTGTTATTTTTATTTTGCAACATTTTATATATTTGAAATTATTTTCAAATAAGAGGCTGGGCAGGGCACGGTGGCTGATGCCTGTAATCCCAACACTTTGGGAGGCCAAGGCGGGTGGATCACCTGAGGTTGGGAGTTTGAGAGCAGCCTAACCAACGTGGAGAAACTCTGTCTCTACTAAAAATACAAAATTAGCTGGGCGTGGTGGCACACGCCTATAATCCCAGCTACTTGGGAGGCTGAGGCAGGAGAATGGCGTGAACCCAGGAGGCAGAGCTTGCAGTGAGTTGAGATCACGCCACTGCACTGCAGCCTGGGTGACAGAGCGAGATTCCATCTCTAAAAAAAAAAAAAAAGAGGCTAGACATGGTGGCTCATGCTGGTAATCCCAGCACTTTGGGAGGCCGAGACGGGCAGATCACTTGAGGCTGGTAGTTCAGACCAGCCTGGCCAACATGGCAAAACTCCATCTCTACTAAAAATAGAAAAATTAGCCAGGCATGGTGACAGGCACCTGTAGTCCCAGCTACTGGTGAGGGTAAGGCAGAAGAATCTCTTGAACCCAGGAGACGGAGGTTGCAGTTAGTCGAGGTCACGCCATTGCACTCCAGCCTGGGCCACAGAGGGAGAGCCCATCTCATTTAAAAAAAAAAAAAAAAGAAAAGGAATAGTTTCCCGGATCTCCCAGAGATTCTCATTTGGTGGTTCTGAGATGGAGCCTGTGATTTTGTATTTTTAACAGTTCCCCTACTTGATACTATCCTGGGAATTCTGGGAAAACACTGCTTAAGGCATGGTGAAGAACAAAAGGGGTGCTTCCTAAGTGAGAGGTGGGCAAACTTTTTTTTTTTTTTTTTGAGACAGGTTCTTACGGAGGCAGGAGTGCAGTGGTACGATCTCAGCTCACTGCAGCCTCTGTCTTCTGGGCTCAAGTGATTCTTGTGCCTTAGGCTCCTGAGTAGCTGGGACTACGGGCACGAGCCAATACACCTGGCCAATTTTTGTGTTTTTAGTAGAGACAGGGTTTCACCATGTTGCCCAGGCTGGTCTTGAACTCCTGACTTCAAGTGATCCTCCCACCTCGGCCTTCCAAAGTGCTGGGATTACAGGCGTGAGCCACTGTGCCCGGCCTATTCCTATTTTTAAAAAAGAAAAGTTGATTCTGTAAATTAAAATACATTAACATGGCATTGGTGTTAGGCAATATTCTAGGATAAATTATTTAAAAGTATATGTTTCCTTAGGGAAGGAATGATTAGGACTAAGTCACATGCCTGGTGAATGAACCTTGTTTGGTTTATTTGTGAGGCATTTGAAAGAGCCTTTTTCCCCCTTCTTCTCTGAGCCTTTGTAGTCAAATAGATGCAGATTCAAAGCCTGCCACTTCTGTAATCCCAGCACTTTGGGAGGCCAAGGCAGGCAGATCACTTGAGGTCAGGAATTCGAGACCAGCCCAACCAACATGGTGAAACCCCGTCTCTACTAAAAATTCAAAAATTAGCCAGGCGTGGTGGTGCACACCTGTAATCCCAGCTACTCAGGAGGCTGAGGCAGGAGAAGCACTTGAACCTGGGAGGCAGAGGTTGCGGTGAGCTGAGATCACGCCACCACACTCCAGCCTGGGCAACAGAACGAAATTCCATCTAAAAAAACAAAAATAACAACAACAACAGAAACCTGCCACTTAACCAGCTCTGTGATCTTAGATCGAATTTCTCACTTTCTTAGCTTCCCCACTTATAAAATGGGATAAAATATGTACTGATAAAATTTGTCATTAGGATTAAAAATGAAATGTGTATAAAGTTTCCGGTACAATTCATGGTCCTTAGACATTCAAATTATGATTGATTCTGTGTATATTTATGTCTTACAAGGGCCACCATATTTTTAATAGACTTATTCTGTTAACTCTAAAAAGTAAAGGTCAGTGGATAGAAAATATGGGAAGGAACATGTTTGTTGACTGTAATGAACTTTGTAGTAACAAAGCTGTCTCTAAAGATAGAAGTGGACACTTTAAAATGGAGATATGCACTAAGGTAGAGACTGAGTGACCACTTCTCAGGGATGCTACTGAAGGGACTCCTACCTTCACAGCAGTTTAAATTAGATCATTGCTGAGGTCCCTTTTAACTCTCAGATTCTTACATGCTCATGGGAGAACCCTAATGATTTTCCTAATAATTTCTGAAAAGTCATGGTTAGGGGAAAAGTTGTGTATATCAATCAGTACTTCTCAGATGACTTTCTGAGGACCAGTTTAAAAAATCAACCAAAAAAGTTAATTTCAGACTATCAAGAGATCATCAGAGAGCCTTTGGCCCTTACTTCAACTCTAAAGTAACACAAGAAATCCAGAGAGACCTGTACATCTTGTGTAAATCTGAACTCTCTTTTTAATAGCTTTTAAAATTGAAGAATTGTAAAGAGAATTGTCCTAGCTGTATCTTGACATTATTTGAATTATTTAATTGATATAGATGACTAGAACTCTCTCAATTACATTTTCTCATTACAATTTCTTGAAGCAGGGAGAACAAAGGACTAACTCTATTCCTCAGCCATATTTTGTGTATTTGGACTCAACTCTTGAAACTGCCGGGTTTTTCCTCCTTACGTTCATTTCCTTCGTAAATTTTAACTCTTGAGCAGTGGTTATGGAAATTAGAAATTGTTTTAAACTTTTGAAAAGCTATCCAGTGCTTACTGTGTAAGAGGTTCGTTGAGTTGATTAGATCATATTGTAGACCTAATAGATAATAAAGTTAAGATCACAGTATATATTGTTAATCTTGGCTGAGATGTCCCAAATGAATACACTTGGTCACAAAGGGATCCTAATTAGGAGAATATAATTGGATCAGAAAGGAGAAGGAAAAGGAAAAAAAATTCCAATTAGAGTAAACTCGTTGGATACAACATAGAAATGAATTTCTCCTTTCACTGATGAGCGGATGAGATACAGAAGCATTTAGAGGTAGTACAAAGCTGTTTAAAAAGTTGGCTTTCAAAATCATAATGTCTGACCATAGATGTCTCATATATATGCATAAGCAATAGAAAAAGAAAATGCTGTCAAATCCAGATATGCTCTAATAAGGAAATACAAAGGCCATTTCTCTTCAAGTGTATAATTATTAAAACAGATGACATCATCAAGGTCTTCAGAAACTGTCCATGCTATGCCTCATTCCATAGTGAAATATTTTAGTATCAAATAGACTTTCTCTGCCTTAGATAATTTGATCTTGTTTTTTTACCCATATATGATTGCCAAACTAATGAAGTATTTGGTGTAGTGAGAGATGTTTTAAAATTTTTGAATATGAAATAGGTTAATTACTGGTAGTGTGATTTCCTTTTTTAACAAACTTTAATATGGGAGTAAGCTGGTATTTTATAAAAACAAAAAGATTAGGTATGTTTTGTCAGAGTACTAAAGTATATATCTTTTAGTGCTTTGAGATTTACATGGTACAAGTCTTAAAATCAAGGTCTTCAAAAATAAAAACGATTAAGAACTGTTGCTTTTAAAGGAAATTATTTTATCTAAACATTAGCCTTCTCTGTACCTACCTCATGTAGATTGTAAATCAGGAAAATAATGAAATTTTAAGGATTGGTTGATATTCTTATCAAAGCCAAATCCAAAGCATATTATAGCTCCTTTCAGACAGAGCCATGTAGTATTTCACACTGCATATTCCTGAAACTATGTTAATTAGAGTTTTACTTAAAACCCATGTCTTAGAAGATGTTTATGTACATTGCCATTAAATCAGTAGTTTGTAAAGTGTAGGAAGAAAGAAGACTGCCTTAAAACTCAGATCAGGGCCCAGGATGGGTTTGAGTAACAAAAGAACCTTATTCTTCTGACTTTATGGAATATTTCAGTAATATTTGTTAAAGCTTAATTTCAAAGAAAGCACTTTTACAAAGAAAAATTACGAAAATACTCCCCACATTATTAACCTCTAAACTTAAAATAGCCCTGCTTTCCAGACATAGAAAACAACTTTTTACTTTTATATCTGTATTGCCAACTTAGTGGGAACTTTGAAATACCCAGTAGATCAACTTTTGTTTTTTCTTCAATCATTCAGTGGCCTTTTATTACATTACTCTATCTAAATGCACAATAATTTATAATATGTTAGTATACCTATTATCATAAGCCCAGATACTCATTTTCTAAAACTTACTGACTAAAAACTACAAGGTACAAAAATTTAGAATTGCATGTGGGTAAGTTACAACAAAAAAGAAATTTGCGGGGGTCTTTGAAAATCTTATTGGTATTTGCATAGAACTTTGGTTTTTTTTTTTTTTAATCTATGGAACTGCTGGCTTATACAGTTGGTTTAAGGACTACAGAAGGATCTATGTAGGTAGTATCTGCCTATGTTCTTAGTGATGATATGGATTATAATAGTATGTATACCTTACTTCATTCCTGCAAGATTTTGAAAGACCTAAGTTAATTTTAATAACCTAGGTATATTTGATCGGTAATGTATGTTTTTCTACCTTAATGTATTTGAGTTTAGAATAAGTGTATAGTAGTCAGTGACAAGTCTAATATGATAATGTTTTCTTATTTCAAACAGCTAGTTAAAGGCCTTCAGCAAGAGCTGAATCGATTGTATTCCCTTTTCTGTTCTCGGAATCCAGACTTTGAAGAAAAAGGGGGTAAAGTCTCAATAGTATCACATTCCTTGGGATGTGTAATTACTTATGACATAATGACTGGCTGGAATCCAGTTCGGCTGTATGAACAGTTGCTGCAAAAGGAAGAAGAGTTGCCTGATGAACGATGGATGAGCTATGAAGAACGACATCTTCTTGATGAACTCTATATAACTAAACGACGGTAAAATATCCTCATCTTTTGAAAAATTTTTAAATGTCTTTATGGAATTACTGGACCTCTTACGAGAAAACTAAGAATTTCATGATAAAGAAATAATGCATTGTTCAAGATACAAAGATTACTATATAGCATGCCTAATCAAGCTGGAGACTGTTGATTTTCATGCTAATTACATGCATTTTCCTGTAGCATAAAATAAATTCTTTTGTTATTCTCCTTGTTTTCCTTTCATCGTTTCTTCACAGTTTGTTAGGAGTGAAATTTAAAACTTATTCCAAGCTTAGTCACTGCATAGAATCCTTATTGAAAATGTTTACCAGTTTATAATCCTTTGTAGTTTTACTGACCTTTTGAGGTGGGTTTCTACCTTTCTTATTATTCTGAAAATAATTTTTAAGTGCTTTTTTTAAGCAAATATATTTTTTTACATGTTATATGTATAAACATAATTATATGTGTTATATAATTATAAGATTTTATTATTTAATCATTTGTGGCCCTCCTGATACTATCTTTTAATTCTTTGCTGCATTCCTATCTTCATCTCTAGTTACATGCCTTATCTTCTTTGTTCTCTTTATATGATTAATTCTAATATAAAAATGAAAAATCACTCATTTTGATAATTTACTAGCATATTAAAACAAATGTGCTAATTGACTAAAATTTTTACTAGTTTTGTTTTTGTCTTACAGATGTTAACTAAGGATTTCATTTAGAATCTTATTAAGTACCATAGGCTAGACACACAAATATTATAGTGTCAAAATAATTGACAGGTTTGAAATAAAATGTCATGTTTGGCAATACTCGGAGCAGCATTTTAGATGTATAAATCCAGTAAAACTTTAAAAAAAGAAAAAAAAAGCATGGAAAATAACAAATTTTTTTTTTTTTTTTTTTTTTTGGAGACGGAGTCTTGCTCTGTTGCCCAGGCTGGAGTGCAGTGGCACGGTCTCAGCTCACTACAACCTCTTGTCTTCCAGGTTCAAGTGATTCTCCTGCCCCTGTCTCCCCAGTAGCTGGGATTACAGGCAACTGCTACCACGCCCGGCTCATTTTTGTATTTTTAGTAGAGATGAGATTTCACCATGTTGGCCAGGCTGGTCTTGAACTCCTGACCTTAAGTGATCCACCCACCTGAGCCTCCCAAAGTGCTGGGATTCCAGACATAAGCTACTGCGCCTGGCCAACTATAGCTTTTAAAAAATAATAATGATAATAATAACTTAATTCCATAGTTTACTAAATGTAAGTAGCTATGAAACATTGTAATTGAAAATGATGTTCATCAACAGAAGGGTTAGACTATATGGTTCACCTGTATTTTGGACAGTCATAGTTGTTACAAAAAAAAAATTGAAGTAGGTCAGGAGGCAATGAAATGAAAAGATCTCTAAACTCTTAAGTATAGAAAAGAGAGAACAGTATATATGGTATTAACCATTTGGTATAATTTTTTAAAAGATGTATATGTGCTTGTATATGACTCACATTTTACTACAAAAAAGCTGTTAACAGCAGGTATCATGACAACTAGCGGTACTTTACTAATTATTTCATAAATTTTTATATACTTTCTGTACTGTGGCAGAGACATTTATTAAATACTGTCAACCAGGATTAATGTGAGGGATAGTGGGCCATCATCTGCGTCTTTATACTTTAGTAAGCTAGCAAGCATCTAATATTTATGAAATTATAAATACGTGTGTGTATATAATCTCATACCCCTTCTTAGGCTGAAGGAAATAGAAGAACGGCTTCACGGATTGAAAGCATCATCTATGACACAAACACCTGCCTTAAAATTTAAGGTAAGGAAAGAGCAATGTGTTCTTCAACATTGATCTCAGTATTTTTTTTAACGTCATGTGAAATATGCCTTTAGGATTCAAATGAAAGTTTATTGTTCTTTCAAAATAAATATTTATTCAACATATACTATATGTTGGACACTGCCATTTCTGGTTGTACAAAGAAAAGAATAGACAAGTCAGTTCCCCAGTCCTCAGGTTATATGGCACAGTATTATTGATGCTATTATCAGTATACAGAACAATATATGTACAGGAGAGGGAGGTTCTAATTTTGCCTGCAAAAGTTTACAAAGGAGTGATATTTGTACTTGGTCTCAGTAAATTAGATATTGCCAAGTGAAAGAAAGGAGAGATGCTATTCTGTTTAAGAGGAATGGCATAAACAAAGGCATAGAGGGCTGTAACTTCATATACCTCAAGAAACATCAGCTAATCTAGAATAGTGGTAAAGAAAAATAGAGACAGATGAGAAATATTTACTATTTAGAATTAAGAAATCTTAATGACCACCTAGTTGGTCAGTGGTGAGAAAAAAATCAGAGGAAGTATATGAGTAATGATTCCAGGGATGGAAAGCTGACATTTCAATGGATGAACAATATATGACAAAAGCACAAGACAGAGGTGCACAGGTTAGCTTGGAGCTGTGTGAGCAAACTTAGTTTAGCTATAATATACAGAAGTCAGGACAAGGAGGCAGTGAGAGAGCAGGAATAGCTAGAAATAAGGAACTTACATTGATATAGGCATTGGGAAGCTTTGCAGGGTTTTTAAGTATTAGAATGACCTGTTGAAAGCAGTGATTTAGGAAAATGTGGCAGAGGTGTCAGCATTGACTAGACTATTGGAAAGGACATACCCTATAGCTGAATAACAAATAACTTGCTTGCAGTGTTAAATGGGAAATGTCATAAGTTTCCTAATACTCATTTCCTGTTGAGTATTTGCTCATGTCTAGTATACTGTATTACCTCTTCTTGAAATGTGTTTCTTTTCTCACAAGAACTTAACACACAGGTTAAGATGTGGAATGATGCAGAAATTTCTTTAAAACGTTAAGAGTTTTTAAATTGAATCTATCTCCATTACTTACAAAGTGTTTTTTTAAAAAAAATATATACCATACATTGTAAAACAATATGGTAAGTTATAACATATTTTTAAAAGCCGTAAGAGTATGGTCTTTGGAGTGATCCCATTGTAGAATTTGCATTTCATCTCTACTATCATTACTTTTTTTTTTTTTTTTTTTTTTTTTTGAGACAGAGTCTTGCTCTGTCACCCAGGCTGGAGTGCAGTGGCGTGATCTTGGCCCACTGCAACCTCCGCCCCTCCGATTCAAGTGATTCTCCTGCCTCAGCCTCCCGAGTAGCTGGGATTACAGGTGCCCGCCACCACGCCCAGCTAATTTTTGTATTTTTAGTAGAGACGGGGTTTCACCATGTTGGCCAGGCTGGTCTCGAACTCCTGACCTCGTGATCCGCCCGCCACGGCCTCCCAAAGTGCTGGGATTACAGGCGTGGGCCACCGCACCCAGCCTATCAGACTATTTTTATTCTCAAAAATAAACCAGGTTATGGCTGGGCACGGTGGCTCACACCTGTAATCCCAGCACTTTGGGAGGCTAAGGTGGGCGGATCACGAGGTCAGGAGATCGAGACTATCCTGACTAACACAGTAAAAGCCCATCTCTACTAAAAATACAAAAAAATTAGCTGGGCGTGGTGGCGGGCGCCTGTAGTTCCAGCTACTCAGGAGGCTGAGGCAGGAGAATAGCGTGAACCCAGGAGGCGGAGCTTGCAGTGAGCTGAGATCGCACTACTGCACTCCAGCCTGGGTGACAGAGCGAGACTCGGTCTCAAAAAATAAATAAATAAATGAAATAAAATAAACCAAGTTATTTCCCACCTTGGCTTTAGTTCATTTGGTTCTATCAGCCTGGAATGTTATTCTTTCCAGCACCAATATCCAACCCCAGCTGTAGAAACCTTTCTCGTCTTTTACTGGCCAATGCATATGCTACCTCCTCTGTAAAGCCTTCAAAGTTGGAATTATTTTTTTCACTCTCTTAAAGCATTATTTCCCTCTGTTATGCACGTATTTTATTCTGCTTTCCCCACAGGACTGTAAATTTTGAGTGCAGAAGCTGTGTCTTACTGGTCTTTATATCTATCACAGCACCGAGTGTATTACTTCACACAAAGTAGTACCTCAATAAATATTTGATTTGTGTATACAAATATATAAGAAAATGATCCTTATCTTCCTTTTATTCAACTTGTATTAGATTTAAAGATAATGAAGTATCTCATGGAAATAGATTATTCTAGAATGGTTAATGGTTGGCAGAGCCCATCTGGATAACTCTTATTAAAAACGAATATACTCAAAGATATTTTATTATTTGTATTTTGCCATATATTACGTTATGCCCAAATTTTGTTGAAAGATAACACTTCACCATTTTTAAACTTTAAGATGACTTTATCATTTTAGGTTGAGAATTTCTTCTGTATGGGATCCCCATTAGCAGTTTTCTTGGCGTTGCGTGGCATCCGCCCAGGAAATACTGGAAGTCAAGACCATATTTTGCCTAGAGAGATTTGTAACCGGTTACTAAATATTTTTCATCCTACAGATCCAGTGGTGAGTTGCAATATAGACTCTTTTTTTTCTCAATGTCAAATTGTTCCTAAAAAGAATCTATCAGCTGGGCACAGTGGCTCACGCTTGTAATCCCAGCACTTTGGGAGGCTGAGGCGGGCGCATCATCTGAGGTCAGGAGTTCAAGACCAGCCTGACCAATGTGGTGAAACCTCATCTCTACTAAAAATACAAAAATTAGCTGGGCGTGGTAGTGGGTGCCTGTAAGGCAGGAGAATCACTTGAACCTGGGAGGTGGAGGTTGGACTGAGCCAAGATCATGCCACTGCACTCCAGCTTGGGTGACAGAGTAGTGAGACTCCATCTCAAACAAAAAGAAAAAAGCCGGGCGTGGTGCTCATGCCTGTAATCCCAGCACTTTGGGAGGCCAAGGCAGGCAGACTGCCTGAGCTCAAGTTCGAGACTAGCCTGGGCAACATGGTGAAACTCCATCTCTACTAAAATACAAAAAATTAGCTGGGCACGGCTGTAATCCCAGCTACTCGGGAGGCTGAGGCAATAGAATTGCTTGAACCTGGGAGGCAGAGGTTGCGGTTAGCCGAGATTGTGCCACTGCACTCCAGCCTGGGCAATAGAGCGAGACTCTGTCTCCAAAAAGTAAAAATCTGTCTAAGACATCTTACAAGGTGCCATCGAATTAATGAAAACACTTCATTTATCTGATTATTAAACGTGTGTTTTGGTTAATTTAGGGCTCATGAGATAAAGTACCTTAGAGATGGTCTGGTTATGTTGCACCTGTAATACAAGAGTGTAATGTAAAAATATTATTCCCAGACAGTTAGTACAAGAGACAGGAGTCTACTGGACTTTCAAACCTTAACCAATTGTAATACCAGTAACCTAGAAACCATAAATCTTAAAAATCCTGCTCTAAATACTTTTTTAATCTAAAGTATGCTACAATATTGGAATGTATTTTGTAGACTCTCTGAAAAATGAAAATATTCAAATACTGAACATCAAAATAAAACTTTATTATAGCCTAATAGAATTGTAAGATGTTGGATTTTTCTATTCTCTATTATGTTTATGCTGTAAATATTTTTTTTAATGGAAGCACTCCAAGAACCTTGCATCCTGTTAAACAGTGTAATGCCAAGTAAGATTTTCAGACAAGAAAAATGCCCCCTTAATACTTCTTTGGGACAAGGCTGGTTTAACTAAATATTAAACTATTTTAAATAGCATTTATTCTCTGAAAAAATAGCTTCATATAATTGTGGAAAGTCTTTTAAAGGATCCTTTTAGCTAGTACCAAATAAATATAACATTGACTAACCATTCGAATTTTAGAAAATCTCTCATATGTTAAAGACTTACAACTGCCATATTAACTTCACTGAACTGGAAGTTTAATATAAGATTCAAATACAAACTGCACAATCCTGGGCAAGTTATTTCTGAGATTGTATCTTATCTGTATGATGTAGATGATAATATTTTGCCTTCTAGGATTGTTAGGATTAAGTAAAATATATATACACCCAGCTAGACAATAAGCATTTCATTAACATATACTCATTTTATTCATTGTCTCGTAACTTGAAAGTGAATTTCAGTTCATAGGTCTGCTCTGAGCCCTGTCCTTTGTATAACTTAAACTTTGTTGTAACTTTAAAGGAGGATTCCAAACTCTTAAATTTTTATTATTCATTTTATAGTTTTTCTGTGATTTTTAAAAAAATTAATACTTTGTTAAATAGTTTACGTCAGAACGGTGCAAGGCAGTTTTTACAAATGTTATCTGTTCTTTCTCACATCTCTGTAAGAGAGGAAGTGTTACCTCCTTTCTACAGCTCAGGAAACTCAGGGCTCCGAGACCTAGTGACTTAACAAGCATCATGCAATTAATAAGTGACAGAGGCTGGGCGCAGTGGCTCTCTATTATCCCAACCCTTTGGGAGGCTGAGGTGGGAGGATTGCCTGAGCCCAGGAGTTTGAGACCAGCCTGGGCACCAAGGCGAGACCCCATCTCCATCTTAAAAAATAAAATTTTCTAAAAATGTAAATTAAAAAATAAGTGATAGAAACCAGAATATGAATTTGGGGGATTCTGATGCCGTATCCATTGCCTTTTCTGCTGTCTCATTGCTACTTCACATCAGACAGATGCTCTTATGCTGGCATCTGATTTATGCTGTTACTGTATCAATCTATTTTAAAACAGAGCTTAAATAGAGCTCCTAAAATATTAAAAATTGGCCTTATTTGCTGTTTCCCAGGATTACCATCTACTACTTCAACTTTGCTCCTAAGACTAAAATAAATCTAATTGTTACATATCAGAACATAATAAAAATATTTCTCTGAAAAACTAATTGATAGACACTATTAGCCTAGACTGTTTTTCATAATCTCATCATTAGATCAAGTGCATATTAACAGTGAACAAATAGAAATACATGTTTGAAATAGCTATTGTTTTTTAATTAAATTCCTTCTCGGAGGTTTACTTAACATGCAGTAGAGTAAGAACAGTTTACTAAAATCCAAGCATTGTGATTTAACACTGTGTTTCTTTGAATTTTTTTTTTTAAATCAAGGCTTATAGATTAGAACCATTAATACTGAAACACTACAGCAACATTTCACCTGTCCAGATCCACTGGTACAATACTTCAAATCCTTTACCTTATGAACATATGAAGCCAAGCTTTCTCAACCCAGCTAAAGAACCTACCTCAGTTTCAGAGAATGAAGGCATTTCAACCATACCAAGCCCTGTGACCTCACCAGTTTTGTCCCGCCGACACTATGGAGAATCTATAACAAATATAGGCAAAGCAAGCATATTAGGTAATTTCTCTTATGTATTCCTTATCTATGCATATAAGCACTTTCCTAGACATAAGTTTGGGGGACTAGAAGTATTCTATGTATTAGGAAACTCCCAGCAGTTAATCCCTGTGTCTAGAATTAACTACCCTCCCAATGTTCATATTTGAGGCCCAAAAAGCTCTAAAGTTCTCTGATTAGATCAGATCTTATAGTTTTAGAATATAAGATAGCTGGATGGACCAGAAAAAGCTGTTATGAGAATCAAGTCCCTCATTTTAATCTTGGTCCTACCACTTGCTGTGAGATCTTGAGTAAATAATATAGTTTTTAATGCTCTACTTGCTCATCTGTGAAATGAGAAAGCACTTGTGTCAGAGGGTGCTCCCTGTCAACCAGTTCTCTGATCTATTCTAAAAGTCTCTCAAACTGTGTGATTCCTGAGGGCAACAAGGATGTTTAATTTTTCTTTGAATGATCTCCAGTACTGGCACAATGTTTGCTGTATCACTGGAACTCGATTATGTGGTATTTGAATCTGTCCATTGCCTTTGGTTACAAGTTGCCTTAATGTAAAATACCACAAGGTGGCACTATAAATAGGCTTTATCTCCTGGACTCATTGGCTGTTTTACTTTCTCATGTTAATACATTGTTTATTGATGGCTTTTTCTTACATGTCCATTTAAATTCAGTAGTAAGTATATCAATAGTAAATCTATACTCATGTCAATGGCATGGTTCTTTTATCAAAGACTTTAATCTTGCCAAATATTTTAATAAACCATGATCACTTGAATAAAATAGAATCTTTATTCCTTTGTTTATATATTCCTGTGTTATATTCCTAGAGCTTATACAACTCTCATTCTATTCACCATTTTTATTTAGAAACCTGCAATATAAATTATAATTTTCTTATGTTCCCACCCTGGAAAAACATGACTAGGGTTTGGTCCCTCTGCCAGTTGGCTATAATTATGGGTGGTGCTCTTTAGCTTAGAGTGTGGTGTGATTCAACAGAATGACTACCCTGCTTTGTGAAATACAGGGGCTGCTAGCATTGGAAAGGGACTTGGAGGAATGTTGTTCTCAAGATTTGGACGTTCATCTACAACACAGTCATCTGAAACATCAAAAGACTCAATGGAAGATGAGAAGAAGCCAGTTGCCTCACCTTCTGCTACCACCGTAGGGACACAGACCCTTCCACATAGCAGTTCTGGCTTCCTCGATTCTGCATGTTAGTTCATACATTATTTCCTTAAGTTGATACTGTATCTTTTTAAAACTTGGGGAGGGCAGGGAGGTATAAAATATTAATACTAGCTAGTCAACTCTAAGATCTAAAGTGTGCCTTAACTTTGAAAGAAAAAAATGCTTTCCTTCTGCTTATATTTTTAAGAATAATTTCCAGGAAAATGCAGTTTTACTTTCTGCATTGATGAATTAATAGAATATTAGTAATTAGGGCCTTGTGGCACAAGGTCTTAACCATCAAGCATAAAACAAATCTCTTTAGGGTAAGTACCCCCTGAAGTTTATAAAGTAGATTTTTACTAATGTGATCTTCTCAGTCTCAAAAATCGTGTAATTATTGCTTTAGATCTATGCTGTATCTGGTCTTGAGACTTTAAAAACTGCTATACCAAAGTCATCCTACTTCTATTCAAAGCTTAGAAATTTTATTGGATCTGCTGAATGGCTTCCAATTCTATCCCAGCTACCTAGTGTAAAGCAGATATTGAAAAAATGAGTAAATAAATGGATAGTTATGTTGGACTTAGCATTATATGGATCTTTAAGCTTTCTCCGGTGGACTTAGAAAGTTTGAAATGTTGAGTAGTTGTGAAACACGAATACACTTAGTATATATTTACTTCCAAGAGTCTGAACTTGAACATTATTTTTAGGTGTCTAGTAAAATAAAACTAAAACGTCAAGTCCTATTTTTTCATTGACACCTATAATGAAATATAAATTCTGAAACTAGCTACTCCTTTTCTGTAACTATAGCAGGGAGAAAACTTTTCTTTCTCTAGAAATTTTTAAACAGATTTTATTTGTTACTTAGAGTATTGTGTTCTTACTGTGTCTGCTACTCTAAATTGTAAAATGATGGCATTCATTGCCATCCATCCTTAGAAAGTTCAGGTGTGACACTCCTAGAGGCTGAATAATTCTTCCACAGTCAACTCCACTCCAGGATGAATTATTAATAGGGTTGAACATTCCTACTTGGGCCAACAGCATTTTTAATTTAATTATATCTGTGCCAGACTCTGGACACTGAAAATTTTATAATTGCAAGTCTGGAAAATTCTTTTTTAGACTTTGATATTTGCATTAAATATATTTTACCTTCTATAAGAGTTCTCATACTATTTCTGACTTGTTTCCTTTTCTACTTAATATCAAAAATGTGATTGTGAAAATACAAAATTCTGTCGTGACATGCAGATGTCAAGAAAACTCTAACTGCTGAAGAAAATTAATTTCAAAGAATTTTGTAAGGTAGCAGGTAAAAAGTCATGGTTCTCTGTAATGTCATTAATGTGCAACAGTAGTGCTAGTAAACATCAGAGTGAGGGAGGGAGCAAGAAGAGCAGGGTAGGGTTTAACCCCCTAGAAAAAGGGTAATGAAAACGTATGTATAGAATCTACAGGCTCTGAGGGAATAAAACTTTTTTAGGTTTTTTTTTTCTGTTTAACATAGTAATTTCAAAATAATAGAGAAACCCCCAGTTTTTTCTTCCAGAACAGCAGTTAGTAGAGGTGCATAGCTGTATTGCATCTTTTTATTTTGAGAGCTTAACAAAATACATACTATGTCATTCTTACACATAAATTCTTTGATAGTCCGAATGGTAAAATAGTCAACAAGACTCAATATGAGGTAATTATGAGTCTTACACATATTCACATATTACACATACTTATATATTATACATATTACACATATTCACCTCTAGATATAGATATAACTATTAAAATTGGACTATTATAATAAGATTCTGCCTTTTAAATCCTATTCCCAAGATTTGCTTTACTAATTATTTGGCTTGCTTCAATAATGTAATCTGTGTAATCGTCATAATTTCTCGTCGTTAAGTGCTGTCTTGGCTATATCGTGCAAATCATAAAACTTTTCTTCATTAAATCTTCTTTCTGAAATTTGGTCATTGTGATTAGGTGATTCTGGCTTCCCTCCTTTCTTCCTTCTACTTACATTAATTGCCTCAGTTCTTCTGGATAACCTTTATTCTGAAGCTACCGACTTTGATTCACTTGCTATTTGAGGGTAAAATGGGGCACAGGCTTAGAATTCATGATCTGTCTGTTTCTTTATGTGAAGAACTAGTGTTGTCAATTGAAACCTATTTTATTTTCATCCAGTTGAAGCATCTTACCTAGCTATTCTTCTTTTGAAAAGTCTAGACTTCTTTTCTAACATATAATGCAAAGATCTGTTTCTTTTAGCATTGTTTTGCATCTAGGTTAGGAACTAAATTAGCTATGAATTTGGGGACTATCTGGGTGTTAACAGATTATGAGATTATATTTCAAGTTAGTTATGCTTACATTTTCCATGAAAGAGCTCCTTACAAAAATTAAGATGTGTACTACTTTATGTATGCTAGATTTAGTCAGTTTATTTGGGAGTATTGTTCTAACTTTTGGCCACTACATCATTGAAGGCCATTTTTAATCATCAGCCAACCCTTTACAGCATCTTGTGTTTTTTTTTCACAGATTTCAGACTTCAAGAATCGTTCTTTAATCTCCCACAACTTCTTTTTCCGGAAAATGTAATGCAGAATAAAGATAATGCCCTCGGTATGGTATATGTCAGGAATAGCATTCAGAATACTATAAAAATGATCTACTTAGAGTTCTTCTGCTTATTGAAAAATTGGATCAGTTCTTCTATGAGATCCCAGCTTCAGTGTTACCATTACAGACTATTTTATGTGTATTTTCATCCCATATTTTCTAGTCTTAAATGGTAGTGGTTCTGAAACCTGAAAATTGACTAGCCACTTAATGTGCTAAAGTATATTTGTGTATACTTCTACAAAGAAGGAACCTGAAGAAAAGCATAAGGTCATTTTCTTCCTTCTTTATTGTCCTAAAGGCTCCAAAGAGGTTTGCTATTTCTTTTCATTTAATACATTTAGATATAAAAGGGTTTCTAATAGTACAAAGAATGTCATCATTCTTGGTTATTTCAGGTATCAGTAAATTTACCACTTAGGGTTGTAGGTATGTCATAGCTGATTGCTTTCAACACAGATATTTAATGTAGTTTAGGGGAGTACATTCACTTTTAAAAACAGTATTCTTGGATGTAAGAGATATTTTTAATCTCTTAATTTTCAGTATATTCTAAATGTATCACTATGGATTAACTTTAGCAGTTTAAAATTATTTTTATGACTAACTTCTGATTCTTTTTCCACAGCTTCTCTTTTAAAAAAAAAAATGCTGGATTTTGTCTTTGACAAAACACGTTACAGGGCTTTGTGGGATTTTTTTTCTTTTAATGTTTTAACCAAATCTCATTTTACAGTTTCTTTATTTGATCACCAATTTTCATAAATTTTTTCAAGTAAAAAAAAAAAAAAACTCTTACATTACTTCAGTTTGCGTTGATCTAACTCAGTGAATTCCCCTTAAGAAATTATCTTACATAAGTGCTGTCTCTGGTCTCTGCCCAAGCCAGCCTGTTTCATAAATAAATAATTTTATTTATGTTTTTTGCATTTTTGGTTGGAGAAAGGAAAATTAATTCATTCATATTTGTCCTGCAACCAAGTAGCCCATATATCCAGTATCTCAAAACCATCCTACCTAGCTACCTAAGTAGTTAAACCTGTAGTCATAACTACACAAAATGATTCAGATGGTAATATCTATATGGCTTCTTTTTGCGCTTCCTGTTTTCATTCACTCAACAATTATTTACTTCACTGTTTACCTTGAGCCAAGAGACCATGGCAGTCACTAGAAAAGATAAGATGAAACAAATTTCAATACTGCCTATAAAGATGCTAGTGTGAAAATTGTGTATTTTCTAAAGAGCATAAACTCTAGTAGGGAAGGTAGATAACTGCATAAGTAATTATAATATATGGTAGAATGTGACGAACCGCAAAACATAGGTACAATAAAGGACTCTCTCAGTTCTAGGGAATGAAAGATTGCTTTCACCTGGAGAAAGGTCTCAATCATTCATACAAAGAAATGAATGGCTAGATTTGTTTGACCCTATGAAAATCATTCATACAAAGAAATGAATAGCTAGATTTGTTGGACCCTTCACAATTTGGTTTGACAAAATTTTCTAGGCAAATTCAGAACTACTCCCTTTTAATCGTTCCTGATTTTTCTCAAGAAAACTAACTTGTATTTCTCTTCATACCCCATGCTTCCCACCTCTGCAGTTTTGCTCATGCTGTTTCTTCTCCCTGCAATGTCTTTTCATCTCTACATGTCCAAATCCTCCTCCTTCCAGAGAGCCTCTTATGATTTCTCCAGGTGAAAGCCATCTTTCATTCCTTAGAACTGAGAGAGTCCTTTACTGTACCTCTGTTTTGTGGTTCATCACATTCTACCATATATTATAATTACTTATTATATGTCTGTTGACAAGCCTTGTGCACAAAAGAATTCTCTGATGAAAGCACGCTACTGATGACACTTGACCTTCACACTATGGAGATTCCTTGATTGTCAAGCACTTCCACATGGAATGTAGCAGATACTCTACTTTGGGGAAGAGGGAAAGAAATATGCCTATGTATGTGACACCCCAGAAAGAAAATAATCCGTGTTTTAAAACAGTGTAAGCAAAGAGTTGATGATTGTTTAAAAACACAGTTTCTTTTCTCATTTTTACTTCTCTTCAACTGTTCAGAAACCTGATTCTTCTTTTTTATGGATAGAGAAATTCTGTCACTTGGGCATTCCAGAGAGAAAAAGAAGTGATAATTTATGTTCTTTTTTTTTTTTTTTTTTTTTTTGACCTAGCTCAGTTAGAGAAACCAGGGAAAAACTACCAACCTGAATGACAACACCCATTCTTGAGATGGTAATAATGAGAAAGTAGGTCCTAGGCTAATCCATGTAGATTTGAGCCTACTTTGGCCAAGAGCTGATCTCACAGCACATACAGAATGATGCTACTATGTAGACCCTCACTCCCTTGGGAAATCTGTCATCTACCTAAAAGAGAGAAAAAAGATGGAACATAGGCCCACCTAGTTTCATCCATCCACCTACATAACCAACATAGATGTGAGGTCCACTGCACTGATAGCCAGACTGCCTGGGGTAAACCTTTTCAGGGAGGACGAGAAACTGAAACAGGTTCATCAAGTACAAGCTAGCTTCCTAATACCCACTTTGATGGAGACAATCTGTAGATAAATATGGAAGGATAGATGGAGTCAATCTGGTTAGTGACACTGAGTAAAGTCCCTTTAAGTGATAAAATGATAAGGGCACATAATATAGGACAAGAATGAAATTTAACATTTGAGTGCCTACTCAATGAAAGGCAGTGTTGTAAGACAGTAATAGCATATTAAGAATAATTTCAGGAACATAAAATCAAAGTGGAGCCAAATAACACATGTTATAAACAGGAAATATCTTCCTTTCTTTGACTTAAAAAACAGAATTGTAACTAAAGAGTGTTGGACTAGGAAAACATTATGAAGTGGCATTTGAAAGTGAAGTCTTAAAAATTATAACTTTGTGGTCTTCACCAATATTAACACATTTTCCAACTGTTTTTCATCTTCTTTTTCCTTTGTAATTCATCTTGACTCATCTTCATTGTGCTTGAGCATTCCAGTTTCTTGTTCTATTTTTGTCTTCCCGTCTACTGTGTCAGAATGTACTACAAATCTAATACAAATGTCCCATGGAATACAAAAGATTAAGACATTTACTAACTCACCAGTCCACATGGATTTCAGCTATTTCTGACTTGTTATTGATTAGCTTATTGTAATTTAAATTTTAAAAATGCAGTCCAGGCCGGGTGCGGTGGTGCACACTTGTAATCCCAGCACTTTGGGAGGCTGAGGTGGGTGGATCACAAGGTCAGGAGTTTCAAGACCAGCCTGGCCAACATAGTGAAACACCATCTGTACTAAAAATACAAAAAAATTAGCCAGGTGTGGTGGTGGACACCTGTAATCCCAGCTACTCGGGAGGCTGAGGCCAGAGAATCGCTTGAACCTGGGAGGCGGAGGTTGCAGTGAGCAAAGATCGTGCCACTGCACTCCAGCCTGGGTGACAGTGTGAGACTCCATCTCAAAAAAAAAAAAAAAAACAGCCCAAAAAACTTAGTTAAAAGCCCATGTCAATGTATTTTACAAGTATTTTATAACCTAATTGGTATTTATACCACTTAAATGTAAACCTTCTCTGAAAATGTGTAGCTAGATTTATGAACATACCTTGTAAGAAGAGCATAGTTTAATAGAAAAATAACAACTGTATAAGCATTGTTAAATTACCAAATGGTATTGTCACAAAATACCTATTTAAAATAAGCATTAACTAAGCATTTATATGAAATATTTCCCTAGAGTATTATGATTTCCTATGTATGATTACCAAATTCCCAGTATAAAGCAAAACCCAACTTTTTCTCCAATCTCCTTCTTAATTTGTGCCAGTTTTACTCTTAAAATCCTTTTGGTGCATGTTCAGGGGCAGACTTTACAGTGTCTGGTTGGTAGTGATTTGAGCATTTTTGTTTTGTTTGTAACATAGACCCTTCAGAACACTGTACGGCTCATTAACAGTTTAAAGGAGTTCCTAAGGATCAAAATGTCATATTCTTAAGTGTTTATCTCTAATAATTTATTAAATGAGCTCACTGGAATTATTTTAGAGCCTTGATTTGTTAAGGTGATTTTTCTCTAACAGGTAATCGCAAGGACTTTCTGTGGGCTTTAGAAAATACTTGATTGAATTCACTGAATTGTTTGTGGACAGCACTGTTATAAGCAAAGTCCTTCCTCCCAAGAATCACCACTGCTCCTCCCTGTTTAACTTTCCCAGCCACCCTGCATGTTCTTCTTTTGTTGAACAAACACTTAATGAGCGTTTGTATGTCCCAGGCACATGTTAGACCCTGCTGACTGGATGGACACTAGGGTTTATGGGGGTTGCCTGTGAGACATTCAGCCTAGTAGAGAAGAAAACATTCTAGGATTGTACACAGATGGTTATCTTCTAACATATCCCTCACACAACTAGTGGATATATAGGGCCTCCCTAAGGAGGAGATTGAATGATCTCTTGCACTCCCACGGGCATCATTGCATGCAAGCCTGGCCCGTAAATCTTCAAGAGGGGTGTTTTCCTTATTTTATAGATTAGGCACAAGGATTAAATGGTAATGCCAAGTTTTGAAAGCAATTTTTTTAACTCTGAAAATATTCTGTGATATGCCAAGTGATTTTTTTTTGTCTTCCTTTATTATTTTATATTAACTTTAGCATACAAAGGAAAGAACTTTACAAATAGAATCCTGTACTACTGAGGCTCTTTTGAGTGTTTTTCTCTTAAGATGATAATGGAAAGTCACTTCTTAAAAAAGTGACAGAATCACTTCTATTTAGCTAAATTTTTACTCTCAACTCCAGTAAGTCTATATAGAACATATTTTATTATAATCTGTATTCATTTGTTTAACTTCTTTTCTTTTTAGTGGAGTTGGATCACAGGATTGATTTTGAACTCAGAGAAGGCCTTGTGGAGAGCCGCTATTGGTCAGCTGTCACGTCGCATACTGCCTATTGGTCATCCTTGGATGTTGCCCTTTTTCTTTTAACCTTCATGTATAAACATGAGCACGATGATGATGCAAAACCCAATTTAGATCCAATCTGAACTCTCTTGAAGGACATGAATGGCCTAAAACTGATTTTTTTTTTTTCCGTTAAAATGTGTGTGTCAAGATACGGAGATTTCAGGGTTAAAGTATATTTCAGTTTTCTTTAGGGCAACATATATTTGAATTTAAAAGCACTTTATTTAAAAAAAAAAGAAGTTTTCAGTTCTGAAGAAGTCATTTACAGTTTGCATCATTTTAATTATGAGTCTGACAAAACCTTCTCCAGAGAATCAAGCAAGACCTGGATGTGAAGAAGGTTTGGGTAAACTGCATGTAAAGGCTACAAATCACAATCTGATTCCTCCCAAATATAAAGGCATATGGAACATAATGTATTAACCAAAGTATGTTATAAATCAAAAATGGTCAAGGTTCAGCATATTCTATATGAAGATCACAAGGTGGTATCGTTTTAGATTTCTATGAAGGCTTTCATTTGTACATCCCTTTGAAAAAATATAACAGATTTAAAATGTTTTGAATTTAACTTGTTTAGAAAAACTAATGCTTAAAACAATATTTGAACTACTGTATTTATAATTTATTACCTCTAATTGCTTTATTTCAGTGTATGAGACATTACTGTTTTAATGTTTGCTTTGAACATAATTTAAGAACCAGATTTATTTTCTATAGTGATAAACCCTTTTTTCTCAGAACTCCATCTTTGTACTCTTCAGATGAATATATAGACACTGTGGCATACATTTTTTTTCATTAAAAACTTATGGCTTCATACAACACTAGTTCAATTTTTTAAATAAACTTTTTATTATGTTACATGTACTTCAGAGAAAGCTAAAGTTTCTCTAAACTTGACACGGAGTACTCCATAATGGGTACATTTCATTAGCTTTATTAGAAAACTAGTAAATGCTTTTGAATAGGTAGTATGACAGCTATTTTAAATGTATAAACATTTGTGTGCCAAACAACATATATGAAGGGATGTGATGCCACTAACTAGTGCACATTGTTTCTCAATGTGCCATTGAGACACAAGGCACAGTAAGTCAGGATTCTGAGGCATTGGAAGGGTTTTCTTCAGCTGTAATTGTTTCCACAGTGCTTTTCATCTGAGGGGCTCAAAGTTTAAGAGTGCATTCAATAACCCATGTACTAGCTTCTTGAGGTAAGTAAATAAATCTTGTTCTCATGTTACATGTTAATACACCAAGGCACCAAAACATTTAAAGTGCCATGAATTAGATTACATCAGAAATCAGAAAAGCTTGGATTGAGCTAGTCACCGTGGTTCACGCCTGTAATCCCAACACTTCGGGAGGCCAAGATGGGAGGATCTCTTGAGCCCAGGATTTCAAGACCAGCTTGGGCAACATAGTGAGACCCTCTTCTCTGCAAAAACTGACAAAAATTAGCCACTTGTAGTGGTGTACACCTGTAGTCCCAGCTACTCAAGAGGCTGAGGTGGGAGGATCACCCGAGCCCAGAAGTTCAAAGCTGCAGTGAGCTCTGATCACACCAATGCACTCCAGCCTGGGTGACAGAGCCAGACCCTGTCTCTAAAAAACAAAAAAGAAAAGCTTGGGTTGAAGCCAGGCCATATTCTTTTATATGCTGTTCAATGACTTGATTCACATGTGACCTTTTAGTAGTTTGCAAACAATAATAACAGAAGTTGCAATTCATAATTCAGAGAAATGACCATGAAGCCGGTGTTTCCCTGCTTGATTTCTATGTTCTTGGATTCTCACACAAAAGAGGAGTTACCTAGAGGGGATCAGTAGCCATCCCTGTTGCACACAACCCTCACTTCTGAGTGGTTTCCACTAGGTTCCACTTAAGGTGCTGTCTTTTCTTAACTTGCAAGGAATTGCTTAGCTTCCCAATAATCATTGTCAAACTGGGAGCAAAGTTGGTCAGCTGTATCTCTCACCTCCTCCTTTCTTCATAAGATAGTAGAATCTGTGGCTTACTTGTAGGTTTTACTTAGTGCTTCAGTACTGTTGGCTGTTTTGGCCTTTTGCTGAATTTGCACAACAACATAAAGCACTTCTTTTTAATGTTTAAAAAAAATTCCAAGGCTCCATGACCAAGTATGTGACTCACTAAGAAACCCTTGCTATAAAAGGCTTTTGATGAAATCTTAGCAAAGCTAAATTATCTCTAACTTAGAGATTCCTATGAACTCAGGTCATTTTCATAGCCTGTTTATTTTGTAGGTCTAATTTAGTTCTCAGGAAAATTAAACTCATGCTATATGACTGTATCGTTAAAGGTACTTGAGCGTATGTTGCTGTAGGTGGTATGACACTCAAATGCATAAGAACTTGAAGGGATTTATTCTTAACCACTAGAATATGAAGAGCCCTTTTTACCTGAGAAGAGTGAAATTATGTCAGACCTTTTAATTTGATATCACTGAGTAAAAGGTATGTTCCTATAGCCATAGGAATATGTCTGCTTCCTTTTTTTCATGTTGAGAAAACAGTCAAATTTAACCATTTGGAGTTTATTTGAATTCTTGGAAAGAGCAATATTCAAAACCTTTTCAAAAATAAGATATTCTGGACTACTGGATGGATGTTTTGTTTTCAGTTCATTTTTCATCAGTAGAGATGGTGATTTCGGTTTTGTAGTATCCTTGTTTCTATGTCTGTGCATGTTAACATTGGATGTATTTGTATATACTTAATTAATATACAGACTGTGTGTCATTCTGGCTTGATTAGAAGCTAAGTCAGTTACTGAGTAACATTTTGCAACTTTATTCCAGCAAGTACTAAATCGGCCAAAAAAAGTTTTGTTTTTGATACCATTAAAATTTTATTCTCTATTTTGTGTACATGCTATGATGATTCTCCCAAGTACTGATTAGATCACTGAACTTTAGTTAGCTTCCCAAGAATTATTAACCGTTAGAATAAGACTTAGATTAAATCTTGCTTTATTTTTACTTTAAAATTAGTCTTGCTAAGGCCTTATGTTAGTTCATACTTTCTTTTCAACAGTAATCTTGTTTATAATCCAGTGTTTCTGTGTTTTAGGACATAATTTAAAAATATACTGGATTTTGGCCAGGTGTGGCAGCTCATGCCTGTAATCCCAGCACTTTGGGAGGCCAAGCAGGGAAGATTACTTGAGCCCAAGAGTTGAAAACCAACCTGGACAACATGGTGAAACCCAGACTCTACAAAAAATGCAAAGATTAGCTGGGTGTGTTGGCAGACGCCTGTGGTCCCAGCTACTCAGGAGGCTGAGGTCGGTAGGACTGCATGATTCCGGGAGGTCAAGGCTTCAGTGAGCCAAGATTGCACCACTGCACTCCACCTTGGGTGACAGAGCTGGACACTGTATCCAAAAAAAAAAAGTATGTATTTACACACACACACACACACACACACACACACTGGATGTTCTAATAACTGCTCTTTTGTATGTGAAGCAAGCCTTAGGAATCTTACGTTTTACTTCTTTCTGTTAAACGGCATCTGTTATCTTTTGAAGTACTCACACTGAACATGCTTCATGCTGAATACTCACGCTAAAGGCCTCAGACATGTAAACATTCATCCTTAGTCTCTTTTTTCTCTGTTTTCTCATTGGGAGCTGAAGCATCCTAGTCTGCAGAAAATTTAACACACCATATTCCAGCTTTGCATCACCTAGACAGTAGACAAAAGGAAAAGAAATTGTCAGTACCGTATCACAGCTAGTGCCTCTGTTCATTCCAGTGATAGTACATGAGCCCCTTCCAGTGGAGTCAGATCAAGCCAAAAGATTTTCCTGTAAAGTCTGTAGTAGAAGACAAATTTCTTTTTGATCCATTAGATTGGTATTTCTATCTTCTCAGCTAATTAATGAGTAAGGCATGTGGACAATCGAGAAAACTAATTTGAGTGTATGTATTAAAATTGCTCTTCTAAAAACACGTAAAATATTAAAGATCAAGGCAGAGCAAAAAAGAACGTAGCAATCATATACTAGAAAAAGAAACTAAGTTTTGCTAAACTATGTTTGGGTTAGTTGACCTCTGTAGCTATTCTAAAGTTTTCTATCCCTTATCTGTATTCCGCTGTCATTCCTGTGCCTCAAGCCTCTGCCAGGAATCTGATGGTACTCTGGCTGAACTTAAAACATAAGAATCTCAAAGGTCTCATTTAGTAAATGTTAGTGCTAAGTTGGTGACAGCCTGGGTTATATGCTTTCTCTTTCAGTCTTCAGTAGATGCTTGTGATAGTTTTCAAAGAACTGTAAAATTTCCGGGTCTGTACAGATTTTTAGAGATCATTTAATCCAACCCTGTTACAGTATCATGTCAGCATTTAAATAGCAGTAAAGGTCATGAAAAGTGAAGTGAAAGGCAGCAAACTCCATGAAAAACTAAATACAGTGACAACTGAGGGAAGTGGTAAAGTAAAAAAATATTAATGATGGAATTTTAAAGCTGGAAGGGGCATAGAGACCATTCTTTTCTCAATAATATTCTGCAAATATTAACAGGTGTCATGTCAGAAACTAAGTTTAGGAATTGACAAATTCAAAAATCTCCCTTACAGCAGGGCTTTGAGAGCCTTTGCTACACTAAATGCTCTGTGAATCTATCTGGTGCTGCGTGGGGGCCTCCAAATTTATTTAACCATATTTTTTAATTTGGCATTTACCTAGAGAAATGCTATCACATTTAATTCCTTCGTTTTACAGTTTCACCTCCTCATGTGATTCCTTCATTTTGTAAGTGACCGATTCCACCCTATACAATCACATGGCCAATGAATGACAGTCAGAATTAGAACCTAGTCCCCTGATTCCCAACCATGTCTTATACCAGACTGTTTCCCCTAATCGATAGGAAACTACTCCTAAAGGGCAGAAACTGCCTCTCTTTGTTTTTGTCCCCCAACCTCCCCTCCACACATACACCTCTGTAATCTGATGCTTTAAGCTCAGATTAAAGCATCAGCAAGCTTTAATCTGACACATGGCCGTAGGCTTGAGTTAGCAGTTGGTCCCTTCTTTCTTCCAGACTCTCATAAGAGTACCCTATCAGGTCTGGACAGACTTCCGTTTATGCCTCAGATTCAAAATACCCAGGAAAAAGAAGAAGAAATACAAAACAACAAAAAGAAAATCAAGAAAAAAATAAGATATCCAGGAAATATTTTGTTAGTTTTCTATTCTGGTGACAAATGCAAACTTAAGGAAACAAGTTGCACAGTGTTAACTAATGTTTAACATTCCTTTCCATAGTGTTTATGTGGGCCTTTTATCAATTCATGACAAATAGGTCACCTCCAAAACTGTTCCAACATAGGTTAACTCAGAAATTTAAAATTTAAGTACTATCCTTTTTGGAGACTATGAGAAGAGTTTTTACTATTGTGTTTTGTTTTGTTTTTTGGTGTGTGTGTGTATGTATGTGCATTCCCCAAAAATAGTCCATTGGCAGATTGTTAGGGTGAACTTTTCCTCTGCCTTTGTGTTTGTATAAGGGCGGGTGCATGCTTAGTATTGTCTGCTACCTTATGGTTTTTCATTTATATGTAACATGGTACAACTTGCTTCCTCCCCACCCAACAGTTGTCAGGATATGTTGGGGAATATTCTTTAGGAAGATTACATCTGGTCTTCTGTTGGAGTAAGATGAAAAACAAGTATGTTAACACTTGACCTTTACTGCTTTCTCCTGGAAGACATTGAATATCTAGGAGCGTCACTCATACCTTCCCTTGACTGTACCCACACCCACTGCGGTCCCTGCTTGATCTCTCAAACTTTTTGTTTCCCTTTGAGCTTCATGACAAAAAATTATAACCATTTTCTGGTTCTAAGGCTGCCATAATCCCAACTTTGCCAGTAAGAAGATGGAGAATTTTTGCTCATAGGGACATTTCTCAGAAGCAGCTGGCACCATAACTCTCCTGAGACCCTTGTTTCCTTTCTTTCAGCTCCTATGACTTCTTATGTTCACTCTCTCTAACACTACTAAATGTTGTCAATGACTGCAATCACAACTCTTTGAAGGCAGGCTTTTTCTTTTCCTTTGTTACCTCTTATTTTCAATAGCCAAAGCAGGTTAGTTTTCTCAGAATCTTCAGTTTTACTGAAGCATGCATTATTTCTGTTTTCTCTCTGCAGTGATCAGTTTGGATGACAGAAACTTTAAACTTTTATTCTGGCATTGTCCAGTTCTGATTTTCTCAGCTGGAACTGGTGCATGCACATTTAATAATTTCAAAGAAGTGAGAGGTAAATGTTTTCTCCTGCATTATACTGTGTTTCTCTAGCTGAATTGATCCGTTTGTTATCTTGCTCACCCGAAACAAGTAGTTGTGCCCTACAGTGAGCAACCTCAGACTAGGCTGTTCTAAGCATTCTGGAGAAAATAATCCTCATCATACAGTTTGTGGTAACTCTTCCAAAAAGTTTATGAAAATTGAAAGATCTCCCTATGCATCAGCTGTGGCTGCCACATTCCGTTCTACTAGGAAGGCTAGTGGCCACAACTCCCTCTAGAACATCAGAGGATAAAGTACACTTATATATTAGAAAAGACAGGCATATTCTGATTATGGTTCATTCACAATTTCTCAGTCCAGGGTTCAGTCAGTGACCATAGCTCTGAGGTCTTCAGGCTAACTCCAAGAACCCGTGCCAGATAGAAACCTACTCCTACTACCTTTCCACTCACCTTCCCATTCCCCCACCTTTGCTACCAAAGTGACTTTAAAAGTCGAGTTTTAGGTGTTTGTTTTTTTAACAGTCTAGGAATTTCAGTGCAATTCCGTGAGGTGGTGCTGACCTTAGATGAGAAATACGTGGCCAGGCTATAAGGACTACATGTAGAATTGAGATGGGACAGTGTACGTATGGACTGTGAGGGGAAAGAAAAGGTAAATGTGTGAAAGGAAAGAGATTGGTGCATGGTCATGACAGTCTGACAGCTTAGACATTTCAGAGGCATTGTTTATGAGAAAGGGGATAGGGACACATAGGTCTGATGACAACCAAAGCCCTTTGATGATGCCATCTGTCACTCAAGGCTCCCCACAGCCTGCCCAACCTGACTCTCCTGCCTGCTTCTCCACTGCCTACCTTCAACAATCAAACTATATTTTTGTTACAGCAAACTACATTCCATTTGCCTTTAAATGCTTGCATTTTAGTTATTGTACTGGCTACCTGTTTTTGTCTGCCCAGCATCCTGTTTCCCCTCCTTTTGGATCCTCTCCTAGCCAATTCCATGTCTTGAATCCTTTCCTGCTCCTTGTTAAAATTATTTTCTGCTTTGTGTGAGTCCCTGTAAGCACCAGCAGCTCAATCAGCACTGTCTGTACCATGGTCAAGAGATGAGTACATGACTCAGGTCAGACCTTATTTCCCACCCCATAAGCCACAATGATTAGACAAGAAATAGGCACAGAACCCTAACTAGATAGGGCAGAAGCCTTCCATAGGATTTTATTTGCTGGCCCTGAAATGCAGGTAGCCTTCTATGGCTGTTAAACACAATCCAGTGGCACATGGGGTGATATGAGGATGGAGCCATCCATGGCAAAACTCCACCCTTTCCTGTGACATGGATTATGTGCATCTGCCATGAAAAGGAAGCATACACAAGAAATGAGCCAAGAGTTCCTGGAGAACTGAAGCAAGTATCACCTCCAGATCAGTTGTACTTTTATTTGCTTACACTATTCTGAGGTGGGTCTCTGTCTCTTGGATCCAAAAGAGTTCAAATTAATAATCATTTGACAAAAAATTACCTCCACATTCCTAATGAAGTTGTCTTTGAAGATAATGTCTTGTGATCCCCTGGTTGAAGTTAATTACTGCTTGTGAGCCCCCATTAACAACGTGTTCCTTTCCCCATTGCTTGCTTGTATCAGCTTTGCTGAAGATCTATTGGCTGTAGGTGTGCAGCTTTATTTCTGTGTTCTCTATTGTGTTCCATTGGTCTACGTGTCTGTTATTGTACCAGTGCCGTGCTGTTTTGGTTACTGTGGTCTTATAGTTTGAAGCCACATCTGTGTGATGCTGCTGGCTTTGTTCTTTCTGCTTTGGGTTGCTTTGGCTATTCAGGCTCTTTCTTTGGTTCCATCTGAATTTTAGAATAGTTGTTTTCTAATTCTGTGAAAATGTTCCAACCTCTGTGAAAAATGAGGTTGGTAGTTTGATAGGACAGCATTGATTCTGTAAATTGCTTTGGGCAGTATGGCCATTTTTAAACTATATTGATTCTTCCAATCCATGAACATGGAATGTTTTTCCATTTTTTGGTTTCATCCCTGATTTCTTTCTGCCATGTTTTGTAGTTCTCCTTGTAGAGATCTTTCACCTCCTTGGTTAGGTGTATTTTTAAGTATTTCAGTTTTTTTATGGCTATTGTAAATGGTATTGGGTTCTTGATTTGCTCTCAGCTTGAACGTTATTGGTGTATAGAAATGCTCCTAATTTTTGTGCATTGATTTTGTATCCTGAAACTTGACTAAAGTTGTTTATCAGTCTAGGAGCTTTTGGCAGAGTCTTCGGGGTTTTCTAGGTATAAAATCATATCAGCGAAGAGAGCTAGTTTGATTTCTTTTCCCAGTTGGATGCCTTTTATTTATTTCTCTTGCCTGATTGCTCTAAGTTGAATGGGAGCGATGAGACTGGGCATCCTCTTCTTATTCCAGTTCTCAGAAGGAATAGTTCCAGCTTTTGCTCATCCAGTATGATGTCTGTGGGTTGGTTGTAGATGGCTCTTATTATTTTGAGATATGTTCCTTTGATACCTAGTCTGTTGAGGGGTTTTATCATGAGGGATGTTGGATTTTATCCGTATTCAATAAATGGTGTTGGGATAACTGGCTAGCCCTATGCAGAAGAATGAAACTGGACCCCCCACCTTTCACCGTATATGAAAATTAACTCAAGATGGATTAAAGATTTAAATGTAAGACCTCAAACTGTAAAAATCCTAGAAGAAAACCTAGGAAATACCCTTATCAACATCAGCCTTGGCAAAGAACTTTTGGCTAAGTCCCCAAAGGCAATTGCAACAAAACAGAAATTGGCAAGTGGGGACCTAATTAAAGCACTCTGCACAGCAAAAGACACTATCAACAGAGTAAACAGACAACATACAGAATTGGAGAAAATATTTGCAAACTAGACATCCAACAAAGATCTGACATCCAGAATCAATAAGGAACTTAACAAGCAAAAAACAACCCCATTAAAAAATGGGTGAAGGACATGAACAGACACTTCTCAAAAGAAGACATACAAGCAATCAACAAACGTGAAAAAATGCTCATCACTAATCATCAGAGAAATGCAAATCAAAACCACAATAAGATACCATCTCACACCAGTTAGAATGGCTATTGTAAAGAAGTCTAATAACATGCCAGTAAGGTTTCAGAGAAAAGAGAACATTTATACACTGTTGTGGGAATGTAAATTAGTTCAGTCACTGTGGAAAGCAGTTTGGAGATTTCTCAAATAACTTAAAACAGATCTACCATTCAACCCAGCATATGGGTTTATTTCCCAAAAGGAAATAAATCCTTCTACCAAAAACACATATGGTCATCACAGTGCTATTCACAGTAGCAAAGACAGATCAACGTGGCTGCCCATCAACAGTGGACTGGATAAAGAAAATGTGGTACATATAAATCATGGAGTATTAGGCAGCCATAAAAAGAACAAAATCATGTCCTTTGCAGCCAGCCACATGGATACAGCTGGAAGCCATAATCTAAGCAAATTAAGAACAGAAAACCAAGTACTGCATGTTCTAACAAATGGGAGCTAAATATTGAGTACCTCAGGATGCAAAGGTGGGAACAACAGACACTGCAGACTGGAACACTGTGGGTGAGGAGGGCAGAAGGATAGGTTGAAAAACTACCTATTGGGTACTATGCTCACTACCTGGGTGATGGGATCTGTACCTCAAACCTCAGCATCACACAATATACCCTTGTAACAAACTTGCACATTTACCCACTGTTTCTAAATGAAAAGTTGAAATATTTTTTATTAAAAAACACAAAAGCAATATGTTTCTCAATAATTGCACTGGTTTCATTTTGCCTTGATTTGGGGTTTGATTACAGTCTCCCACTTGTGTGTGTAAGCTCTTTAAAGGTGGGGAGCAATCCTAATCATCACCAGACCCTCCACAGTACATCATAGGTGCTTAAATTTACTGAATTATATCTACACCAGTATATACACCAGGCTCTAAGTACTGGGAATAACCATGAGTTTTAAAAATACAAAAATCTTTGCCTTCATGGGCAATTCTGTGACCAAAATAATGAGAATTGCTGAATTGGGAGAAGCCTTGAGAAAGGGCAAACCCTACCTGGAACCAAACGGCTCAGACAAAAGGAAGATTCCTTTTTCCACAGCCAAAGAAAGCAAAATTAGTAGCTTGTGGGGCAGGGCAGAAGAGTAGAAATTATATGTCAGGGTGAACTTGAATGCAGAACTGGGGTGTGCTATTTTAAAAAACTGTTACATTAACCTGTGCTAAAATGCCTAACAAAATATTTATAATTGCAGGCATTCCCCAACTTGGTCCCATAGTAACTCAGTGGCAGTTTCCTACATAAACCAAGAAGTATTTCCTGCTTGCCCTGTGCTGTTCCCTAAACATAACGGTGCGTGTTTGCCCCTCTCTACCTTTGCATTTGCTGTCCCCTCACCCCAGAAACTTCCATGTATTGAACTTTCACTTATTTTGGAGTCAGCAATGAGTTGCAGCTGGAAAAAAGACACATTCCCAGTGCTTTCTCAATGCCTTCCAGCTGCAGACTATTTTGTCTCTAAGCTAGACAGTAATTTATGATTCACTCATTCTGCAACTGAAATAAAATGGAAGGGAAAACAAAGGAGAAAAAGATGAGGTTTGTGGAAAATGGTGGTTGATCAATTAATTTGCTTTTGTGAGGGATACTAAAACATTTTGTTGTTTTGTTTATAAGGAATGGAATGTATTCCAAGTTTTAAATAAATAGCTATTAACTTTAGGAATGCAACTATTTGGAAGGCTAAGGATCACCAGTTTCTACCAGTATATAAGCGCATTTTAAGGTGTGGCTGATGTACTAAAAATGATTTCTATGGGGAGAGAAAACCACAACACAGTGAAGAGGGAACTAATGTGGGAGAGAAACCCCTCCCACAGATAGTAATGGTGGAAAGTTACTTAAGCAACGGAGACTACTGGGGCATCTTATTTAGGGGCCGAGTCTGGCTCCTTATAGTAATGCCAAAATAGAGAACACTCATTGCTGATACATCAAAGGCTGAGCATTTTTCTCAACAAGATCAGTGGCTTTAAATATTTGCTAACACCACCTGTTACAAAGAATTCTCATTTTTCCCCGTCAACTGTAAAAATATTTAAGAATGTGGCTATGTATATAGGAGTGAGAGCCTACTAGCTTGCAAAATTTATTAAATCCTTAATTGTGCAGCTTGTATTAAGATCACTGTTAACATTACTGAAGGTTTGCTATACCTGGCACTGTAGGTGCTTTAGATACATCCCCTCATTTAATGTCCACAATACCCCTATGAGGGAAATACTGTTGTTAGCTCTTAACTTTCCACAAAGAAACTAAGGCACAGAAAGGTTAGGTAACCACAGCCACACAGCTATGAGATAGCGGTGGAGCCGTGATATGTCTATGCTTAATCCTGTACTCTGCTGCCTCTCCCAGCTTAATGTGTGGGAACGCCTTCTAGATGGGCCTTGAGACCAGACTCCACATAAATGTCTGTATGTAGAGGCCTGAAAATTGTAACTCAGCCAAAAGTCTAGCCTACTTCCCTGCTAGTGATCTCAGTTGCTAGTAAAATAACTACAGTGTGCACAAGTGGAAAAGAGAGAAACCTTTCACATGGAAGAAGAAACCAAGGTGATCACTTCCTGTTTTGCCTCTTCTGGGCTTTGAGCAGAATGGTTGGTATCTTGACAAGTGAGTTGCCCAATGAGTATAATCTTAACCTGTATTCCTTCCAGTACATGCAACAGCTAAATATTCTTATCTAGGAATAACATAGTCCTAGGAATGGTTCAATTCACACTCCCCAGGTTTAAGTCTGAAAATATCCTGTATTATAATGTCATAATCATCCTGGAGCCACATTTTTAAGAGTGTGAAGGCTTTTCCAGAATAAAGACCCTGAAATCTTTCAAAGGTTCTTCAGAATCACACATATATGACATATATGTGGCATGCATGTCATATATATGTTATATGTTTTATTTATGTATGTATATATGTATATAAAACTAAGACTCAGATTATTAGCTATACAGAGGTCCTTAACGAGTCCACAAATCTTAAATTTTAAAAATTGTCATCAAAAGGAACTGGAATACCCTTTAGTTTTGGAATCATGTTTTACGTTTCTCTGAGAGGCTTGTCAGACTCAGATTTCCGTTTATCTGAGATTTGCTGAGTCTTGTAACCACAGCACTTAATGATACTTAAGGCACATGTTAAAACTCAGCATGGTCACTGTTTGAAAAAAGTATTCCTCATATAACTCAGTTGAGACAAATTCTATTAATATAAGGACAATCTGCCACATGTGGTGGCCACGCCTGAAATCCTAAGCACTTTGGAAGGCCAAGGCAAGAAGATTACATGAGCCCAGGCCTTCAAGACCAGCCTGGGCAGCATAGCAAGACCTCCTCTTTACAATTTTTTTTTTTTAATTAGCTAGGTATGATGGCACACACCTGTAGTCCTAGCTATTCAGGAGGCTGAGGTGGAAGGATCACTTGAGTCTAGGAGTCCTAGGCTGCAAGTGAGCTATGATTGCACCACTGCACTCCAGCCTGGACAATAGAGCAAGACCCTGTCTCTAAAAACTAAATGTATGTGGAGAATCATGAAATCTGTGTTAGGTCATTTTCCTAGAATTGAAAATGCTCTCCTAACTTGATAATGCTTTATGCTTAATTTAATGTAACAGTTTCTTTTCGCTGCCTATTTTGCTTCACCTTTTTTTAATTTATTTTTTATTATTATACTTTAAGTTTTAGGGTACATGTGCACAATGTGCAGGTTAGTTACATATGTATACATGTGCCATGCTGGTGTGCTGCACCCATTAACTTGTCATTTAGCATTAGGTATATCTCCTAATGCTATCCCTACCCCCTCCCCCCACCCCACAACAGTCCCCGGAGTGTGATGTTCCCCTTCCTTTACTTAGCTTTGCTTCACCTTTCAATAATTTCTCATGTACAAATAGTTAATATTTATAGCTTGAGGTGTTGCCTTTATAGTGGGAATAAAAGGCAAATGATATATTACACCATCACGCCACCTCTTCTCTGTTCAAAGAGGTCTAATTTCATGATTTTGGCAACATTCTTAATGCTCAAGAAACCAGTGAGATCATTGAATTGAATAGCCATGTCAATCACAGCTCATCTTTACACTTTTACTAGCCAGATTTTACAGCCTGGTCTCTGCTTTGGTAAATATTTTATCATCCATATGCCTTTAACTTTATTGCTTAGAACTTGCCCCAAGTTTTTGCTTTTAACCTTTGTCCTACTTTTTGGTTGTCACTGTACAGGCTGAGCTTTCAGTAAACTGTATGCTGTTCAGATTCTTGCATAACATTCTAGTTTAGAAAACAGTAGTCTTTTTGCAGAGGGACAAGCTAAAGAATGTTCTCATTTATATGGTGGCAGGAAACTCAGACTTACCTAGGTATGTATATCATACTGCTATACATCTTAAAAAATTTAAGTCAGCTCTTAATTACTCATGGCATTGAGAAAAGTTTGACTACAATGAAATGATGAATGCATTATTTGTTTTGGAAATGTAATCCAAAAATACACTCAAGTCAACACATAAGTTTATCCTCAAAAATAATTCAGTAACTAATGCAGGCTCTTTGTCAGCTCTCAACTGAACTAGGGCGATGGTAAGAAGGACCTCCCAGTTTATAACGGTTTGGCTGACCCTTGGTGAGTGCCCATTTGTCAAATGAGGCATTAAAGATAGATTTTAATCCACTCGATCTTTTTTTAAAGACTTGAAGATCCTCCAGCTGAAATGTCAGTGTGCCCAAGTATGCAACTCACTATTCACAAAAGAACTTTCTTTCAAGATCTCTGCCTTCCATAAGCAATTCACAAACTCCTCTTCCTCTTTGCACCCTGTGTCAAGGCTTCCTGAGTACCATTTCAACAGAGAACTTATTTATAACTGCAATATATCTAAAAATCATAGTCCAAAATCTTTCAGGCAGACAAATGCCATTGATCTCAATGTCATATTCAGGAAGTCACTGATCCAAGTGCCATATTCCACAAATTCCCAGGCATAATCGAACTTGCTAGAAAACCAAAAAGGGAAAACCTGGGAAGTGGGCCAAGATCCTTGGTGTCATTGTACAACATTCAAGCCAACTCTGGTTTCAACATTCTTTTGAGATTGTTAATCCCTGATTGGAATGCATTCCACAGTGCTTGGCCACAGATTGTCACACAAGAAGTACACTGCAGAATTGTACTTGCATATTGCTGGCTTTTTGCAATAGGAAAATAGAACCCTTAGTAGGAAAGTCTGTTTTGTCTTTTTAATTTGTATGAAATCTCTGTGGAAGTATTACAATGTAGTAGACATAAAACTGGATTAGGATGGTCTATCATATATAATCTTGAGCTAATGCCTAATCTTCTAACTACCCTACCTGTTTCCCAAGGTGGTTATAAAGAATTAATAAGATAACATTTTATGTAAGGCATCACTGTTGTGATAAGCATAAGGAAGATGTAACTCAAAATATATGGACAAATGGTAAGCTTCAACAGTAAGCTTTACCAAGTGAGTAATAGTATCTGAAATAATCTGTTCATATGATACAATCTCAAAAATGCAACAGGATCTTTTTTGGAACTGGGCAAGCTGTGTCTTAAAATTGTATAGAAAAAATAAGAATATTCAGGAAATTTCCAAGGGGGAAAGAAGAGTAATGAGGACAATTAGCCCACTAGATAGTAAAACATAGTATAATGCTATTGTGACCAAAACACTATAGTAATAGTGTATGAAGAGACAAGAGAGACCAATAGAATAGATGAGGAAGCCCAGAAATATGTCAGATACATAGCCAATTTTAGTATATGATAAAGGCATTTCAAATCATTTATAAGAAGAGCCTAAGAAAAAAATGAGTGAGGTACCACTTTTCACCTATAAGAGTGACAAAGTTCTAAGGGCTTTATAACATGCTCTGTTGGTGAGGGTACAAGGAAAGTTACTCCCAAACATTTGCTGGTGGAAATGTGAATAGGTACAACATTTTTGGAGGGCAGTTTGGCAATATCTATCAAAGCTGAAAATGCCCATACCCTTTAACCCAACCATTCTGCTTCTACAAATCTGTCCTTCAAATATTACCACTCCTGAAAAATGACTTACATATAAAGTAATTAGTTACAGAATTGTTACTGACAGCAAAATATTAAAAGCAATATAAATTCCATTGATTGGGATTAGCTAAAGAAATTATGGTACCTCTATAAGGTGGAATTGTGTATAGATTAAAGAAATTAAAGATAAGGCAGTTCTATATGTACAGGTATGGCAGAGTCCCCAAGCTATGTGGTTAAGTGAAAACCCAAATGCAAAACAGGATGTATAGAATGTAGAGTGTAGAGTGTTTAGAATTTATGCCATTTATAGGCAGTCAGGAAGACATAGGATATAATACCTCTGAAAGATCAAACCAGAAATTACTCTTAGTGGTTACCTCTGCAAAAGAGAATTAGATAACTGAGGGACAGGAGTAGAAGGTATGCTTGCTTTTAGCTATATGCAGTTTGTTATGCCTTTTGAATTTTTAATTGTATGCATGAGTTACCTATTCAAAAGTGTGTTTTATTTTTTAAGAAACAAAAAACATTAGTAGCAGAAATAACAGGCATAATCTGATAACTTTACATACTAGTCTACATACCAAGGAACTTAAATGTTCCTTATTCTTTTGAGAGTATTGAGCAATATTAATATGATTACTATCCCAGAGGCAGATAGGAGATTGTAGGATGTGAGATTAGGAAAGAAATGCCTTACTCAGAATTAGAGGAATAAAGGATCAATCTTTAAAAGTAGGATGATTTAACTATCTGTCCCCATGCTCTTCTTCAGAAAGGCTGAAAAGAAAGGCCTTTGACTGCAATTCTCCTTATAGCTCAAGGTTCATATTCCTTAGATGAGCCATTGTTTTGGAAAACACACTAATGAGTTTTGGGATAGGACAGGGCCGGTCTGGAAAAGAAGAATCAAAATAGTTCTGTACTGGCTATTATTAAAAAGTCAAAAAATAACATGCTGGTGAGGTTGTGGAGAAAAAGGAATGCTTATACACTGTTGGTGGGGGTGTAAATTAGTTCACCCATTTTGGAAGACAGCGTGGTGATTCCTCAAAGACCTAAAGACAGAACTACCATTTGGCCGAGCAGTTCCATTACTGGATGTATACCCAAAGGAATATAAATCATTCCATCATGAAGACACATATATGTGTCTGTTCATTGCAGCACTGTTCACAATAGCAAAGATGTGGAATCAACCTAAATGCCCATCAATGATAGACTGGATAAAGAAAATGTAGTACATATACACCATGGAATACTATGCAGCCATAAAAAGAATGAGATCACGTCCTTTGCAGGGACATGAATGGAGCTAGAGACCATTATCCTTAGCAAACTAGTGCAGGAACAGAAAAACCAAATACAACATGTTCTCATAAGTGGGAGCTAAATGATGAGAACATATGGACACACACAGAGGAACAACACACTGAGGCCTAGCAGAGGGTGGAGGGTGAGGGTTGGAGGAGGGAGAGGATCAGGAGAAATAACTAATGGGAACTGGGTTTAATACCTGGGTGATGAAATAATCTGTATCAACAAACCCACATGACACAGGTTTACCTATGTAACAAACCTGCACATGTACCTCAAACTTAAAAATAGTTCTGCGTATAAAGAAGGAAGTAAAGTGAAGGGCAGAGAATCATAGAAGCAGGTAAGTTTAAGATAGGAGCATGTGAAAAGAAAAAGTAAAAAGCTGTGAAAAGGGAGAGGGAAACCAAGCAGCCTTTAGTAAAGTTAGTTTCATACACAAATGCCTTGTGTGAGTATTATTGTTTTGAGGGGGTTAAGGGCGGAAAGGCTGAGAGTCCTCAGTTGGGACAAAGCAATACAGGAGAGTAACAGCACGTGGGGAGGCACAGTGGCACACACCTGTAGTCCCACCTACTTGGGAGGCTGAGGCAAGAAGATTGCTTGAGCCCAGGATCTTAAGTCCAGCCTGGGGAACATAGTGAGACTCTATCTCTAAAATAAATATAAATAAAATTAATTCTCCAAATACTGAGGTAACTGGAAAATGCATAAATCACCCAGATTTTCCTGAGGAGGGACACGAGTTCAAGCTAATTTTCTTTGAATTTCAAAGGAAAAGGTGCTTCAGCTGACATCTTATTGTTTGTATTTTTAGTAGAGACAGGGTTTCACCATGTTGGCCAAGCTAGTCTCAAACTCCTGACCTCAGGCGATCCACCAGCCTCGGCCTCCCAAAGTGGTGAGATTATAGGCATGAGCCACAGCGCCTGGCATCCCTTAATTCTTAATAAATTATTATACAATAGTTCAGGCTATAATGTGAAGATCAAGGAAAAACACATTTCCAGTTTCTCTCCCTGTCCAAAGTTGCTTTATCTATTAATTTAATTGTTTAGATATCTAGCAAGTGTAGAGACCAAGGGAAAGTTTCCCCTTTACCCTCTAAAGGTTCACTGAAAATGAATGACAATAAGCAGATTATTCGGAGAAAAAGGTATACATGTTTATTTAATATGCATAAGCACAGGGGAATTGCAGGAGAATGATTAATAACCCAATGAGGTCCATATGCTTATATACTCTCCTTCATGGGGGAAAAGGAGATGGGGAAAATATGGCCATTCTGAGGGGTAGTGTCTTAGTCCATTTGTGTTGCTATAAAGGAATACCCAAGGCTGAGTGATTTACAAAGAAAAGAGGTTTATTTGGCTTACAGTTCTGCAGGGTGTACAAGAAGCATGTCACTGGTACCTGCTCAGCTTCTGGTGAGGGCCTCAGGCTGCTTCCATTCACGGTGAAAGGCAAAGGAAAACCAGTGTGCAGAGATCATATGATGAGAGAGAAAGCAAGGGAGATGGGAGGGAGATGCCAGGCTCTTTTGAACGACTAGCTCTTGGGGAAACTCTCTTGAGGGCTAATAGAGCGAGAACTCACTCATTACCTCAAGGACAGCACCAAGACATTCATGAGGGATCCATCCCATGACCCAGACACCTCCCATTAAACCCTACCTCCAACATTGGGGATAAAATTTCAACATGAAGTTCAGGCACGGTGGCTCATGCCTGTAATCCCAGCACTTTGGGAGGCCAAGGCGGGCAGATCACCTGAGGTCAGGAGTTCGAGACCAGCCTGGCCAACATGGTGAAACCCTGTCCATACTAAAAATACAAAAATTAGCTGGGCATGGTGGTGTGCGCCTGTAGTCCCAGCTACTCAGGAGGCTGAGGCAAGAGAATTGCTCAAACCTGGGAGGTGGAGGTTGCAGTGAGCCAAGATCGTGCCACTGCAGTCCAGCCTGAGCAGCAAGTGAGACTCTGTCAAAAAAAAAAAATTCAACATGAAATTTGGAGGGTCAAATATCCAAACTATAGCAGGTAATAAATTATTTTTAGGGGAAATGAATGGGTCCAATGCTCAGACAATGACTATCAAATAATTATTTGGGGGAATTTAATGGAGCCAGAGAACAGAAAATAGTTTGGAAAAAAGTTCAGCTGAGCTCTAGATGTGGTGTTTAATTTTCAGCCTCTTCCTTGGTGATACGAGTTTTAATCTCTGGTTTATGAAATTTCAGGGAGGGGATCAAAGACAGTTGTGTTTCTCTTTCATGGGTCCAGTTTCTAGGTAGATAAGGGAACTTCCAAGAACAGCTACATCCTGTGCTTTGGGAGAGAGAGAGTATTGAAAGAGAAGCGGGCAGGGAGGTCAGAGAGACCTTGAGGCTTCTTCTTTAGTTCAGCATGTCAAAGTATCATATTTTAGGGATCTTTTTCTGAACCCCAACACAAGCATTCCTTGTTTGTATGTGGTTTTCATCTTACGGGTCAGTTAGTTCCATTCCAGTTTGGTTCAATTCAATCCAACAGTAATTTCCTATGTGCTTGCAATTGTCCGAGGTGATACAGAAAACTCAAGAAGCCAAGCCTCTCTCCTTCCACCTCCCTACTCCCACCTTAGGAGTTCACAGCCTGTTCTATTGGTGCAGCTCAATCAGCCTACAGAAATACGTGTCACAAAACAGGAAAAGGAGTAGGGAAGATGGCTTAAACCAGATCACTTGCTGTAACTGCAAAAACAAGGAACAAAAGTTAAGCTGGTTAATATGCATGCTCAGTAGTCAGAAGAATCCTTACAGCAATATTACTTGTACCAACTCTCATTAGCCTGAATGAAGCTCTTGTTTGACTCTAAATCCTGCCAGTACTGAGTACCCAGATTGTATTTCCCAGGGAGAAGCCTTGGTCCTTTGTGCTGTGCCAAGGAGAGTTAAAGGTAAGAAGGCCTCCATTTCCCCACAACTTCTCTCAATTCTTGATGCCAATGGATCCTGGGAGTTGTAGAACCAGTTTATGTATTAGATTGGTGCAGAAGTTATTGCGGTTTTTGCCATTACCTTCAATGGCAAAAACTGCGATTACTTTTGCACCAACCTCATACAGGCTAACAAAAGGATTTAATTACCTTCAATATTTTTATTTCTCACAAATGCAAAATATCCTCAAGTATTTAAATTCTCAACATTCCACATAGAAGCTAGAATAATTTGCAAGTAATACATGCACATATAAAGTGAGTTTAGGCTGGGCACAGTGGCTCAAACCTGTAATCCCAGCACTTTGAGAGGCCAAGGCAGGAGGATCACTTGAGTCCAAGAGTTCAAGATCAACCTGGGCAACACAGTGAGACCTAGTCTCTACAAAGAAAAAAGGCAAGAGTGGTGGTACACACAAGTAGTTCGAGCTACTCAGGAGGCTGAGGTAGGAGGATCACTTGAGCCTAGGAGATCAAGGCTATAGTGGGCTGTGATCGCACCACTGCACTCCATCCTGAGTGACATAGCAAGACTCTGTCTCTAAATAAATACATAAATAAATAAATAAATAAATAAATAAAAGGGTTTGGATGCTGGACCACCTGAATTATGAATATCTATTATATGCCAGGCACAATGGCTCATGCCATAATCCCAGCACTTTGGGAGGCCAAGGCAGGTGGATCACTTGAGCCCAGGAGTTTGAGACAAGCCTGAGCAACATGGCAAATCCCCATCTCTAAAAAAAAAAATTAAAAACTTAGCCAGGTATGGTGGCACACACCTGTAATCCCAGCTACTCGGGAGGCTGAGGTGGGAGGATCACCTGAGCCCGGAAAGTTGAGGCTGCACTGAGCAGAGGTCTTGCCACTGCACTCCAGCCTGGGCAACAGAGCAAGATCCTGTCTCAAAAAAAAAAAAAATATATATATATATATATATATGTATATATATAATATTTAAATTTTCACTTTGTTAATTTGGGCTCATCAGTTGAGAATCCAGTGATTTTGCCATCCAGTGAGCTTACATTTCCAGGTTTCTGCTGCTACACACTTTTTTAGATAGTCTTTTGTGCTTCTCCAGACTTAAAGAATTGCACAGGATAGGGTCAGAAGCAATCATTGTAACCAGGCTTTCCTCTGATTTAAAGAACATACATTAATCTTAAGGAAATGGCTAACCAACCAGCTATGGTCCTCTTAATTGCTGAATAACCCAGTACACAGACCTCCATCCTGCCACTTAAATAAGAGATATTAAGAAAAGTTTTGTCAGATCCTGTGACAGTTAATTTGATGTGTCACCTTGACTTGATCATGGAATGCCCAAATATCTGGTTAAATATGACTTCTGGGGTGTGCCTATGAGGGTATTTCCAGAAGAGATTTGCATTTGAATTGACAGACTGAGTAAAGGAAATTATTCTCCGCAATGTGAATGTGCACCATCCAATCCATTGAGGGCCTGAGTAGAGAAAACAAGGATTCACTCCCTCTGCCTGACTGCTTGAGCTGAGGCATTTATCTTCTCCTGCCCTCAGTACGCCTGGTTCCCAGGTCTTTAGATCCACAGTGGAATACACACCATTGGCTCTGTGGCTCTCAGGTCTTCAAACTATGCCACCAACCAGCTTTCATGGGTCACCAGCTTGCTTGGCAGCCTAATGTGGAAAGCAGATGAGCTACCCCAGGTTACACAAGGGTGGCTTGTGGTTCAGCTGTAACATCTGGTAATTTGACAAGTGTTTGTACCGTAAGAGTCAGTGTCAGGACCATTTATGACCTTCATAAGAGGCTTGAGGATGCTGCCTGTGAAATCAAACCACAGGGTATGTCTTGCCTTGGTATGTCACACAGGAAAGGCCCAGTACCACTCCTGTTTTCAAGACAAAGGGGAAAATTCCCTTCTAATGGCTTTACCTGAGCAAAGGACAGTCCTTGAGCTTCCCTGAAAGTTTTTCCATATCCAAGTAACTCACCAAGAGGAGAAGTAGAGTGACATTGTTTTCTTGGTGATAAATGCCGTATCTTGTCATAGATCTATTTTCCAGTCTTGGTCTACCAGCTTTTTGCAAGTACCTGTCATTCCTTGGCAGGAATTAAAATTAGTTCAGGTTTTTTTTTTTTTTTTTTTGAGACGGAGTCTTGCTCTGTCATCCAGGCTGAAGTACAGTGCCTCAATCTTGGCTCGCTGCAACCTCTGCCTCCTGGGTTCAAGCGATTCTCCTGCCTCAGCCTCCCAAGCAGCTGGGATCACAGGCATGCATCACCACGGCAGCTAATTTTTGTATTTTTAGTAGAGACAGGGTTTCACCATGTTGGCCAGGCTGGTCTCGAACTCCTGGCCTCAAGTCATCCGCCCACCTTGGCTTCCCAAAGTGCTGGGATTACAGGCATGAGCCATCGTGCCTGGCCTAGTTCAGGTTCTTTTGTGTGATCTAGATGTTGGACATAGACAGCAATCTGATTAACTAATATGCCAGGGTTTGGGAAACTGGTGTAGGAGGATGTCAGGTTTCTGCTTGGCCTATTGAGAAAACTGGAAGAGTTTATAAAAGCATAATAGAGTTTGGAAGAGAGCCCATAGCGGAGAGTCAGAGTGAAAACAGGATAGATAGAGACGCGCAATCTCCAGTCAGCCTTTAAATAAATGGCCAAAGAAAAGGAGTCTTCATTAAAAGGAAGAGGTATTTTTGTTTTTGTTTTGGAGTAAGGAGACATAATGGGGGAGAAAATCGGTGGAAGTGAAGTTTCTTAATGACCTTGGGAAAAAATTGTCTACTTCATGATGCTGTCTGCTTCCTGAGCCTGGGGATTAACCCTGGAAATCCTTACTTTAAGGTCACTTGCAGGGATGGTCTTCCAAATTGTCCTGAGAGTGCTGATCTGGGGTCTCTCAATTGTCCTAAGAGTGCTGACCTAGCTTAGCATGGCTTGCAGGAATCCATGAGGATTTTTATTTTATTTAGATAGCGGCATAAGTTGTTAGCAGTACTTCATAAGGTCCTTCCTAGCTAGGTAATGTCTTCTAAAAACCTTGATGTACATAGATCTCCTCGTCAAAAGAGATGGCAAGCATTGTCAGTTGGCAGAGGCTGGCTGTGTCATTTTTACCTGTTGATATGCTCCAAGTATACTTGTCAGTTCCTGTATATAACTAGTCATAGCATCGAATTGTTCACTTAAGTCTCCATAATGGTTCACTCAATTCAAGAATAGAAGGCTTAGAGATACCAGTAGGCATAGAACAACCAAGTATTGTTTCCAAAGGGGTAAATTCATGCCTTCTATTTCAAGTATTACAGGTTTTATGTATTTAGGGGAACGCTTCTGGCCATTTCAGTGCAGTCTCTTGATAGAATTTTCCTAAAATTTTTTGTTTCTACCTAGCCAATATTTTAATAATCCACAATATTAGCTGATTCATAAAAAGTGCTTTTACAACCTGTTACCATCTAAGATAATGCATCATACAATTTTCAAGAATGTGTTGATTTTGAGCCTCTGTTCTGTAGAATTCCCTGTGCTGCAGCCGGTACATGCTCCTTTTTGATGACTCCACATTTATTCTCACAGGCATTTGTCCTGGACTCTTCTGCTAATCAATGAACAAACAGTAAGTCATTCAGATGGGCCAGTAACTCACCACTTGTCTCCATATGAAGGTGAGGCTTCTGTTACTTGAAGACTTGATTAAGTAAGCGTGGGAGACTGTGCATGGTGGCTCACATGGGCATGTAATCCCAACAGTTTGGGAGGCCGAGGCAGCAAGAGTTCATGACCAGCCTGGGCAACATAACAAGACCCCCATCTGTATAAAAAACAAAATAATTAGCTGGGTGTGGTGGTACGTGCCTGTAGTCCTAATTATTGGGAGGCTGAGGTAGGAGGATCATTTGAGCCCAGGAGGTCAAAGTCACACCACTGCACTCCAGCCCGGGTGACAGAGCAAGACCCTATCTCTAAAAAATTTTTAAATAAAATCTTTTTTTAAAGATGTGGGGGAACTTATACTTTATCTGCTTTTTCTGGTGGACTGTGGTTCCCCCACCCCCACCAAGCACCAGCTGCCTCAGCTCCTAAAGCCCTCCCCACACCACACACAAGCTCATGCTCACTAGGGCAGTGAAAACAACCCAGTCCCTCCAATGCTTCTTTCCCCAAAGTCCTTTTTATGTCTAGCTTTTTCTGTTCCACTTGCCCTGAGGATAAGGGATGATCAGGGTATGAAATTTTAATGAGTATCCCAAAGTTTTTGCAAGCAAGTGGTTTATTTCTGCTATAAAATGAATTCCTTGGTCTGACTCAATTCATAAAGGAATGCCAAAACAAAGAATAATCTTATTCATTTATTCACCACTGTCGTGGCATCAGCACGTCTAGTCAGATGGCGTTCAGTCTATCCACTAAACATAGAAACAATAAGCAAACAGTGAGAATAGCCTAAAGCTGGAGGTAAATCTATGAAATCCACTTGGAGTGCCACAAGAGGCAATGTAGGCCTCAAGGACTTCCTGAGGAATATTGGTTTCCTACAGAAATTTGGTGAGATTTACAAGCAGTATGCTGGGAAATAATTCGGTCAGAAATTTTGTGGGTGCCAGGGCAGAACCAATTATAATTTTTTTTTTTTTTTTGGAGACGGAGTTTCGCTGTTGTTGCCCAGGCTGGAGTGCAATGGCACAATCTTGGCTCACTGCAACCTCCGCCTCCCGGTTCAAGCAATTCTCCTGCCTCAGCGTCCCAAGTAGCTGAGATTACAGGTGCCCGCCACCATTCTCAGCTAATTTTTTGCATTTTTAATAGAGATGGGGTTTTACCATGTTGGCCAGGCTGGTCTCGAACTCCTTACCTCAGGTGATCCACCCACCTCGGCCTCCCAAAGTGCGGGGATTACAGGCATGAGCCACCACACCTGGTGCCCATTTATCTTTTGGGTCCTTAACTATCCTCCATCTGCACATACATCCCATTTGATGGGAGACAAGTGCAAGCCAAAAGGCTGAAAGAATGGGGGCCATAGGAAATCCTTTTGGCCCAATGTATAATCCATCTGATCATTGTTTTGAATGCTTTTGTATCCATTTGTCTTTTCAGATCATGGAGCATCTGCCTGATAATCAATAGTATCAGCTAGAGATAAAGGCAGGTTTAGAAACTAGATATAAAAAAAAAAAGGTGGCACATTTTTGGCTGTGTATTTAGCAGCCTTGTCAGCCCTATTGTTCCCAAGAGATACAATACCAGACTCCTTAGTATGGGCTGAACAATAAGCAACAGTAATTTTAGTAGGGAGGAAAATAGCCTGTAATAGATCAACAATTATATGCCCATTGGCAATAGAAGCACCAGCAGAAGTTAAAAATTCAAGGCATTTCCAGATTATGCCAACAGTATGGCAGACTCCAAAGGCATATCTGGAGTCGGTGTAAAGAGTGGCCATTTTTTCTTTTGCCAGTGTGCAAACTTGAGTGACAGCTATCGGTTCAGCAGCTTGGGCTGATCTTACAATGAGCAAAGAGCACACCTCAAGTGTTTCATGTGGGAAAACTAGCCAGTTGTTATGTTTCCTTGGCAATTTCATCTACAAGAGCCATCACAAAACAGAAGTAAGTCTGGGTTGTCCAAAGGGGTAGCTAAGAGGTTTGCTCGTGGCTTTGAGACCATTTCTACAGTGTTAAGGCAATGATGAGAAATGGAGTGAAGCTCTTCATTAGCAGGGAGAGGTGGTAGAGTAGCTGGATTTAAAGTGTTACAGTGATGTAACGTGATGGAGGGATGGTTAACAGGGCTTTTCTGAAGTGGTCGGTCATCATGTAGAGAGGTGCTGTGTTTTATAAACTTATAAGAAAGCAGACAGACATAGTAGGGGGAACATAGAGGTAAATGGAGGATTCTAATATAAGAGTACCGCCTTTGCCAATTAGGGTGGCAGCTGCAGTAACTGCACACAGGCGTGAGGGCATACTTGCTACCATGGGGTCTAACTGACATGAGAAATATGCTACAGGACATATATGAGATCCAAAAAGTTGTCCTAGAATACCTGCAGCAATCTCATTATGTTTATGGCAATACAAGTGAAAAAGTTTGTCAAAATTAGGTAAGCCAAGGGCAGTGGGTACGAACAATGCTAATATTAAGGCTCAGAGGAGATCATCAGCATATGGCACAAGATTGGAGCCCTGGGTAAGGGCTAAAGAATCTAAGTGGGCTTTAAAGACCTGGGAAAGTATTAAGGGAGACTCACGATATCCCTGAGGTCTGTGAGTCTATGTTAATTGTCTCTCTTATATGTAAATGCAAAGAGAAATGTCTAGTCAGGGTGCAATGGAATCGAGCAGAGGTCAATTACTGTAAACCAGGCTGTGTCAGCAGGAATCAAGGTAAGAATGGTAGCTGGATTAGTGACTATGGGGTAGGGTAGAAAGGAATTACAAAGGAGTTGCTTTTGGCTCTTGGATCTTGTACAATTGGTTAGAAGTGATTCCCCCATCCCCCTTCCCACCCCCATCTGAATCAACTTTCTCTTCTTTCTTTCCCAGCAAGCTTGGGGTGCTACAGGGTAAAGAAATAAAGACACCACCACCCTGCTGTAAAAAGGAGTCGATTATATGTTTGATTCCTCACGTTGCATCTCATTAGAGAAGATTGTGGGCTACTGGTGGGAAAGGTTTGTTTCTTTCCCAGGCGATGTGTGCAGGCCCTGTGCTTAGTAGCAAGCCAGTGTCATTTGCATGTGAGGCCCAAGGACTAGTTCAGGCATCTTTTAAGACTGCATCCTCTTCAAAGGATTTTAAATTGAGATGGGTTTCCATTAAGGAAAGTAGAAAGTTTTAGGTTTGTTCTGAGGGCAGGAAAATAAAAACATCTTTCTCATTGCATTATATGCTTGCATTAAACTTGCATTAAAAATCTCTTCTGGAAAGATTTGCTGGTAAGGAGTCAGAAACCAGAAAAGCACAATGTTGAGAGGGCCTAAGAATATTGGGGTGGCCTAAGATATGGGCAGTGAAATAGGTTGCCCACAGACTCTGACAACTTAAACAGAATCAGAGGCGACAGGTAAAAATAAATCCTCTGGGTGTTACGGTAGAAGAAGTCAAACCAGTGTCAATTAAGAAATGCAGTTCCCAATCCTCTGCTTAAAGTTTAATGATGGGTTTGGGGGTGTGGTTGAGGATGAGCTGACCCCATCAATTAATAGGGTATTATCCCTCAGAAGGGGAAAATGAAACTTCTGAGGATGGTGGATCTACGGACCCCACTTTTTCTTTCTTCTTCATCTTTCTTTGAAGTGGCAGGACAGTTGTTTTTCCAGTGTCCTGGTTTTTTAAATATCTGCAGACATCTGGAGGCAAACAAGGCAGGCACTGTGGTTGGTAAGAAAAATGAGGGGATTTTGAGTTACTCTGAGACTCATAGCTTTGTTTCTGTAAATACTGGATTTAGAAGGCAGAGCTGTTGGTTTTTATTTTTTTCTTATTTTCTGCAAGCTATTTTCAAAGAATTGCATAGCTGCTTCTATAATAACACTCAGAGACTGACTCACCCAGGCAGCCACACTATTTTGAATTTCCCTCTTTATATCAGGGAGAAGATTTCCAACCAAGCCAGAAATTAAAAGATTTCTGTGTTCTGGGGCTTTCTGGTTTAATGCAGTGTGGCTTTTAAAAGTTTGTATAAAGTATTCCATAAAAACCTTAGGAGATTCTCCTTCCTTTGAGTGCATGCTTCAACCTGAGACCAATTCACCTTAGGGAGAAAGGCCTCTTTCATCACCTCCATTAGGCATGGAATATTGGCCTCTAGCTGAGCCATTTCCTGGTCACTTGCAGTAGGGTCTAGAAGTAGTTCCAGCCATTTATTTCCTGGGTGGAGGTGGGTGGGGAAGAGTTGGTTCCCGTAGAGTCCATCTGGCCTGTCTAATAACTACAGTATCATCACAGGTGGGAAGAACACATCTTAGTGGCCAGTTGAGGTCCCTGTGAGTGGGATTATGAGTGGCTACCAATCCTTCTAACTCCTCTCTAAATGTGGTAGAATCTTCTGAAAGTGGGGTCCAAAGGGCTTTGTAATATAAAAGATCTCCTGCTATACAACATCAACCTAAATGTCCATCAACAGATGAATGGATAAAGAAAATGTGTTATACACACACAAGTGGAGTACTACTCAGCCATAAAAAAGAATGGAATCCTGTCATTTACAGCCACATGGGTGGAACTGGAGATCATCATCTTAAGTGAGATAAGCCAGGCACAAAAAGACAAGTATTGCATGTTCTCACTTATATGTGGGGGCTAAAAAATTTGATCACATGAAGGTAGGATGTGAAAAGATAAATAACAGTGACTGGTAAGGGTGAGTGGGAGGAAGAGGGATGATGAAGAGAAGTGGGTTAAAGAGTACAAACACACAATTAGAAGGAAGAAATTCAAGGTTTGATAGCAGAGTAGAGTGAGTGTAGTTAACAAAAATGTATTGTACTCAGGAGATGGGAGAGACACCCTAAATACTGACTTGATCACTATGCATTATATACACATAACAAAATTTCACACTACCCCATAAATTTGTACTAATAAAAAATATTTAGGCCAAGCACGGTGGCTTATACCTGTAATCCCAGCACTTTGGGAAGCCAAGGCAGGCGGATCACCTGAGGTCAGGAGTTCAAGACCAGCCTGGCCAACATGGTGAAATCCCGTGTCTGCTAAAAATACAAAATTAGCCAGGCGTGGTGGCACGTGCCTGTAATCCCAGCTGCTCAGGAGGCTGAGGCAGGAGAATCACTTGAACCCGGGAGGTGGAGGTTGCAGTGAGCTGAGATTGCACCACTGCACTCCAGCCTGGGCAACAAGAGCGAAACTCCATCTCAAAAAATATATACACTTTTAAACATAAAATAAAGGGTCTACTGCTGTCTGGAGACAAATTCTTTGTGGTGGGGATCCAGTATAACATGCACGGCACAGTAAGGTCTGGAGTTGACGGAGTTTGCAGAACCCTGGGAAGTAGGAGGAGTCTTCCTGGAGCCTGGGCCAGATTTACTTCCTGGCTATCAGCATTTACACAGGCAAACTGTATACCCCAGGCCTGGAGATCAGGCCAGAGTGTGTTCTGTAATCTTCCCAGGAAAGGGAAGTTAAAGCAGGCAGCTGAATGTTTAAGGGATTTTCTAAAAAGTTGGAAAAGTTTTACAAGTTAAAGGATTTTGCTGAAGAGATGGGGCCATATTTTGAGGAGGGGGATTCAAGCCAGGGGCCCAGAGATCCAGAAGATCTTCTGGAGGGTCAGGGACAGGCAGTTGGGGGTAAAGGGAAGTATAAGTGGATGGAGAAGGAGGATTTGTAGTGTGTGTGGACTTTAACTTTTGTTCTAAATCTGTTCTTCCCTAAAGCTAGCTGTTACCCTCCTCTACATCCTCTTTACAATGTGATGTTCCCATAGTGCCAATAGGACAGTTGTTTTCGATGACAAAATTTTTTTCAAATAGGGAAGTTTTTCCAATTCAAAGGATCCATCGTCTGGCCATTGACAAATAGGATCTCCAAGAATGTGTTTATTCCAATAGCAACTCAAACCAATAAACCTTTTCATGGAAAGACTGTGAAATAACTTTCCAGGCTTAGAATAAATCTTTACCATGGATGCAAGAGGCATCCCTAGAGTGAGTGTAGAAGATGCACGCACATGATCCTAAAAAGTTCACACCAGAGGTGGCCTAGGAAAGCAAAGACCTTTGCCGTCACCAGCAGTGAGAACTGTGTTTGTGCAATTGCTGTCTCTGGTCTCTCACAAGATGTGGGACACCTCCAGCCACATACCCACTAATCTGTAGCACCAGGTGGGCAACCCTAGGATGGGATATTCCCAGTACTAATAAGACAAAGAAGATTGACACAGCAAAGGCCCCTTATGGACTGGAACCTCCCCTGGAAGCTGGCATGTTCAAACAAAGAGAATGCTACCTGTCATCACATGTCTCAGGCTTCCAGTCTGTAGGCCAGCCACCTGACACAAGGCAAGCCAAAACTTACTCCCCTGAGCTAGTGGGGCCCAGAGAGAATATTCTCACTGGTCACAAAGCCAAGCTTTCAGTACATAAAACAAGTAAAAGAAGAATCTCATCTTGTTTTTGCTTCAGGGACTCACAACAAAGGTTGTCTAAACAGACACCAGTCTGGTGAGAAGTGTGCACTCACCAGTCCATGAGGCCAGCTCGAACACAGGACTATAGGCCCTAGAGCTGGGTTCCCCCTTGTAGCATATGACACAAAAGATAAAGACAAAGGAAAACAATGACCATCTCTGGGAAGAATGGGATCAAATAGAAAACAAGAATACTTGAAACAGAAAATGCCAAAGTTGCCATACCCAAAGAATGACTTCACACAAATATTTTCTCCTGCTAACGTAAGTGTAGAAAGAAAAAAAGACAAGAGACTCATCAGTCTTGCTTCAAGCAGACCCTGCAGGCAGAGATCTAGGACACTGAAGTGGTAAGAATTTCTACCCTCTGCTGGTTTTTGTCAAAGGTCCCAAAATCTCTCAGCTGCAGTAGCCAAGGCAGGCAGTGAAATTCCCTCCTCATCACCAGAACTGCTGGGGAGAAAAAAAATTCTCCTCTACCCTCTAGGATCTCCAATAGGCCTAAGAATTAAACTGACGGCCGGGCGCGGTGGCTCACGCCTGTAATCCCAGCACTTTGGGAGGCCGAGGCGGGCGGATCACGAGGTCAGGAGATCGCGACCATCCTGGCTAACATGGTGAAACCCCGTCTCTACTGAAACAAAATAGAAAAAATTAGCCGGGCGTGGCGGCGGGCGCCTGTAGTCCCAGCTACTCGAGAGGCTGAGGCAGGAGAATGGCGTGAACCCAGGAGGTGGAGCTTGCAGTGAGCCGAGACCGCGCCTGGGCGACAGAGCGAGACTCCTTCTCAAAAAAAAAAAAAAACAAAAACAAACAAAAAAAAAGATTTAAACCGACAAGGCAGATTAATAGGATAAAAGTATACAAGTTTTATTAAATTTTTAGATGCACATGGAGCCCTTCACAAGAGTCCCAAGACCCAAAGAAGTTGAACAGAGTAGAAAGCTTTTATACCTTCTAGTCAAAGCAATGCTAAGTTTTTGAAGTGATGACCAGACAAAGGGGTTTGGGTTAGGGGCAGTAAATTGTGGGGAAGTGACCAGGAAATATACGGGGAGGGAGATAAAACTACTGGATGATAAGGGTTGCTTTAGTAAGTTTATACAGATCCATTTCGGTGCTGATTCCCAGTCTCTGGTGTTAAGGATGTTTTTCTCTTCCTTGTACAGGGAGGGCGCCTTTCTTATGGGGAATTTTATGGCCTGTTCTTATATAGAAAAGGGTAGATCAGAGAGCTCTTCCTGCCTCTGCTGTTTTTCAAGTGCCTTCAGCTCAGAATAAACAACATGCCGAAGCAGCATATGTTTTTGGGGTGACATGTCCTTAACTTCTTCACTAAATAATCCTAAACTTGAGAGTATGCCTTCTCCCCACTCAGCCATTCCAACCTAAGAATAGGATACAACCTCCAGCTGGGCAAAACAAAACTGGTACAAGATATTTAACAAAATTTCAGGAAAGCAGAGCCCAAATAGTCTAACCAAGGCTGCATATTGGCTGGGCATGGTGGCTCATGACTGTAATCCCAACAGTTTGGGAGGCTGAGGTGGGAGGATTGCTTTGAGTCCAGGAATTCAAGACCGGCCTGAACAACACAGGAAGACCCCATCTCTACAAAAAAAAATAAAACAATTAGCTGGGCATGGGGGCTCTCACCTGTGGTCCCAGGTACTTGGGAGGCTGAGGTGGGAGGATCACTTGAGGGTGGGAGGTAGAGGCTGCAGCGAGCCATGATTGCAACACTGCATTCCAGCCTGGGTGACAGTGAGATCCTGTCTCAAAAAAAAAAAAAAAAAAAAAAAACTAGGCCAGGTGAGGTGGCTCACACCTGTAATCCCAGCACTTTGGGAGGCCAAGGAGAGAGGATCACTTAAGACCAGGAGTTCCAGACAAGCCTGAGCAACACAGCAAGACCCTGTCTCTACAAAAAATTTTAAAAATTAGCTGGGTGTGGTAGGCGTGGTCCCAGCTACTTGGAGGCTGAAGCAGGAGGATCACTTGAGCCCAGAAGTTTGAGACTAGCCTGGAAAATACAGCAAGACCCCATCTCTACCAAAAAATAAAAAAATTAGCCAGGTGTGGTGGCATGCACCTGTAGTCCCAGCTACTTAGGAGGCTGAGGTGGGAGGATTGCTGGAGCCTGGGAGGTCAAGGCTGCAGTGAGCCGAGATTGCACCACTGCACTCCAGCCTGGGTGGCAGAGTGAAACCCTGTCCCAAATAAATAAATAAAGTAGTGTAGGAGACCAGAATATAACATCTGAAATATGACTGTAGGAGACCAGAATATGCCACCCCAAAATATGCCTTTTTGGCGCAAGGATTATTTTGAACAATAGCAAAGGACTAGCTCTGAAAACAAATTACCATCTTGTAAGGAAAATATAAAGGAAATTTCCATTTGTAAGGATGACTTCTCTCTGTACCAGGAGGAGAGGATGACTCTGAATCACAAAAGACTTGTCAATGCAGAAGGCACCAACTTAAATCCACATAACAAACCTTACCCTAGTTTACCCATGCTTTCCCTGGCTACCTCTCCATAACTGGCCTTCCCCACTCCTGTTTGTTTCAGTGAACTATAGTATATAAGGCTGAATTCAAAGCCACTTCTTTGAGATTGACTCATTTCTCTGTGTATCTCCCATGTATACCTGAGGTATACATGTTAATCAACTTCTGTTTTTCTCTTGTTAATCTGTCTTTGATTACAAGAATCTCACTAAGAACTATGAAAGGTAGAGAACATTATTTTTCCTCCTCTACAATAGAAAGAAGTGAGAACTAGATGAAGATGATGTAATATAATGACAAATTGTGTCTGAAGTAGAAAGCCCAACAAATTGAACAGAAAAATATTCAAGAGAACATCCCTGAAACAAAGAAAAGTGAATCTGCTGAATTGAAGAACATGTTGTGTTTCAAACAACTTCAACACAGAACATTCAATATTGAGACATATCTTGACCTACCTATTGAAATTCAAAAATAACGAATTCTTCAGGCATTCAGACAAATAATAACACGTTATATGCAGGGGACAGGCTGACCTCAGAACTTAATGGCAGAAGACAGTGGACCAATGGCTAATGGAGTGTAACCCAAGGTTCTTATGCAAATAAGTTCCCGCACATGGGCAAAGAGGACTTTCCCAAACAAGAAAAAAATCAGGAAACACAGCGTCTATGAGCCTCTCTCAGAGAAACTACTTGATGATATCCTGGCAATTAAGAGAAGACTTCGATAAAGAAATAAAGGAGCAGAAGCCATGTAAAAGGTTTTGGTGGGCCGGGTGCGGTGGCTCATGCCTGTAATCTCAGCACTTTGGGAGGCCAAGGTGGGTGGATCACGAGGTCAGGAGTTCAAGACCAGCCTGGCCAAGATGGTGAAACCCTGTCTCTACTAAAACTACAAAAATTAGCCGAGCACAGTGGCAGGTGCCTGTAATCCCAGCTACTCGGGAGGCTGAGGCAGGAGAATCACTTGAACCCAGGTGGCAGAGGTTGCAGTGAGCCAAGATCACGACAGAGTGAGACTGTCTCAAAAAGAAAAAAGGTTTTGGTGAACACCAAATTAATTTAAATATAGATCAATACAAAACTGTTGGACTATCACTGAAGACAATGTTAATGTTATAAACTTGTCAAAATAAAAATATGAAGGCCGGGTGTGGTGGCTCATGTCTGTAATCCCAGCACTTTGGGAGGTCAAGGCGGGTGGATCACCTGAGGTCAGGAGTTCGAGACCAGCCTGACCAACATGGAGAAACCCCATCTCTACTAAAAATACAAAATTAGCTGGGTGTGGTGGCGGGTGCCTGTAATCCCAGCAACTCGGGAGGCTGAGGCAGGAGAATCGCTTGAACCCAGGAGGCGGAGGTTGCAGTGAGCCAAGATTGCGCCGTTGCACTCTTGCCTGGGCGACAAGAGCAAAACTCCATCTCAAAAATAAATAAATAAATAAATATGAAAGTTGAGGAGAGGGGAATGTGAGGAGAGGAAGTAGGATAATCCTCTTTTTTTGTGGAAGTCAATCAATGTATAAAATTGAAATGTGTGGTTCACAAAAAAAAGCATCATTACTTCCGAAATTTCTTAATTTTACAAAGAACTTTTAAGAGCTAATATTTGTTATACAGAAAAAAAGATATTTGAAATCTAGCCTATGTAACAAACCTGCACGTTCTGCACATGTATCCCCATACTCAAATAAAAATTTAAAAAAAGAAATGTAGCAATTTTTTTCTCTTTCCACTTCACTTCATATTTTGTTTTCTGTTCAATCCAAGTTGTTTTCTCCTATGAAATCCAAGTAAAACTATATTGAATATTGTCTGATGGCAAAGGAGCCTTAACATGTGACGATGTTGCACCCATGGGGTTAGAGAAATGTAGGTGAATATGAAATGCTGTTGACCCCCCCTTCTGCATTTATTTCATTGTTTTCCTATCTATTAAGCCATTGGCTTCAAATTATGCTTTACAGGGGTATGTAGGTTTGCCAAAACTCATAAAATTATACACCAAAAATGAGTGGGGTTTTTTTGCATATACATTATTTTACTTTATTAAATCTTACTAATATTCTTTAAGGGACAAGCCAGACAAGTAGGCTACAGTGAAGAAATCTTATTCTGAAGAGTTAAGAAACCACTATGGTACTTCCAGGTATTATCCTCAGTGATGCTTCTTATCTTTATTCAGGGACTCCAGATAATATTCAGCTCCTACAGCTCCCACAAATGCAGCAAATCCCCACTTGAATCCTTTTAATAATGCACCAATAAAGGAACCACTATTTGCAAAGCCACCCATGTATCTCCAAGCTTCACCTTGACCCCATGGATCCCTTAGCCCTTGCGCAGCCAACTTCTTCTTGACAGTTTCTAATGGTGTCCCTTCTATCTTCCATTGTTTATAATCTGGAAGTTCCATTTTACTACGTCCATGTTCATGAGCCATGTCTGACGGCATTCTGACCTCTCAGGACACTCAACTCTGCAACCGGAGCCAACCCGGGTGTGTTTTCTTATATGTAAGTTTACATCGATAAAGTTTATTTAAAAGGTTTTTAAAATTATGCCCAATTGGAGTCTTTATAGAGGATCAGGAAAGAAGTGAAGGTGAGAAGGCACAGCTTACCCTCCCCCATCTCCATTGAATTAACAATGGACAGCAAGACACTAATTTCTTTTACCTAAAGACCTTCAACATAGGGTCTCATAGCTTTAAGGGTCAGGGAAGAACACAGCTGTCATAAGAGTAGATGTCAATTGACCTGAATATAAACATAAATTGTGTACAGCTGAAGGTGGTGAGGAGGCAGAACAAGCTGACAAAATCATTCCAGTGACGTAAAGGTAAACTAACACTTGAGACGAACAATACTTCTAGATGACACCCCCATTTCTGCTTTCCAGAGTGGCTTTAACCCAGTCCTTCATGGACACATGGAGATGGTCTCCAGATGGGGTGTGGTGCCTCTGGGTCTGTGAATGGAACCTCATGGGGGCTGGGACAACCCACAGTTGACTCAGCTTCCACGGAGGCGTCCCCTAGCTCTGCTCCAGTTACAAGCAGGCCCAAGCGAGGGAGTGGCTGGCTGGGGTTCTTCCAGCACAAAACCTTTTCAGTTTTCCTAACAATTTCCCGCCTCATGTCTGCAATGTTTTGGCAGCTGCAGGGCCTCTTTTTCTCCTCCCTTTCAACTTGCATGGTTCTTTGAGCCACAAGGGAGACCCAAAACCCTGAAGAACATCCCGGAATGCAAAGCATTTGCAATGAGTCACAGCTGCAGAGGTGCCAGGCTTAAGAGCTGTTCCAGGCTTAAGTAAGACAGGGAAGCGGGGAGAGAGGTCAGGGTTCTCAGCTGCAGAGTTTACGTCAAAGGCTGGACCCAGGAAAGAGGAGCAGCAGCACTGGCTGGAACAAGGAAAGAAAACAATGAGAAATAGATGCATGGGGACCACTCCTCTGAAGTTTCCCCACCTGCTTTACATGGGGCTGTCAGCCCTACCAGCCATTCTCTAAATTCTAAAAATTCTCACAGGAATAAGAACTTTCTGGATGACAGAGGAGTGTAAGTTGGCATTTGGAAAATGATCCCTGACAGTCTTCTAACCAACAATCATAAAGGGCTGAGCCCACTGAGCTTTGCAACACACTATTTTAAGCTGTACTTTAAAAATGCAGTGGGCGTTCTCTTCTTTTGCTCCCACAGAGGGGCATTCACTGGCTCTTTCTTGCCTAAAAAACACGCCTCCCTTTTAAGTCCTGGAGAGAGCCTTTGGGTGTCAAAACATTGCTTCCTTTTCATTTTTGTATTAACAATAGTGAATAGAGAATATATTCATAATATTCACCCAAAATATTCAAAAAACTATAAAATAAGAAGTGTCTAACTTCTGTTTTCCCCAGCCACCTAGTTCTTCCTGGAAGCAAGTTTCTTGTGTATTTTCCCAGAAATATTCTTTGCATATATAAGCACGTCTGGTATATGTAATTGTTTTTGTACAAATGGCATACATTACACAATATTCTCTTTGTTTTTCTAAACAACCTTGAAAACTGCTTCATGTCAGTACAAACAGAACTGCCTTATTTGTTCATTTTCACTAGATAAACAGTACCCTGTTTATATACATGTTGGTTATTTTCCATCTTTCCCTATTACAAACTGTGCTTCAGTGACAATCTTTTAAAATATATCATGTGTGGGTAAAATTTCTAGAGGTGAGATTTCTATGTCAAATTTGGATACTTTGATAGATATTTCGTCAAATTGCCCTTCATGGAGATTGTACCAATTTATACGCACAGGTATGAGAGTACCTGTTTCCGGTCCAGTGTGGCGGCTCACGCCTGTCATCCCAGCACTTTGGGAGGCTGAGGCAGGCAGATCGCCTGAAGTCAGGTTCGAAACCAATCTGGCTATGGTGAAAACTTGTCTCTACTAATACAAAAAAAAAAAAATTAGCCGGGTGTGGTGGCATGCACCTGTAGTGCCAGCTACTCTGGAGGCTGAGGCAGGAGAATCACTTGAACCTGGGAGGTGGAGGTTGCAGTGAGCCGAGATCACACCACTGCACTCCAACCTAGGTGAGAGAGTGAGACTGTGTCTCAAAAAAAAGAAAAAGAGAGGGCCTGTTTCCCCATCCCTTAGCACAGAATATTCCAACTTTTTTACCAATCCCAATTGATAGGTTAAAAAATAATACCTTATCATTTTAATTTGGTTTCATCTTTATCCAATGTCAAGCATCTTTGCCTATGTTTGAGAGCCACTTGCATGTTCTGTTCTGTGAACCATGTTCTCTGCCTGTTTTCTATCACATTGCTGTTTGTTTTGACTTGTTGAACTCTACATATCAGGGGAAATCACGTTTTGTCAATGTACATGTAGGACGGTTTTTCCCCAGTTTGTTTCTTCTTCCCTCCATACTTCTACTGTTTGTTTTATACAGAATTCTAGTTTTATGTTTTTGAACTTACCTTTTCATTTTTGGCCTCTAGAAAGTTTATCATTTAGATAGTATTTCCCTTGAAATTATGAAAAATTCTCGCGATATATTCAACTCAAAGATTTATTATTTTGTGCTCAGCATTTATATCTGTGATCCAGCCAGAATTTATTGTAGTGATGAGATAAGTAGGGCTCCACTGATATCTTTTTCCAGCTGGCTCTCTGGTAGATTCAACACCATTTATTGGGCCAGGAATTCAGGCACAGGTGAGCAGGATCCTCTGTTTTAGGGTCTTTCACAAAACTGCAATGACAGTGTCAGCCAAGCCTGGGGTTTCACTGAAGGCTCAACTGGAGAAGGACTTGCCTTCAAGTTCACATGGTTGTTGGCAGGATTCAGTTCATTGTTGCTTGTCAGGTGGAGGAGCTCAGCTCCTTCCTAGCCTTCTCTCAGAGGGCACCTTAAGTTTCTTGCCACATGGGCCTCTCCACATTGGCAGTTTACTTCATCAAAGCCAGCAGGGGCAAAATCAATTGAGTCTACTGGCAAGATGGAAGTTACGGTCTTACCTAAAGTAATCACAGAAGTGACATTCCATCTCCTATACCATATTCTATTGGTAGAAGCAAGCCACAGCAAGCTCCTCAAGGAGAGGAGATTATACAAGGTGAGAATGCTAGGAGAGGGGTATATCAGTCTATTCTCACACTGCTGTAAAGAACTTCCCTGAGACTGGGTAATTTATAAAGGAAAGAGGTTTAATTGGCTCACAGTTCCATATGGCTGAGGAGGCCTCAGGAAACTTACAATCGTGATGGAAGGCAAAAGGCAAGCAAGCACCTTCTTCACAAGGTGGCAGGAGAGAGAGAAGGGGGGAAAGCCCCTTATAAAACCATCAGATCTCATGAGAACTCACTCACTATCACGAGAACAGCATGGGGGAAACCACCCCCATGATCCAATCACCTTCCACCCAGTCCTTCCCTCAACACCTGGGGATTACAATTCGAGATGAGATTTGGGTGGGGACACCGAGCCTAACCATATCAGTGGGGCTCACTGGGAGCCATGTAGCCTGTCTGCCATAATCCACACTCTGGCCCCCAGTGATCCATGTCCTTCCCATGTGCAAAATACATCTACCCCATCTCAAGTCCTCCAAAAGTCTCATTCCATTACAGAGTCACTTTGAAGGCCAAAATCTCATTATCTAAATCAGGCCCAGGTGTACAGATGAGGCTCCTCAGGTGTAACTCATTAAGTCCAGCTCCTGGAGCACAATTCCCCTTCATCTGCGGACTTGCAAAACTATGAAATGGAAAAAAAAAATGAAACAAGTTGTCTGCCTCACACACACAATGTACAATGGTGGGACAGGAGAAGGATAGCAGCTAGAGGCATTCCTATTCAAAAAGGAAGAAAATGGGAGGTACACAGGAGTCACTGGTCCATGGTATCACACAGATTTAGGTTTGTTCAAAATGTCCATAGCCCAGTTGCGGTATTACTCTATTTTGTCCATTCGTTTTTTCTTGCTCCTCTCTTTTTACACACACACACACACACACACACACACACACACACACACAGAGTTCCTTTTGTATTACTCTTTTAACCAGTATCATCCTTTTCCTTCTTCTTCTTCTTTTTTTTTTTTCTTTTGGAGAGATGGGATCTGATTATGTTTCCCAGGCTGGTCTCCAACTCCTGGGCTCAAGTGATCCTCCCACCTCTGCCTCGCAAAGAGCTGAGATTACAAGTGTGAGTCACCATGCCCAGCCAATCACCATTATCATCACTTTATGCTTACTACGTCCTAGGTAACTTTCTAACTGTTAACATTTATTAACTTATTTAACCCTCACAACAACCGTATGAGTGTAGGTACTATTATTATCCCGTTTTTACATAAGAGCAGACTGAAATAGAGGTTAAACAGCTTTCCAAGAACATACAACTAGTAAGGGCAGAACCAGACATGAGATGGGTATTCCCAGAAGAGCAACGGGTAGGAGGTTTCAGTGAAGGAGGGACTAAACTGGTGTTCTCCACTGGCAAAAATTCTTTTTGGTTCCTTGTAACATGAGTGTGTGGGTGTGTGTGGTATATGTGTGATGCCCTTTCTGTTCCCTAGTCAGCAGCAATCAACAACTGTGAGACTGTTCACAAGTCACAGGGAATTTTTTCCTACTTTGCTTCCCTGACAGACTGTTTCCTACAACTAGAGCAAGATTGTGTGCTTCTTCATTTAATCTCACTTCCCCCTACCACTCCTCAGTGTCCCCTGGAAATTCCTGCAGCCAGCCTAAGCATCCTGTGCCCATCGGTTCTAACCGGGGAGTGTTGAGTGCCCCCTTATGGTGCACCATGTGGGAGAGTGTGTGTGAGACTCAGGCTGCAGGTTCCATCCTGGGGCCTTCACCAGCCCTCACTAACGTTTACTGCAAGCCCTTCCTCATTATTGTAGATCAGGGTTTGCAGCTCTTTATGGTTCTCCTTTCCCTCCTTCCTAATAGAACCTCAGCTTCATTAATGCATCCAGCAGTCCTGCATGCATCTTCAGCAGCCCAGGAGATTCAGGGGAAGAAGGCTGTATCCCCGATTCCCACTCAAGGCATGAGCTCTGATTGGCCTAAACTAATTTCAGTAATTCCTTCTCCCCTCTTTTGCGAGTGTTCAGTCATCTAGATTTGAACAAAACAGCACATGGTATTCCCTTCGGTGAGAGTTACGGATCCAGGGGCATGCATGTGAACTAAATTGGTTTACCAGGATGTTTACTTGCTCTCTCACCTAGTGGATACAGACAAGGAATTATGCAGCCAAAATTGCTATGGGTCATGATAGGAAGACAAAGGGAACCAGCATTCAGATGAAGCCTACGGACAATAGCAAAGAGAGGCAGGAAAACTGGGGGTGATGGGTGATATTGTTGAGCCTGTCAATCTTTGGACTTCTTATTATATGAGTTAATCTTTAGAAACCATTCTGAGTCAGTTTCTGTGTTTTTCTTATTTTAGCTTTTTTGTTGTAACTTCTACATTGGATTAATTACAATCACTTATTTTTGAGGATGTTCAAAACTAGGTCTCATTATCTTTATGAACTCTATTGGTTCATCCAGGACCTTAAACTATCAAAAGGTGTGATTAGCTTCAAAACAGACAGCAACAGCATTGCCCGGGGAAAGCCACCCTTGTAGTAATTGTCATACTCCAGAAGCAGGGACAACCCCCGATATTGCTTTCAGATACCCATCCTTAGACTCCCCACCTCCTGTCCTATTTGTCTGTTTACATGTCTGTCATCCACCACTGGAGTGTATGGAGTGCTTTGGGGTGGAAATTGGCTTCTCCCCATCCAACATCTTACTATAGTGCCTGCCTGTCACTTAAGAATGAACAGATGAATACCAGGTGTGAAACACCCAATGTTTCTTTCCAAATTTCACAGTGATTCCAAAGGCCCTTAGGATGCCCTAGGGATAAAAACTGAAATCAAAGTGGCATCCTGAGTAAATAAATGAAGGCTGGATGGAGTAGAGACTTCTCTCTATATTCAAAGCCCATTGCTCCTGTGGAGGGCAGAAGGAAATGTTACCAGAGTCCCCCCACTCCCAGCTTAATTACTTGTGTTGTGTGTGCTAAATTTGTTGTATGTTGGTTGTTTCTAAAAGTCTGAGTGGTCCTTAGTACTCTTCTTCCCACAGTGAAAAGTAAAGAAATTTTTGTGCTTCAGGCCCAGCACAGAGGATTCATTTAAGTGAGCCTTAAGGAGGATGGCAGAGTGGCTGGGACTTGGAACAAGGCATTTTCCACATGGCAGGGTAGCTGGGAAGGGGTAGCTTTCACAGGCTTTCTGGAAGTGACGAAGATGGGACTCCATTTGCACACGGATGAAATGATGCTGGATTTTGAGTGAGCCCCAAATCCAATAACTGGTACCCTTCTAAGAGGAGAGGGAGATTTGAAACACAGAGACACATAAAGAGCAGTCTGTGTGAAGGTGGAGGCAGCAATTGGAGTTTTGCTGCCACCAACCAACGAACACCCGAAGCCAGCAGAAGCTGAAAGAGGCAAGGAAGGATCCTCCTGTCAGGCCTTAGAGAGAGCGAGGCCCTGCCAACACCTTCATTTCACACTTCTGGCCTCCAGAACCATGAAAGAAGACATTTCTGTGGTTTTAAATCACCCAGTTCGTGGCAATTTGTTAAGGCACTCTTAGCAAACTAATGCGGGATACATCCGTATCAGAGACCCCCATCCCTTGGGCCTCTGATTATAAGTGATTAAGAAGGATCATTTCCATTACTTATCTAACAGTTGATGACTCAGACCATTTTTTCATATTGCTAACTGCATGTGTAACTTTTTAAAAATAACCTTTAGGCCTGGCACGGTGGCTTATGCCTGTAATCCCAATGCTTTCCCAGGCAGGAGGACTGCTTGAGGTCAGGAGTTCAAGACCAGCCTGGCCAACAGGGCAAAACCCCATTTCTACTAAAAATACAAAAATTAGCCAGTCATGGTGGCTCAGGCCTGTAATCCCAGCTACTTGGGAGGCTGAGGCAGGAGAATCGCTTGAACCTGGGAGGCAGAGGTTGCGGTGAGCCAAGATCGCACCACTGCACTCCAGCCTGAGCGACAGAGCGAAATTCTGTCTCAAAAAAAAAAAAAAAAATGAGCTCGGCATGGTGGTGTGCACCTGTGGTCCCAGCTACTCAGGAGGCTGAGGTAGAAGGATTGCTTGAACCTGGGAGTTACAGGCTGCAGTGAGCCATGATAGTGACACTGCACTCCAGCCTATGCTACACAGTAAGACCCTGTCTCAAAAAAAAAAATTAAAAAATAAACACAACCCTGCTTATAAATGCTTAAAATTCTCTCTAAATTCAGGGTATACAAGAAGGAGTATCATTTGATGCCTCTGGTGATAGGGACTAGATTAGAGGAACAAAGATAGGACAGAAGCATTTTAAAATATATACCCTCATGCTGTTTAAGTTTTTTTATCTTGTGCCTTTCTTTACTTAAAAACACGCAAACACACGTTAAAGAAAAAAATAGCATGGCATTCCTATTGCTTGTATAAACTGTGATGTAGTTGTCACAGAGTTACATAAAAGTATCTTTTAACCACCAATTGCTTAATCAAAATCAAACTATTAATTTGTTTATATAAAGAACGGTGGTATTACTACTTACAGTTTGGCAAACACATATGAAATGTTGGTGCTTTGTTATGTTGCTACTGCCCGAAACCTGTTTGCAAATCAAATATATTCTTTCTTCACTTGTTTAATTTCTTTGTTATAACTTTGTTTGAATTGTTAGGGTACGTTTGTACCTTCTGTAATATGGTTGAATAAAAGTGAAGGCAGGCTGTAATGATTGTTACTAGTCTCCTTAAAAAAAAAAAAAGACAGGGATCCCAGGACACAGGCCATTTTGGGTTGCTTATGTTTTTTGCCATATGGAAAGCTGAGATAGGCTTACCTGTGAATGTGAAGTTTAAAGGTAATGATTATTACAACATCTGTCAGTACTTCTGGAGACCCAAAATAAAACGGCACTCATTAATGCTCATTCATTCTTTCATTCAAATGTATTGCCTGCATGTGCTTTGTAATGTGTTAGAGGCTAAGGATTTATAAAAGCTACATAAGGTGGGAAACTGCTCTCAAGACAGCGACGAACCTGTAACTGGGTATATATGTACGATTCACTCTGATGGGTGCAATAGGAGCACACAGCAACCCCCGTGAAAGGGGTGAATTGCTGTGTTCAGGAGCTTCAAGAGGACAGCTTATGTGGTAAAAGTCACAGAGATGATTAACGTTGTTAATGGATCCATGATGGACTCTATCACAATTCCATAACCATACTTCCAGGACATCTAAACAGACAAGATTTTTCCTCTTATGCTGTCAACTTCTTTGATTATTGGTAGTGTCTATTTCTTTTTTTTTTTTTTTTTTGAAGACAGAGTCTCACTCTGTTGCCCAGGCTGGGGTGCTGTGGCATGATCTTGGCTCACTGCAACCTCTGCCTCCCTGGTTCAAGCGATTCTCCTGCCTCAGCCTCCTGAGTCACTGAGATTACAGGCGTGTGCCACCACGCCCAGCTAATTTTTGTATTTTTAGTAGAGATGGGGTTTCACCATGTTGGCCAGGCTGGTCTCGAACTCCCAACCTCAAGTGATCTGCCCACCTCGGCCTCCCAAAGTGCTGGGATTACGGACGTGAGCCACGGTGCCCAGCCAGTGTCTATTTCTGATGTGCTCTTGGCAATTTTCAAAGACCTGACTGCGTTCATTCACATACATTATGGGAGGATGACAACATCAAATAAGAGGAATAAATTGGAAGCAGAGAGAGGTTTCACTGTAAGGAAAGTAAAATAAAGAAGCTATACATTTTGAAATTAAAATTTTACGTTCTCAGCCAATTCAGCTATTTAGTGATTTGGTCCATGCACTGCAGTACACTTGACAATTTTCACTGTTAAGAGCTGGAACCATTCAGAGTAGTGTGGGTCTTTCAAGAGTTTAGTCTATTACTTAGTACAAACTGATCTTGCTGAAGGACATTACTTGCATGCTGTGGCAGAGATACTAGCTGCTTCCTTACCATGTTCTCTTCTTCCTGAGCTCATGGCTAGACCACATGTCCCAGCCCCTCTGGCAGGGAGGAGTGGCCACGTGGCTGAGTCCAGCCAATGGAATGAGCTGGAGTGACGTGTGCCACTTTCAGGTCTGCCCCATTACAACTTCCCATGCTTCATCTTCTTTGCTCTTTGCAGCTGGTTGGAATGAAGATGACCCCCAGGGCAACCCTGAAAGCTTGAAAGCCACCAGTTATAAACAGCAGAGCCTCCGTCAGCCCGGGTGCCCAAACGACTACATGAAGGAGGCACTGTGGGGGCCTGTGAGATGTACCCAGTACTGTTACATGAACAAGAAATAAACTCTATGGTATTTGAGCCATAATACATTTTAAGGTCAGTTTGTTACAGTGGCTGGCTTTTCCTAACTTACATACTTGCCTAGCAAAATTTTTCTCCTTTGTTTTTCTTTGCAGGGGGGGTGGACACAAGAAAGGATAAGTTGAGGGAAATGTACTTATAATATGTATGCCAGATACCTTTCATTTGCCCCTCTAGAACCGAGCTCCCTCCTTCTGTATCCTGAAGACTGACCCACATCTCTGGGCCTCTGAGCCCTCTGACTGCTGGGAGATGAGAAGGAGGGAGGAGGGGTGAGGTCAGAATATTTCTTGCCCTGGTTTGCTCCCTGCGAGATCCCTCGGGCTGGCTACGTCTCCTAACAGAAGTTCACTGCTCCTCCCCACTGGCCTGTTTTACACAGCTCTCTTGCTCCTGGGTTCAGGGATGGCTTCCCGGCCCTTGTCCCTTTGGGCCTAGGGCTGTGTTGTCGGCCAGGCTGCTGCAAACCCAGGTTACTACAGCATCCCTTGCAGGGACTTTGCCCTATGCCCAACTTTGTCATGTCCCTCTGTAAATAAACCTTCCTAGAATTGTCCTACTCTGAGTGTGCTCTGCTTTCTGTTAGCACTCTGACCAAGACAATCGTTCTCTGTCTTCATTCTCAAAAATAATAATACCAAATATTGCACATATTATATTTCCAGAACCTAGCAAGGCTGTTGTACATTTTAAGGCAATCAGTCACAATCACAAGCAATAAGTCACAGGCAAATTATTACATCTCCCTCTTTCAGTGGTACCTTGAATTTTCAGCATCTCCAGGTTCACCTAGCTTCACAATCCAAACCTAATATGTAAGTCCCCTTAGTGTCTAGATCAGAATCCAAATACCTTAGCCTGGCATTCAATGCCCTTCATAATCTGCTCTCCCTCTCCTGTCCTCCAATGGCCATTTCCTTGCCCTCCCCTTACTTCTCCCCTACCCCACAAGGCAGGAGGATGGTGACTCTGTGACCCTGTCTCTGGAATCCCCTCCCGCCTTCCTTTTCACTTTACTCCTGGTAGTCTCAGAAAACTCAGCTCACCTGTCCTGCTGAAAAACACTTTCCCCATTGCCTACACCCCCGACACGCCCCTCCCCACCCACACACCTATTCACCTTCAAAGGCTGCAGTAGCTGCTTCTCTGCTCTCCCGTGACGGGCTTACCTGTGCCACACCACTGCCTGCTTTCCTGACTCCTGGACTGTGTTTCTCTAAAGGACTGGGATGGACTACTAGTTATGTTTGAATCTTCATACTAGGTACTCGATAAATGTTTGCTGAATGCACATGTCTGCAGTGGTTTTAGGTTTTTGTTAAAAACTTGCAAGAACACTGCAATTCCTGTGGAGGACGTGGATAAAGCAAGGATAAGGAGAGGGGCATGTCCCTTTTCTCCCATTCACTTCTCTACATGAGCTGGAGACTCGGGAGAAGAGCCCTGCTTCTCTTCTGGAGTTTCTGAGCCTCTGTCTTCTCCATGGAATGAAGAAATAAACCATCACCTCTGCCTTTAATGTGATCCACTCACCACAGATGCCCATTGACTAGAAACTGAATTGCTGAAGTTTGTCTCATACACATGTATTTTTTTAATTCAGTTTTTTTTTGTTTTTGTGTTCTTTGTTGTTGTTGTTGTTGTTGTTGATGTTTTGAGACAGAGTCTTGCTCTGTTGCCCAGGCTGGAGTGCAGTGGTGTAATCTCAGCTCATTGCAACCTCTGCCTCCTGGGTTCCAGTGATTCTCCTCCCTCAACCTCCTGAGTAGCTGAGGTTAGGTTACAGGTGCCCACAACCACGCCCAGCTAATTTTTTTTTTTTTTGAGGCAGAGTCTCACTCTGTTGCCCAAGCTGGAGTGCCGTGGCGTGATCTTGGCTCACTGCAACCTCCACCTCCTGGGTTCAAGCAATTCTCCTGCCTCACCCTCCTGAGTAGCTGGGACTACAGGCATGCGCCACCACGCCCGGCTAGTTTTTTGTATTTTTGGTAGAGATGGGGTTTCACTACGTTGGCCAGGCTGGTGTCGAACTCCTGACCTCAGGTGATCCACCTGCCTCAGCATCCCAAAGTGCTGGGATTACAGGCATGAGCCACCGTGCCTGGCCTAATTTAGTTTCTTAAATAGGTAATATGTTGTCATGGGTCAAAACCAAAATATATAAAAAATTATACAGTGAAACCCACCCTAACCCGTGGCTCCCATTTTCCTAGTTCCTTCACTCCGTAGGTAACCATTCTTCTTAATTTCTTACATATACTTAGTTCCAGAGTTGTTTAATACACATAGAAGCAAATTATAAATATGTATTCTTAAACGTCTTTTTTTTTTTTTTGATAAAGGGTCTTGCTCTATTGCCCAGGCTGGAGCGCAGTGGTTCAATCATGGTCCACTGCAACCTTCACTTCCCAGGCTCAGGTGATCCTCCCAGCTCAGCCTCCCAAGTAGCTGGGACCACAGGTGCACACCACCACACCTGACTAATTTTTTTATTTTTTGTAGAGACAGGGTTTCGCCATGTTGCCCAGGCCGGTCTCCAGCTCCTGGGCTCAATTGATCCACCCACCTAAACCTCCCAAAGTGTTGGAATTATAGGCATACGCCACCACACCCAGCCCATTCTTACATTTCTCCCTTCTTTATCAAAGCATGACATACTTTTCTGGGCTTTGCTTTTTTTAACTGATTTTTTTTTTTTTCAGTTTCCAAATGGTTATTTTATCAGATTGTTTGAACATTTAATTTATCCTGTTTGCAATCCAAAATAGTTACCTGAAGTTTGCTGTTTTGTGTGTATGTGTGTGTTTACTTTTATTGTGTACTTATTTTTCTAAACTCTTTGGCACAATTTTCTGGGGGCGTTCAGACTGCCACAATGCAAGTCAAGAGAGGGCGTTTTCTTTGTGCTGCCAATTCTGATCATTTAAATTTTGGTTTGTTTGGGTTGTGACTTTTTTGTTTTTGAAGTCTGCATTATTTGTAACAATTGTACTTATATATCCTCTAAGGCCAGAGTTTTCTTTTTCTCCCCCTGCCCCGCCCCCCACCTTCTACATTCACAGTTGAACCATATTATTAGGAAAGGTGCCTTGATGAAAAGATCAGGATAGGAGCTCTGACCATTCGTCAGTGTTTTCCCTGGAGTAAAAAAAAAAAACAAAAACAAAACAAAAAAAAACTAAAGAGCGTCTTTCCTCTGTGTTTTTTTTGTTTTTTTGTTTTACATCTCTTGTGCTGCATTAACTGAATTTTTTTTTAGTATGTTTTGGAAACCTTTCCTTACCTGTTGCTTCCTAATTCTTTTGAACAGCTGCATAGTATTCCATCATCTGGATGTATCATACTTTATTTAACAAGAACTTTATTAATATACATTTGAATTACTTCTAATATTTTCTGAAAATAATGCTTAAATGACACATTTAATTTTGATATGATGCCATATGATTCAATGTATAAATCTTTTAACATTTTGACTTCATACATTTCAAAAAGTGTTTCTTTTAATCAGTGGGCCAACCAGTATGTGACATTTGCTAAAGGATAAATTAAGGTTAGAGAATAGATCAATAGCCTGAAAAATTATTCAACTCAATGAGTTCATTTCTGGGCATTTGTCCATAAGAATGTTGGAAGATACAGCAGAGTATGAGTTCATTTCAATGGAGCAGGCAGCGTATGTGTAAACTTCGTAGCTTCTGCCAAGGTCATTTAAACAAAGCAGCATTCCAGAGTTCTTGGGAAAAAAGCTCACTCATTTTGGTATTTTTGATGATCGGTAATATTTTAAATTGTATTGGAGATGCTAATGCAGCAGAGGTTTATAAAAAGGAGAAAGGCTCGGCATGTCTATCCACAACCAGTGTACCACTGGCCTTATGAGGAAGGTATAATGCATCAGTTTCAAAACTTGCTTCATTCCAGAGGCTGAGAGGTCACTTGTTGGTTTTCTGACTGTTCCCCAGTACAGAACACACAAGTACGGGATTCTCTATGTTCATCTTGTGCATACATGCTGCTGTGGAGGCTGGCGTCCCATTTGACCAAAGGAGAAATTCCATCCAGCTGCCCCTCCTATGCAGCCTGTTTTGCAGGGCCTGGTTGTCAAGGCTGTCTAGTGAGGAGAGCCCTCAGGCATGGTGCGTGCTACCTCTGCCAGAGGACAGAGTGATGGGTTGGAAAGGACCAGTCGAATACTACTGAGACTTACCACCAGCTTATAAAAGCACATTTCCTCAAAGGGGGCTAATAGGGCTCATTATGAAGCTGCTTAGCCCAAATAGTACCTGGGCTCAAGAACAAACCTGTAAGACACAGACTCACCTCCTATCAGGGCAACTGGACCTCCAGACCCACAGAAGAAGATCCAACTGCGGACACTCAATGAGGTCATGCTACCCTCGACCAAAGCTTTCTTGCAGGGTCCAGAGGCATAAACTCATTTAAAGCCAAGAGACGTGAGATGCTCTACTTGCCTGAGCTCTTTACATGTATATCTTATACTTACCCATATGAAGATTATTTTCTGAGTAAAGGAAATAGGAGAAAAGAAAAAGTTGCAGATAAAATTAGAGGTCTAAGTTAGAGGAAACTGTTGCTAAGAAACATAGGTTTAAAAATGCTTTTATGTATAGTTTTCACAAACGTTGGCTTTATTTGGAGTGTTAGCCTTCCTAACCCTTTTTGAGTTTCTGGTAATGGTATATATCTATTTTACAGATTTCTGGAATGCTCTTCCATCAACTCACTCCACCTCTTCCGATCTTACCAGTCGTCAGTTTGGAAACCCTAAGCTGGATGAACTCTATTACACTTCTGATATTTATTAGGTAAACATTTTTAAGTATATTGCTGTTTCCCTTTGTGTTTATTTTCTGCCATACGTTTTCAGTGACTACCTGTGAGGTAGGCCCAGTTTCAGTCACTTGGGGATGGATCAGCGAGCAAAACTGGCAAAATCATGTTCCTGACAATTTCTACTGAAGGATGTAGTGGTAGATGAATGGCATTTTATATGATCAATAATTGAACATAGGGTAGTCTAATAAACTTAATTCTAGTGCTTCTCAGGTTCAAAGCCCTGAGCTTGGCATATGGGCCTGAAAGAAAAGTGAACCTTTCTGTTGACTGCTTTTCCTTTTCTCCTTTCTTCCCCTTCAATTTTCCCAGAAATCTCCTTGACTTTCCCCAACACACAGACAGACACACACCACTTGTCTTTGTCCTATATTTAATCTAAATACAGTAATAACTATTTATATCTCAATTCTGTGATTTTCTCCCATAGTCTATGTATTTTACTTTTGTGCTTGGGAGAGTTCTATCTACTACAAAGTAAAGGCCCTGGTAGGCAGATGTTACACACACATACACACACACACACTGAAGCTATATGCAATTAAGTGCTTAAAAATTTTTATTGTGACAATATCTGTATGTTTCAGTTATCTATTGCTGTGTAACAAAAAACCCCAACACTTAGTAGCTTAAAACAACAATGATTTGTTAGCTCAAGATTCTGTGGATCAGAAATTTGGACTGGGCTGAGCTGGCTGGTCCTTTTGCTTCATGTAACATTGGCTGGGCTCACTCATTGAGCTGCATTCAGCTCTGAGTTTGGCCAGGACTGGAATGTTCCAAGTGTCTTCAGTCTTCTCTCCAGTTGTCTGTCTCCCACAGAATGGGACATTTCACATGGCAGCCGGCTTCCAAGATGGAGACCCAGCCTTGGAAATTATACAACACCACTTCTGCTACATTTTATTTGTCAAAACAGGTCCCAGGGCCAGCCCAGATTCCAGGGGAGAGGAAACATATTCCCATCCTGTTGGGGGAGTGGCAGGGTCACAGCGTAATAGATTGTGCAAGATGGGAGATGGTGTTGCAGCCCTATTTGGAAACATGAGCTACCACACTATATAGACTTATTTTATGTTAGTTGGTAATTTAATATAAATCCCAGTTCTAGGCAGTAGTAATGAATCTAGCATTAGTTTGTTTTCTCCCTGTATGTCCGTCTCCTCATTAGTACATTACCTGGTAAAGAATGTCTTGAGTTATAATCCTGAGTTCTGTGTGTATCAGTCAATATTTTTGGCTCCAAGGCATATGAAGCAATTCTAGCTAACTTAAGCAGAAAGGTTTTGTTGGTGGTGGTGGTGGTGGTGGTGGTGGTGGTAGTGGTGGTTTATCAAGTAGCTTACAGAAGGTATGAAGGTTAAACTACTAAACTCGGAATATGGGCAGACTCTAAGGAAGGCTGGGCAGGAAGTCATAGCCACAGTGATATCACAGTGAGACTGGACAGGGCACTGCTGCTGGTGCTGTACACACTGTGCAATAGACACTGTTTCTGCATGGCTGTCAGCACCACCATTCCTGTGCCTGGGGGGTTGATATTTTTTCTCCTTGATGGCTCCAAGTCCTGGATAGGAATAACCAATTCTATTTGCTCCTTTATCAACCAGGAAGTGAAGAGAGGATCCTTTCAACTTGAAAGGTTGGGGCTGAGGGTATTCTACCTCCTACCAAGACTTACATTATGGAGTATTGTCCCCAAATACAAAGAGCTATCTAGTCGTATACGTTCAGTAGTCATTGCCAAAAACAGTAAACTGTCATGATCTGGCCCCTGCTACCTCTCTGACCTCAACTTCTACTCACTCTGTTCTAGTCTCAATGCAAAACACCAAACATGTTCCTGCCTTGGGACCTTTGCATATGCTATTTTCATCTCGGAAATACTCTTCCCCATATATCTGTATGACTCTCTTTCTCATCTTATTCAAGTCTCTACACAAATATTACCTTCTTATAACACCTTACTGCTGCCATTCTATTTAAAATTGTAAACCTGAGAGGGAGGCAGGGCAAGATGGCTGAATAGATGCCTCCAGTGATCACCCCCCTGCCCCACAAAAACATCAAATTGAACAATTATCCACACACACACAAAAAAGCACTTTCATAAGAACCAAAAATCAGGTGAGCAATCACAGTACCTGGTTTTAACTTCATATCCCTGAAAGAGGCACGGAAGAGGGTACAGAAGACTATCTTGAATTGCCTCCACCACCCATTCCCATCCCCTGGCAGTGGCCACATGGTGCAGAGAGAGAATCGGTGTGCTCAGGGGAGGGAGAGCACAGTGACTATGGGACTTTGCATTGGAACTCAGTGCTGTCTGGTCACAGCAGAAAGCAACACAGGGCAGAAGTCAGCCAGCACCCAGGAGGGAGCATTTAGACCAGCCCTAGCCAGAGGGGAATCATTCATCCCAGTGGTTGGAACCTGACTTCTGCCAAGCCCTGCCGCAGCAGGCTAATGTGCTCTGGGGTCCTAAATAAACTTGAAAGGCAGTCTAGGCCAGGGGTCCTTAATCCCTGGGCCACGGACCAGTACCAGTCCATGGTGTGTTAGGAACCCAGCCGCACAGGAGGAGGTGAGCAGTGGCCGAGTGAGCATTACCGCCTGAGCTCCACCTCATGTCAGATCAGCGTCACCATTAGATTCTCATAGCAACATGAACCCTGTTGTAAACTGTACACGCAAGGGATCTAGCTGCACGCTTTTTATGAGAATCTAACTAATGCCTGACGATCTGAGGTGGAACAGTTTTATCCCAAAGCCTTCTCCCACCTCTGGTCCATGGAAAAAATGTCTTCCATGAAACCAGTCCCTGGTACCAAAAAGAGTGGGGACTGCTGGTTTAGGCCACAAGGACTGTAATTCCTAGGCAAGTATTGGTGTTGTGCTAGGCTCAGAGCCAGTGGACTTGGGGTGCACACAACCTAGTGAGACACAGCTTGGGGGCTTAAGGAGTGCTTGCATCACCCCTCCCCCAACCCCAGGCAATGCAGCTCCCAGCTCCAGGAGAAACTCCTTACTTCCATATGAGCAGAGAAGAGGGAAGAGTAAAGAGGACTTTGTCTTACAACTTGGATACCAGCTCAGCAACAGCAGGACAGGGGAACAGGCAGAGTCCTGAGGTCCCTATTCTAAGCCCTAGTTACCACATGAGATTTCTAGACACACCTGGGCTGAAAGGGAACCCACTGACGTAAAGGGAAGGACCCGATCGTGGCAGGATTCATCACTCGCTGACTAAAGAGGCCTTGGGCCCCAAATAATCAGCAGTGGTAGCCAGGCAGAACTTGCTGTGGGCCTTGGGTGGAACTCAGAGCCATGCTAGCTTCAGGTGTGACCCAGCACATTCCCAGCTGTGGCTATGGGGAGATGTTCCTCCTGCTTGAAAAAAAATGAAGGAAGAGTAAAGGGGACTTTGTCTTGCAGCTTGGGTACCAGCTCAGCCACAGTGGAATAGAATACCAAGCTAGCTGCTGGGATCCTCAATTCAAGGCCTTGGCTACTGGAAGACATTTCTAGACCCACCCTAGGTCTGAGGAGGAGACCACTACCCTGAAGGGGAAACTGAGGTCTGGCAACATTCAACAAGCTGACTGAAGAGACCTTGGGCCTTCAGTGAACATTGGCAGGAGCCAGACAGTACTGTGGGCCTGGAACAATGGTAGCCATGGGGAAAGACTCATTTGCTTTAGGAAAGGGGAAGGAAGAGTGAGAAGAACTTTATCTTCTGGCTTGGATGCCAGCTCAGCCACAATAGAATACAGCACCAGGTAAATTCCCAGTGTTCCTGACTCCAGGCCCTGGCTCCCAGGCAGTATATCTGGACCTGTCCAAGGCAGAAGAAGTTACCTCCCTTCTCCCTGAAGGGAAAAACACAAGCCTGGATGGATTCACCACCTGCTGATTATAGAGCCCTTGGCCTTGAGTGAACACAGGCAGTAGCCAGGCAGTGGTCACTCAAAGCAGAACAGCACTGGGTCTCACAGCCTCAGTCTCACAGCTCAGCACAGAGAGAGAGAGAGACTCTGTTTGTTTGGGGGAAAGTAAGGGAAGAGAACAAGAGTCTCTGCCTGGTAATCCCAGGAATTCTCCCAGATCTTATTCAAGACTACCAAGGTGGTACCTCTATGAGTCTACAAGAACCATGGCATTACTGGGCTTGGGGGTACCCCCTAATACAGGTATGGCCACAGTGACCAAAGACAGGTCACAACACCCAAGTCCCTTGGAAAGCCTTCCCAAGAAGCAAAAGTACAAACAAGCCCAGATTGGGAAGAATACAATAAGTTCCTAACCCTTCAATGCCCAGACAGTGACAAATATCTACAAGCATTAAGACCATTCAGGAAAATATGACCTCACCAAACAAACTAAATAAGACACTAGTGACCAGTCCCAGAGAGACCAAGATATGTGACCTTTCAGACAGAGAATTCAAAACAACTGTTTTGAGGAAGCTCAAAACAATTCAAAATAACATTGAGAAGGAGTTCAGACCCAACCAGATAAATTTAACAAAGAGATGGAAATAATTAAAAAGAATCAAGCAGAAATTCTGGAGCTGAAAAATGCAATTGGCGTACTGATGAATGCATCAGAGTCTTCTAATAGTAGAATTGATCAAGCAGAAGAAACAATTAGTGAGCTTGAAGACAAACTATTTGAAAATGCACAGTCAGAGGAGAAAAAAGAATAAAGAAGAACGAAGCATGCCTACAAGATCTAGAAAATAGCCTCAAAAGAAAGAGATTGGGGTAGAAAGTTTAATCAAAGGAATAATAACAGAAAACTTCCCCAAAAAGATATCAATATTCAAGTACAAGAAGGTTATAGAGCACTAAGCAGATTTAACCCAAAGAAGACTACCTCCAGCATTTAATAGTCAAACTCCCAAAGCTTGAGGATAAAGAAGGGATCCTAAAAGCAGCAACAGAAAAGAAACAAATAACATACTAAGGAACTCCAGTACATCTGGCAGCAGACTTCTCAGTGGAAACTTTACAGTCCCAGAGAGAAAGGCAGGACATATTTAAAGTGTGGAAGGAAAAAAACTTTTACCCTAGAATAGTATATCTGGTGAAAATATTCCTCAAACATGAAGGAGAAATAAAGACTTTCCCAGAACAACAAAAGCTGAGGGATTTTATCAACCCTAGACATGTGCTACAAAAATGCTAAAGGGAGTTCTTCAGTCTGAAAAAAAGGACATCATTGAGCAATATGAAATCACCGGAAGTATAAACTCACTGGTAACAGTAAGTACACCAAAAAACAACAGAAAATTATAACACTGTAATTGTGGTGTGTAAACTACTCATGTCTTAAGTAGAAAGACTAAAAGATAAGCCTATCAAAAATAATAACTACAGCAACATTTCAAGGCATAGATAGTATAATAAGATATAAATGAAAACAAAAGTTAAAAAGTAGGGGATGAAGTTAAAATGTAGAGATGTAGAGTTTTTATTAGTTTTCTCTTTGTTTGTTTGTTAGTTTGTTTATGCAATCACAAGTGGCTGGGCGCAGGGGCTGACGCCTGTAATCCCAGCGCTTTGAAAGGCCAAGGCAGGTGGATCACCTGGGCCCAGGAGTTTGAAACCAGCCTGGGCAATATGGCAAAACCCCATCTCTACTAGAAATACAAAAATTAGCTGGGCATGGTGGCACACACCTGTAATTCCAGCCACTCGGGAGGCTAAGGCACGAGAATTGCTTGAACCTGGGAGGTGGAGGTTGCAGTGAGCCGAGATCATGCCACGGCACTCCAGCCTGAGCAACAGAGTGAGACTCTATCTTCAAAAAAATAAATAAATAAGTCATAAGTTTAAAATAATGTGTTATAAGATGTCATTTGCAAGCCTCACTGTAACCACAAATAAAAAAACATACAACAGATACACTAAAAATAAAAAGCAAGAAATTAAAACATACCACCAGAGAAAATCATCATCACTAAAAGAAAGACAGGAAGGAAAGAAAGAAGGAAGAGAAGACCACAAAACAACCAGAAAACACATTTTTAAAATGACAGTAGTGAGTCCTTACTTATCAATAATAACATTGAATATAAGTGGACTAAACTCTCCAGTCAAAAGACATAGAGTGGCTGAATGGCTTTAAAATGAAACGAAACCCATTGATCTGTTGCCTGTTAAAAAAACACACCTCACCTATTAAACACATATAGACTGAAAATAAGGGAATAGAAAAAGATATTCCATGTTAATGAAAACCAAAAAAGAACAGGAGTACCTATACTTACATCAGACAAAATAGATATCAAGACAAAAATGCTAAGAAGAGACAAAGAAGATCACTATGTAATGATAAAGGGATCAGTTCAGCAAAAGGATATCACAATTGTAAATATCTACGCACCCAACACCAGACAACTCACATATATAAAGCAATATTATTAGAGCTAAAAAGAAAGACCCCAATAAAATAACAGCTGGAGATTTCAATGCCCCACTTTCAGCATTGGACAGGTCATACAGGCAGAAAATCAACAAAGAAACATCAGATTTAATTTGCATTATAGACCAAATGGACCTAACAAATATTTAAATATAGAACATTTCAACCAATGACTATGGAATACATACTGCTTTCCTGAGCAAGCACATGGATCATTCTCAAGGATAGATCCTATGTTAGGCCACAAAACAAGTCTTAAAAAAATAAAAAAAAATTGAAATCATATCAAGCATCTTGTCTGACCACAATGGAATAAAATTAGAAATCAACAAGAGGAATTTTGGAAACTATACAAACACATGGAAATTAAACAATATACTCCTGAATGATCAGTGTGTCAGTGAAGAAATTAAGAAGGAAATTGAAAAATTTCTTGAAACAAATGATAATGGAAACACAACGTACCTAAGTCTATGGGATACAGTGAAAGTAGTACAAAGGGGTAAGTTTATAGCAATAAATGCCTACAGCAAAAAACTAGAAAAACTTCAAATAAACAACTAGAAAAGAAAGAGCAAACCAAACCCAAAATTAATAGAAGAAATAATAAAGAACAGAGCAGAAATAAAAGAATTTGAAATTTTAAAAAATATGAACAATCAATGAAAGAAATGTTGGGCTTTTGAAAAGTTAAAGAAAATAGACAAATCTTTAGCCAGATATGCAAGCCATCCTTGCAAGCCAATCTTGCAAGCCATTCTCCCATCTCAGCCTCTTAAGTAGCGGGACTACAGGCACGCGACACCACGCCTGGCTAATTTTTGTATTTTTTGTAGAAATGGGGTTTCATCATGTGGCCCAGGCTGGTCTTGAACTCCTGAGCTCAAGCGATCCACCCATCTCAGCCTCCCAAAGTTTTGGGATTACAGGGGTGAGCCACCATGCCCAGCCAATAATCCAGTTTTTAAATGTGCAAAACTGCATCCTACTTTATCCGTTTAAAAAAAGTAAAAATAAATAAATAAATGTACAAGAGATCTGAACAGATGTTTCTCAAAAGAAAATGTACAAATGGCAAACAGGTATATGAAACAGTGCTCAGATCATCAGAAAAATGTAAATCAAAACCACGATAAGATATCACCTCATTCCAGTTAAAATGGCTTTTATCCAAAAGACAGGCAACAATGAATGTTGGCAAAGATGTGGAGAAAAGGGAACCCTTGTGCATTGTTGGTGGGAATGTAAATTAACACAACCACTGTGGAGAACAGTTTGGAGATTCCTCAAAAAGCTAAAAATAGAGCTACCATATGATCCAGTAATCCCATGGCTATGTATATACCTGAAATAAAGGAAATTAGTATATCAAAGAGATATCTGCACTCCCATGTTTATTGCAGCACTGTTGACAAATATAGCCAAGATTTGGAAGCAACCAAACTGTCTGTCAACAGACAAATGGATTAAAAAAAGGTAGTACCTATACACAATGGAGTACTATTCCACCATAAAAAGAATAAGATCAGTCATTTGCAACAATATTGATGGAATTGAAGGACATTATATTGAATGAAATAATCCAGGCACAAGAAGACAAACTTCACATGCTCTCACTTATTTGAGGGATCTAAAAATTAAAACAATAAACTTATGGAGATAGAGAGTAGAAGGATGGTTACCACAGTCTGGGAAGGGTTGTTGGAGGGGAGTGGGGATGGTTAATGAATATAAAAAATATAGTTAGATAGAACAAATAAGATCTAGTATTTGATAGCACAATAGGGTGACTACAGTCAACAATAATTTACAGTACATTTTAAAATAACTAAAAGAGTATAATTGGATTGTTTGTAACACAAAGAAAGTATAAATGCTTGAGGTGTTGGATACCCCATTTACCCTGATGCGGTTATTATGCATCGTATGCCTGTATTAAAATAGCTCATGTACCCCATAAATATATACACCCACTTTGTGCCCACATTTTTTCTTTCTGTCTGTCTCTCTCTCTCTCTCTCTTTGTTTCGAGACACAGTCTCACTCTGTCGCCCAGGCTGGAGTGCAGTGGTGTGATCTCAGCTCACTGCAACCTCCACCTCCCCAGCTCAAGCAATTCTTGTGCCTCAGCCTCCCAAGTAGCTAGGATTACAGGCGCCTGCCACCACACCTGGCTGATTTTTGTATTTTTAGTAGAGACAGGGTTTCATGATGTTGGCCAGGCTGGTGTTGAACTCCTGGCCTCAAGTGATCCACCCACCTCTGCCTCCCAAAGTGCTGGGATTACAGGCGTGAGCCACTGCGCCCGTTGTTGTGCCTACATTTTCTATCTCACTTACCTGCCTATTTTCCCCTTCTTAACACTTAACATTATCTAATATATCATATGTATATTTTCCATTCTCCCTCTAGAATGTAAGCTCCATGGGAGCAAAGATTGTAATCTGTTTTGTTCAGTGTTATGTCCCCAGCATCTAGAATAGTGCCTGCAAAAAAGTAAGTTTTCAATGAATATGTTTTGCATAATTGAAGGTAGAGTCAGTAGAACTCAATCCATTTGAAGTCCCATTGTCAACCCATTTCTATGCGGTTGACAATGATTTTTCTTGGAATTTAATTCTCCTACCAATATATCTGCCTAGAATATGTTTTTCTCATTTAAAATTGCTATACGAGACAAAATGAACATTCTTGATAGGTTTAAAAAATTGTTTTATTTATTGCTCCCTTTCCTTCAACCAGTCTTAAACATCTGCCCAGAAGGAAATTGGATAAGTCAGACAAGGATCATTTATTACAAAGCCATGCCTTATGCTTTGTTCCCTTCTCAGCATTTCTAAATTGATATCTGCTGATTTACTGCACTACTTTTCAAGGTATTGCTGCAAGCTTAATAATTTTCAAGGTCATCCCTTTCATCCTTCATTCAGTAAGACATTAAGTTGGCCTTTTTCCAGTTTTCAAGAATATATTAGTCCTCAGAAGCTGCTGCAAGCAAGGCTAATTCATGATGTATCCCAGAAGATAAAACATCAGGCATTGTAGATTTAAATACCTTGGTAAGGGTTCAAATAGTCATCAGTGAGCCAAAACTGAGGGTCAAATATGGTGGTTCACACCTGTAATCCCAGCATTTTGGCAGGCTGAGGCAGGAGAATCACATGAGGCCAAGAGTTTGAGACCACCCTGAACAATATAGCAAGACCCTATCTCTTAAAAAAATAAAAGAAAAATTAGCCAATGGCACACTCCTGCAGTCCCAGCTGCTAGAGAGGCTGAGGCCAAAGGATCACTTGAGCCCAGGAGTTCGAGGCTGTGGTGAGCTATGATCATGCCACTGCACTCCAGCCAGGGTGACAGAGTTAGACCCTGTCTCTAAAAAGAGAAAAAGTAAAATTTGCCGAGGGTCAGCTGAGTACAAAGCCTGTGCTAGTTGTTCCCTCTCTGTGGTTTTCTGCCTTATTAGTATGCGTGACATCAACTGAGGAGTTAATCTAATCAAGCTCTGCCATTTGCACAGCAGGCAGAATGGCAAGGATCCAACTGGCTATAGCAAGCTCTTCATTTTAGTTCACTTTGCCTCCTTGGCAGGGGGCATAATTTCAGTGGTTCTGTTTCAGTTGATAGCATATTTCCCTATTTATGTAATTGATGAAGAGTATCCTTTATTCATTCATTTACAGAATACATACTTACTGAGTTATAGCAGTGAACAAAACAAAAGTTCCAAAACTCGGGAAGTTTACAACTGATTGTGCCACCCAGTTTGTACAATTCTTGCTCTAATAACTACAAATAAATACAAAAGAGTATTGATGGCTGACACTTTTTCCACCCCCAAAAAGCCCTGAACCAAAAATGAGCAAAAGGGAGAAAACAGGGCTCTACTAATTCTCATTCATATTCCCAGTAAGTGTCATCCAGACATACCGAGAATGGTGAGCAGATGTCACTGTACCTGCCCTGTCACTCCAGGCCCCTGTCACACCATAACAACCCCTCATGTTACATGCCTTCCCTCAAATGATGACAACCTGTTGTTCTGAGTCATAAACCGTTGGTAATGGGAAATCCACAATAAGTACTCAGGGTTGTAATTATTATAGCATTTGGGACATGTATTAGTCCATTTAGCATTGCTATAAAGAAATACCTGAGACTGAGTAATTTATAAAGAAAAGAGGTTTAATTGGCTCACAGTTCCACAGGCTGTGAAGGAAGCCTGATGCTGGGATCTGCTTGGCATCTGGAGAGGCCTCGGGAAACATACAATGGTAGCAGAAGATGAAGGGGAAGCAGGAACGTCTTACATGGCAGGAGGAGTAGGAGCAAGGCTTGGGGGAGGTGCTACACACTTTTAAACAACCAGATCTTTCGAGGACTCACTCACTCACTATCATGAGAACAGCACCAGGGGATGGTGCCAAACCATTCGTAAGAAATCCACCTCCATAATCCAATAACTTCCGACCAGGCCCCACCTTCAACGCTGGGGATTACAATTCAACATGAGATTTGGGTGGGGACACAGAGCCAAATCATATTAGGGCTGCATCAGCTCACAAAATTCAGACTCTTACATGCAAAACAAAGTGTTTGCAAACCATTTTCTTTTACCATTTCTAGCCTGTCAGTTAGTACAGCCCACCAGGTTTCCAAGCTTTGGAGCTTGCATTGCTTTCCACCTATTATTTGCCCCTGAGAGGCCCTGCCTACAAGCCTCAGAAGTTCATTCTCTTTCCCAAAGTGGAGGAAGTAATGCTAAAAACTTCCAGGATATTTGGATGGAGTTGTCATTAGTGAGCACTGAGCACACAGAATGTGAAGCAAGTTATTTTCTAGCATAGATAGTGCTGTGGTCTGAATGTTTGTGTCCTTCCCAAATCCACATGTTGAAATTTAATCCCCAATGTGATAGTACTAAGAGGTGGGGCTTTTGGGAGGTGATAAGGTCATGAGGGATCTGCCTCCTCAAATGAGATCAGTGTCCTTAGAAAAGAGGCCCAAGGGAGATTGCCCCTTCTGTCATCTTGAGGACACAACAAGAAGGCACCATCCATGAGAAATGGGTCCTCACCAGACACCAAATCTGCTGGCACCTTGATCCTGGACTTCCCAGCCTCTAGAACTGTGAGCAATAAATTTCTGTAGTTTTTAAATTACCCAGTCTAAGGGGTTTTGCTATGGCAGTCTAAACAGACTAAAGCAGGTAGGAAGCAAAAAGTAAAGCAATTTCTGAGAATCTGCATAAACAGGGATAATGATTAGGATGGATGGTGCAGAGCCATTTGTTAGATATCCAATTCAGTACAACAGACATTCTCTGGAAACATCCTTTGTTTTGCCTTTCACACTCTCCTGCTTTCTTCTCACCTCTCTGGCTGCTTCTATTAAGTCTGTCTTATGGGTTACTCCTCCCTATCTGACCTCTACTTGTTAGAGAACTCCGTGGCTCAGTCTTGGGTCACCTTCTCATCTCCATCTAGCTACATTTTCTCCCAAGGTCATCTCACTACATCCTGGTCTTTAATTTACACTATATATAATATATATATATGTATATGTTTATATATATTATATATAGTATATTATATATTATATATAGGGTAAATAATATAGTGTAATTAGCATATATATAATAGTTTACACTATATATAGTAATATATCATATACGTATTTCACCACCTTCTACCACCACCAGCCTCAATATATCATATATATTACTATATATCATATCATATATATATCATCTCTCTCTCTCTCTGTCTCTCCACTTGGATGTTTCAAAGGCACCACAGACTCAACATATCTGAACTGAACACATGCTCTTTCTCTCTCAACACCTGGTCTTCCTTTGCTCCTGATATCATTGAACGGTGCTTCCCATACTCTCAGTTATGCAAGCTGAAAGCCCAAGACTTACTGTAACATTTCCATCTTTTTTATTGCCCACATCCAATCCATCACAAAGTTTGGTTCAGTTGGCCTCCTAAATATCTCTCAAATCTGTCCTCTTCACATCTACTGCTGTCAATTCAAGCCACAAAGAGATCATAAATCCTCTAGATTTGACTTGTCTATCCACATTCATTTTGGTCTCCTTCAGAACAGCCGAAGTGATCATTCACAATGCAAAGTTCTCCCATGGCTTTTCCACTGCCCTTAGGATAAACGTGGCCCCTCTGCCTACATCAGCCCCCAGTGGACACATATCCTCCCGCTTCTGCATCCAGCTCCCCAACCTGCCTTCAAGATCTCACATGTGCATGTCCCCCTACCACAGGGCCTTCCTCCTTCAACCTGGAAATTCTTACCATATCTTCTTAGCATTTACTCTGCTTCATGCTTCAGATCTCAACTGTCTTTTCCACAACACTTACCACAAAAATATTTGTTAAATGATGTTCAGGTTTGAGGTGGGGGACCCATAAGTAAGACTTCTCTTTTCCCTGACTGGGTTTAGAACCAATTGAGAGTTAAGATATGTCAGAAGGAATCAGATGAAGATCAAAATATCAGTTTTACAATCAACACAGTTTTTGAAAAATGAGGCTTAGATGTGCAGCAACACGCGTATCCCCAATAAAAACCCAAATCAGGCAGCCTCATTCACCCAATCTCCACTGTGCTGGAAATTGTACATACATGCCCACTGGATGGGCTCCCATAGAAGTCACCCCAAGAGGAAGAACAGAATGTGTGTCCAAGGGAGGAGAAAACAATGGGGCCAGGCTATGCTTCTACCATCACCAGCCTCAAGATCCTTTCCCATATTCACTAGCTGAGTGGCCTACTCCAGCTCCATAGGGAGGAATAAGAGGCAGCAACAGAGGTTGAGTTTGTTGGGGAAATCCTTTCTCATAGAAACCAGAGGAGTGGATAAGAAACAATTTACCCTCTGGCCGGGCGCAGTGGCTCACGCCTGTAATCCCAGCACTTTGGGAGGCCGAGGCAGGTGGATCACAAGGTCAGGAGATCGAGACCATCCTGGCTAACACGATGAAACCCCGTCTCCAGTAAAATTACAAAAAATTAGCTGGGCATGGTGGCGGGCACCTGTAGTCCTAGCTACTCGGGAGGCTGAGGCAGGAGAATGGCGTGAACCCAGGAGGTGGAGCTTGCAGTGAGCTGAGGTCGCGCCACTGCACTCCAGCCTGGGCAACAGAGTGAGACTCCATCTCAAAAAAAAAAAGAAAAGCAAAAAAGAAAAAAGAAACAATCTACCCCTAGCAAATAAATAGTTAAATGATGGCTACACAATGATGAGTGTATTCGTCTGTTTTCATGCTGCTGATAAAGACATACCCAAGACTGGGAAGAAAAATAGGTTTAACGGACTCACGGTTCCATGTGGCTGGGGAGGTGTCATAATCATGACAGAAGGTGAAATGCACTTCTTACATGGCAGCAGCAAAAGAGAATGAGAGAGAAGCAAAAGCAGAAATCCCTTATAAAACCATCAGATCTTGTAAGACTTATTTACTATCACAAGAACAGTATGGACGAAATCACTCCCGTGATTCAATTATCTCCCACCAAGTCCCTCCCATAACTCATGGGAATTATGGGAGTACAATTCAAGAGGAGATTTGGGTGGGGACACAGAGACAAACCATATCACTAAGTGTTGGAGATACAAAGATAATTAAGAATACCCAACATTTATTGAATGCATACTACATGCCTAGCTCTTGCACTCTGTTTTTTGTTGTTTTTTTTTTTTTTTTTTTTTTTGAGACAGGGTCTCGCTCTATTGCCCAGGCTGGAGTGCAGTGGTGTGATTACAGCTCACTTCAGCTTCAATCTCCTGGGCTCCAGCAATCCTCTCACCTCGGCCTCCTGAGTGTCTGGGACTACAGGCATGTACCACCATGCCCAGGTAATTTTTAAATTTTTTGTAGAGATAAGGGCCTCCCTATTTTGCCCAGGCTGGTCTCGAACCCCTGGGCTCAAGCAATCTTCCCACCTTGGCTTCCCAAAGTGTTGGAATTACAGGCATGAGCCACCATACCCAGCTTCTAGCTCTCTTTTAAGTGCTTTCTCTGTATAAATTCATTTAATATATTAGTAATTAATATAAATGTATAATTGTTAATATGTTGATAATTATACATATATAAATACAAATTGATTTTATTAATATAATTTATACTGTAATTTAACATATTAAATATAATATGCAACGTAATTATAACATACAACTATTATATAAAATAATATATACTATAGTATAACATATAATAGAACACAATTTAATACTTATTAATATTTTACTGTATTAATATATTTACTCCCTATAACAGCTCTCCTCCACCCTCACATTTTGGCCTTGAGAAGAGGCCTGGCTGATGTGATGCTGAGTTCTGAAAAAGGAATGTGTCTACCTGTCTCAGAACTTTCTCTCCGTATGCCTCTGCCTGCCCACACAGATGATGTACTTTTCTTTGCTCTGCCTTGTGCAATAAGCTAAGAGTAGGCCTATGGTTTTGAAGACTTTGTTTACTTTCTTAATCAAGAAAATCCCAACAGATGAATCAAAATTTCAGATTATGCTGACATTAAATAAAAATGTTACTGAGCATTAGCCAAACATGATCCTACAAGGTGGAAAATTAATAAAAAATCAGCTCCGTCCTGTGCATTATTTAGATTTTGGTTTTGGTAGACAGCATTATATCTAGTTTCGATAATTATACTTTGGAAAGATATCATGTGTGAAACAACAGGGACTCTCATTCACTGCTGGTGGGAATGCAAAATGGTGACTCTGGAAGATAGTTTGGTGTTGTCTCACAAAACAAAACATGCTCTTACCATGCAATCCAACAATCAAGCTCCTTGGTATTTACCCAAGGGAGCTGAAAACTACGTCCACACAAAAACCTGAACACAGTTGCTTATAGTACCTTTATTCATAATTGCCAAAACTTGGAAGCATCCAAGATGTCCTTCAGTAGGTGAATAGATAAACTGTGGTATATCCAGACAATGGCATATTATTCAGTGCTAAAAAGAAATGAGCTATCATGCCGTGAAAACACGTGGAAGCCAGGTGTGGTGACTGATGCCTGTAATCCCAGCACTTTGGGAGGCTGAGGCAAGTGGATTGCTTGAACCTAGAAGTCTGAGACCACCCTGGGCAACATAGTGAGACCTCATCTCTACAAATAATAAAAAAACAATTAGCAAGATGTAGTGGTGCACACCTGTAGTCCCAGCTACTCAGGAGGCTAAGATGCAAAGAAGCTAATCTGAAAAGGTTACATATTATGATTTCAACTGCATGACATTCTGGAAAGGGCAAAACTATGGAGACAATAAAAAGATCAGTGGTTGCCAAAGGTTAGTGGGGAGGAGCTGGGAGGGAGTAATGAACAGGCAGAACGCAGAGGATTTTTAGGGCAGTGAAAATACCCTGGATGATACTATAATGGTGGATACGTGTCATTATATATCTGTCAGAACCCATAGAATATAAAACACCAAGAATGAACCCTAATGTAAACAAGAAACATTGGGTGATAATTGTGTATCAATGTAGATTCATCAGTTGTAAAAAAAAGTAGCACTCTGGTGGAGGATGTGCTAATGGGGAAATGTATGCATATGTGGGGGTGGAGGGTATATGGGATATCTTTGTACTTTCCTCTAAATTTTGCTGTGAACCTAAAAGTACTCTGAAAAATGATATAATGAATGTACTTAAGGTTCTAAAAAAAATGACAACGATGATCAGATCAATAAATTATTGCTTTAAATTAAGGAATTAAGATACTTAAAACTTTTGTTGTAATACTTTATTATCTATTGATTTGATCCTCATTCTCTAAGCTTATAGAAGAAAAGGCTAAGAAATTATTTGATTACTATTTTCAAGGCCAGGTGCGGTGGCTCACACCTGTAATCCCAGCACTGTAGGAGGCTGAGGCAGGCGGATCACTTGAGGTCAGGAGTTCGAGACCAGCCTGGCCAACCTGGTGAAACTCCGTCTCTATTAAAAATACAAAAATTAGCCGGGCATGGTGGCAGGTGCCTATAATCCCAGCTGCTCAGGAGGCAGAGGCAGGAGAATCACTTGAACCTGGGAGGCAGAGGTTGCAGTGAGCCAAGATTGTGCCACTGTACTCCAGTCTGGACGACAGAGTGAGACTCCATCTCAAATTAAAAAAAAAAAAAAAAAAAAAAACCAAGAAATTATTTGATTATTATTTTCAAATAAATGAAGTGTTTTAATAAGTAGGATGGCTGTTCATTCACAATAAGAAATAAATTAAGTTTAAACAGATGGGGCTGGGGCTGGTGGCTTATGCCTGTAATCCCAGCACTTTGGGAGGACAAGATGGGAGGATCACTTGAGACCAGCTTGGGCAATGTATCGAGAACCCTGTCTCTACAAAAAAAATTAAAAATTAGCCAGGTATAGTGGTACGCACCTGTAGATCTAGCTACTTGGGAGGCTGAAGCAGGAGGATTGCTTGAGCCCAGGAGTTTGAGGCTGCAGTGAGCTATGATTGCACCACTGCACTTCAGCCTGGGTAGCAGAGCAAGACCCTGCCTCTAAAAAAAATTTTTTTAAGTAGCCTTTTGGTGTTTGAAATTTTAATTTTATAAACTACAAAAAATACAACAAAACCTACATTTCTACCATCCAGAATTAGCAACCACTACCATTTTGTTTTACTGTGTTTCCTACATTCCTTAAAAAAAAAAAGGCAGTCATACAGTACATGATAGAAATTACAATATTATTGAAGAGCTTACAATAAAAAAAAGTCCTCTATTTCCTCTATTCCCAAGCCCCTAGTCTTCTCTCCCAGAGGCAATCTCTGTCACATGCTTCTTTTATTTCCTTACAAAGATATTCTATTAAAAGTAAACATATATGTAAATGTATTTCTCCATTTTGTTTTTTGAAAATGGAACCTCATGATATACAACATTCTGTATCTTGCTTTTTTCATTTAATATATCTTAGAGTCTGTTGAAACAGGAGAGTTTTGGGTCTAGCATGAGAAAATCTTTTTAATTGTCATGATGCTAAGATTCTGGAATGACTCACTAAAACCAATAATAGTTTCAGCTATCTCAAGCTCCTTCTGGCACCAAATGCACAGGTGGGATTCCTGAGAAGCAGACTGTAAAATGGAGATTGTTGTACATGAATTTTATGAGGAAATGCTCTTGGGATCAACACACCTGTGAAAGAGACTGGAAGAAAGCCAGGCAGAATTGGGCAGAGAGAAAGTCTGGGCTGCAAAGCAGACTCAAGAAAGGCCTCAGCCGGCACCTTGGGGAGCTGAAGCTGGTCTGGGCCTTCAGGTTTCTGGAGTAAGAAAGCAACCCAGGCCTTTAGACCTGCACGTCAGTCATTGGATGCAGATGGCCCTGATGGGGAGGTGGGGTGTGAGCTTGGGCTCAGAGTCTCTTCAGCCAAGACAATTTCCAAAGAAGCTAAGGGCAGTCTGCTGGTGATACTCCAAAAAATACGGGAGAATGAGCTCTTCATTCCTGAAAGGGGATCTGGGTAGAGTTTTGTAGCATCCACTACAAAACAAAGTCCTTGTTTTTAGTACACAGTATAGTGTTTAGAAGTGAAATTTCATGATATATACTCTAATGTTCAAATGATTCAGGAAAATATATTTATGGGAGTGTGAAAAAAGAGATAAAAACAAATGTATAAAATGTTAACGATTAGTGAATCTAAGCCAAGGATACGTGGGTGTTTGTAGCACTGTTTTTGTGGTATTTCCATGGCACTGGTAGCATAGCAAGAAATTATATCTGGTACCCGAATGTTAGATCTAGATGCCATGACTCGTTAAAGGCAGATAATATAACTGTCTAAGGTTAGATTTTGTAACTGTCTAATGCTGGAGTTTCTGGCCAACATGATTAGAGGTACAAAAAATTTGGTCAGCCTTCATTCAGGTCTTCTCCCAACCTATAGGGACTTCATTCTGGGAGGAAGAATTTTCCACCAAGGCAACATGTCTTCAGTAATAATAGTGGGGACATTTGAGGAACCATGTTTTCTATACACCTTTTTTTTTTTTGAGACTAAGTCTCGCTCTTGTCCCCCAGGCTGGAGTGCAATGGCACGATCCCGGCTCACTGCAACCACCGCCTCTCGGTTTCAAGCGATTCTCCTGTCTCAGCCTCCCAAGTAGCTGGGATTACAGGCGCCTATCACCACGGCCAGCTAATTTTTGTATTTTTAGTAGAGACGGGGTTTCACCATGTTGGCCAGGCTGGTCTCGAACTCCTGACCTCAGGTGATCCGCCCACCTCGGCCTCCCAAAGTGCTGGGATTACAGGTGTAAGCCACTGCGCCCAGCCGCTATACACTTTCTTTTTAAAAAAAAGTCCAAAACTTGCAAATAGAAAGTACTGTATGGCCTTTCAATATCATAATAGATCATTATCTAACACACCTGCCTAAGACTCTAGATTCTCTAGAAAATATAATCTTGTTTGATTTACCATTTACTGATGATTAGAGCCTGGACTCTGTAAAGTTCAATATTACCTTGTAAAAAACTGATAATGATTTTTGTCCAGTTAATAAGATAACCTCAAAGGTTATGACTTTATTGCCCTGTAGGACATTTACCAGTTTTATATCTAATTTTGCCATCTTCTTCCAGGAGTCTTTTCTTTTTCACCAATCCTATAGATCAGCTTTCTAGATTCTCTTCAAATCAACTGAACCATTCTGCTGCTTTACTCATTAATGAGTTAAATAAATTTTTAACATGTGTTCACTATATATTTATATGAAAGTCACGCTTTGAAAATTGTACTCTGACTTTCCCCCAGGCTACTATCTCTTAGGAGCTTTTGTAAAAATGTGTTTCTTTTGCTTATCACCATAAATTCTAACTTTTAACTCCTGTTAGAATTTATAGATCGAAATGCTTTTTATGCCAAGTTTTCAATTCTGTCATCCATGGGACTACTTCAATGGAGTTTTCTGTGGCTTGCCACTGACAGCATTCTCCTTGAGATATATGTAGACATATATAGATATATATATATTGTATTTCTCTCCCCCAAGTGCTTTAAGGAATTTATAATTTCACTAGGTCTGCAAAAAATCCAGTGAGCCAATAAAGCCAGCTGCACAACTATTAAATGAAAAGAAAATATCTAAAAATGCCACAAAGCAAATAGCAGCATTAGGGTGAGTTATGTAATAGATAAAGCATTGCTGTGCAGCTGTGCGCTCTGGTCTGGTCCATCAATCATCCACTCTGACTGGGCTGGGCTTCGTTCCAATTGCCCAGTGCCCCTGTCATGCCAGTTGTTCAATATTTTTCATATCATCCTTGAATCAATACAGCTGTAATAAGGTTATTGTTATTTTTGTCATCTAAAATTACTACATGTTACAGTTCCGAAGTGTTATTTCTTTTGAAAAAACAAGAATGAACTTAGACAAAGTACTTAAAATAGTCAAATTCATTGCAGCAGAAAATAGAATAGTGGTTCTACTTACCACTGGAACTGGGGTTGGGAGAATGAGGACTTTACTAGAATAGAGTTTAATAGAATAGAGTTTCAGTTTGGGAAGATGAAAGACTCTGGAGTTGGAGACTGGTGATGATGGCACAACAATGTGAATGTACTTAATGCCACTGAAATGTACATTCAAAAATGGTTAAAATGCTTATTGGCTGGGTGTGGTGGCTCACACCTGTAATCCCAGCACTTTGGGAGGCCGAGGCAGGTGGTTTGTTTAATCTCAGGAGTTTGAGACCAGCCTGGGTAACATGGCAAAATCCTCCCTCTATAGAAAGTACAAAAATCAACCAGGCGTGGTGGCATGGGCCTGTAGTTTCAGCTACTTGGGAGGCTAAGGCAGGAGAATCGCTTGAGCTCAGGGAGGTTGAGGCTGCAGTGAGCTGTAATTGGGCTACTGCACTCCATCCTAGGCAACAGAGCAAGACCCTGTCTCAAAAAAATAAAAGAAAGAAAGTTAAAATAAGTTAAAAAGACTGGCCATATATTAATAATTGTTCAAGTTGAATAATATAGTATTTTTTCAGCTTTTGTAAATGTTTAAAAATTTTAATTATAAAAAGCTAGAACAACAAAAAAGTTAAAACGGTAAATTTTATGTTGTGTGCATTTTGTCACAAAAAAGTAAAAAATAGACAGTTTTGTTTTAAAAAGGAGACCACAAGTAGAAAATTTAGTTCATATAGATGATAAAAGGATAGAAGAAAATGATCTGTATTCAGAAAAGCAATAGAAATAAATGGCTAGGATCGGGCATGGTGATTCACACCTGCAACCTCAGATACTCAGGAGGCCAAGGTTAGGTGATTGCTTGAGTTTGAGCCCAAAGGTTCAAGACCAGCCTGGGCAAAATCACAAGACCCCATCTCTGAAGAACAATAACAAATGGTTAGAACTATTAATTTCTTTGAGGAGACTAAAGAAATAGATTGCATACTGGGGAATTGTTTGGTATATTAATGCCATATTTGAAAATTTTAACTTTTCACAGAGAGGAAATATTTAATCTCCAAGAGAACAAAATGAAATTTAAAAATTTAGGTTGATTACTGGAAACACTCCCTGTCTGGAAGATAAATATTAAATTATGAAAGGGCCTCCTCAGGGAAATTGTGAAAGTCATCATCCAAAATATTAAAAATTAAATCAGATAAAACATTAGCTGGACCTAATGTAGGAAATGATCCTGTTCTGGTTTGGAGGAGACAGACTGGGAGACTTATTGAGACTTTTCTATTATTTATTTTAAAGATTCTGCCAAGAAGCGAAACCCTTATGGCATAAGCTCTGAAATTACGATTCAGAGTTCCTAAAGAAACAAGTGTGTTATTAGAGGTTGGAGGTTAAAGTTTATACTCTTATTTTGAGCATATTAAAACAAGAGACCCAGAAATGCCCAGATCCTGCACTGCCAAGCATCCTTCCTACTCAATTGGCTCTAGCCACGTGAAAAGAAAACCCAAAATGCAAAACAACATTCTACTTCATTAATAGCTGAGCAAGCACTTGATACTCCCACAGAGAGGGAAGTGGCCCCTACCTGGATTGGAGAATGTAGTTTCTGCTGAAAGTGCAGGCAAGATCTCATTTCTTTTGCCCAAATAAAAGGGTCCTGAGACCCTGGAAGCCAAATGGAATGGAAGGGAGGAAGGTGTTGAGCCTGCCCCAGGTATAGGATACTTACCACAAGACAACAGACTGTCTATAGGCACAAACTTTAGGGTACAGTAATCCTGCCGATTAACAATGCTATCCCAACTGATAATCTGGGCTCTAAACAATAAAATTAGTAACTCCTCCATTGTTGCAGGCAATGAATGGACAGAGACTTAAAGTTATGGGGAAAGGGAGGAAGTGCCTTCTTTTCCATTTTCTCACACACTAAAAAAACATTTATGAGGAGCGATTAAATCTCAGAGATGCAGTTATTGAGTATGTTTTCATATGTTCACCTGCTTCAAAAGTGAAAAGGGCAATAGAAGCCTGCAATTAAAGGCCTTTATAGGCTTCAAGGATGGATGTCAAGGAATATTGTGGCTTGAAAATACAAAGTCCTGTTATAAAAGGAGACTTTCCTATAGTTAGAATATTAAGATTAATGTTTTGGTAGGAAGGGATATACTTTAAAAGCTAAACTCAGATAAAATTAAGGGAGAGTAGTCTGTGGTATTACATGGAGAATGCCACTGTCCCAAAGATGAAATGAAAAAAGTAAACTTTATGAAAGGAAGGAGAAGACTAGAAGAAATGTAAAATAAAAATGTCAAAAGTAGATGGCACAAAGATGATTGAAAACATGAGAATTTATCAGATAATCCTTGAGCAAGTCATAAATGAAAGGGTACTAGCCATTCATTCAGTCACTCATTCAACACACATTTATCAGGCGTCTAATTTTGTGCCACACACTGGTAAGTGTTAAGGATAAAACAAGCCACTGGGCACAGTGGCTCACATCTATAATCCCAATACTTTGGGAGGCTGACTGGGGAGGATTGCTTGAGCCCAGGAGTTTGAGACAACTCTGGACAACATAGGAGACCCCATCTCTACAAAAAATTTAAAAATTAGCTGGGTATGGTAGCATAGGCCTGTGGTCCCAGATACTTTGGAGGCTGAGGTAGAAGGATTGCTTGGGCTCAGGAGGTTGAGGCTGCAGTGAGTTGTGATCACACCATTGCACTCTAGCCTGGGCAATAGAGTGAGACCCTGCCTCAAGACAAAAACAAACAAACAAATAAAAAACAAGAGAAGGAGAGTGGGTGGGACAGACACTGTTTCTTCAGTGTAACAACAGGATTTTGTGGTGGATGAAACTCCTAGAAGGAGATCCTTGAATAAAAGAAGGATGTTCAGATAGAGCCTCAAAGACTCTACCTAATCATGATCATGATGATAAAGATAACCCAGCAAAGGAGTCTGAGGAGAAGCAAAGTAGAACCAGGAAAATATGGTGACACAGAAGGCAAGAGAAATGTTGCAAGGAAGAAGTGGTTACCAGTGTCAAAAACTGCCAAGAAATCAAGAAAGATGAGGATTTAAAATGTCCTTTCAATTTAGTGACATGGAGATAATTTAAACCACAACATGAGTCATTTCAGTGGAGTAAGGAGGTATAAACAAACAATGAAGAAATGAGTTCAATCATAAGACAGTGGAGCAAGATGGTGGAATAAATGTCTCCACTGATCATCCTCCCTGCCCCCTTCAACTCCACAAGGACACAAATTTAACAACTATTTATACAATAAAACACCTTTATAAAAACTAAAATTCAGAAAGGAAAACTGGACCAAACTCAGCTGATGCCCACCTACAGAGGGAGCATTTAAATCAGCCTTAGCCGAAGGGGAATTGCCAATCCCTGCAAACACCATCAGAAGCTAGTGTTCTGGGGCTCTTAATAATCTGGAAATGCAGTCTAGGCCACAAGAACTGCAACTTTTACGTGAGTGCTAGTGCTAAACTGGGCCCAGAACCACTGGATGGGGTGATGCAACCTACTGAGACACCAGCCTGAGCATCTAATGGAATGCTGGCATCACCCCTCCCCTCACACCAGGCTGCACGGTTCACAGCTCCAAAAGAGACACCTTCCTTCCACTTGAGGAGAGGAGAGGGAAGAGTGTTGAGGATTTTGTCTTGCATCTTGAATACCAGCTCAGCCACAGCAGGAGAGGGAACCAGTCAGAGTTGTGAAGACCTCTTCCTAGGACTTAGTTCCCAGATGACATTTCTAGACATGTCTTGGGCCAGAAGAGAACCTGCTGCCTTGAAGAAAAGGACCCAGTCCTGACAGAATTCATCACCTGCTAACTGAAGAGCCCTTGATCCCTGAATAACCAGCAGCACTACCCAAGTACTATGTCGAGAGCCTTGGGTGAGCCTCTGAGATTTGCTGGCTTCAGGTGAGACTCAGGACATTCCTGGCTGTGGTGGTTATGGGCGAGACTCCTTCTTCTTGACAAAAGCAGAGGGAAAAGTAAAGGGGACTTGGTCTTGCATCTTAGGTACCAGCTCGGCCACAGTATAGTAGGGTACCAAGTAGGTTCTTGGAGTCCCTGATTCTAAAACTTGGCTCTTTGAAATCATTTCTGGACCTGCCCTGGGCCAGAGGGGAGCTCACTGCTCTGAATGATGAGCCCCAGGCCAGGTAGTTTTCACCACAAGATGACTGAAGAGCCCTTGTACCATAAGAGAATACCCGCAGTAGTCTGGCAGTACTCCTCGTGGGCCTGTGGTGGTGATGGCCACAGGGTGAGGCTCCTGTGCCTTTGGAAAAGGGGAGGGAAGAGAGGGAAGAGTGGGAAGACTGCATCTGTGGTTTGAGTGTCAGCTCAGCTACAGTATAATAGAACACCAGGTAGACTTCCGAGGTTTTTGACTCTAATCTCTGGTTCCTAGATGGCACCACTGGACCTGCCCTGAGACTGGGCTAACTCACCACCATAAAGGGAAGGACACAGGCCTAGTTAGATTTGCCACCTGCTTATTGTAGAGCCCCAAGTTCTTGAGCAAACATAGTCAGTGGTCAGGGAGTGATTACAGCAGGCCTTGGGTAAGACCAAGTGCATTGCAGGCTTTAGATCTGACCCAAACAGTCAGAGTGATGGTGGCCACAGGGGTGCTTGTGTAACTCCACCTCCAGCATCAGGTGGCTCAGGACAGAGAGATAGAGACTCCATTTGTTTGGGAGAAAATAAGGGAAGAGAACAAGAGTCTACGCCTGGAAATCCAAATAATTCTCCCAGATCTTATCAAAGACCATCAACGTGGTACGTGTACAAGTCTGCAAGAACCACAGCTTTGCTGACCTTGAGGTGCCCCCTAAAGCAGATACAGCTTAGATCACAACACTCAAGTCTTTTGAAATATCTGGAAACCTTTCCCAAGAAGGATGGGTACAAACAAGCCCAGACAGTGAAGACTACAATAAATACCTAATTCTTCAATGCCTAGGCACAGATGAATATCTACAAGGATCAAGATATTCCAGGGAAACATGACCTTACCAAGTGAACTAAATAAGGCGCCAGGGACTGATCCTGGAGAAACAGAAATAAATATATGGCATTTCAGACAGAAAATTCAAAATAGCTGTTTTGAGGAAACTCAAATAAATTCAAGACAACACAGAGAAGCAATTCAGAATTCTATCAAATAAATTTACAGAGATTGAAATAATTAAAAAGAATCAAGCAGAAATTCTGGAGCTGAAAAATGCAATTGGCATACTGAAGAATGCATCAGAGTCTTTTAATAGTAGAATTGTTCAAACAGAAGAAAGAATTAGTGAGCCTGAAGACAGACTATTTGAAAATATACGGCCAGAGGAGACAAAAGAAAAAAGAATAAAGAACAATGAAGCCCATCCACAGGATCTAGAAAATAGCCTCAAAGGGGCAAATCTAAGAGTTATGGGCCTTAAAGAGGAGGAAGAGAAAGAGATAGAGGTAGAAAGTTTATTCAAAGGGATAATAACAGAGAATTTCCAAAACCTAGGGAAAGATATCAATATCTAAGTATAAGAGGTTCTAGAACACCAAGCAGATTTACCCTAAAGAAGATTACTTCAAATCATTTAATAATCAAACTTCCAAAGATCAAGGATAGAGAAAGTATTCCAAAAGCAACAAGAGAAGAGAAATAAATAACATACAATGGAATTCCAATACATCTGGCAGCAGACTTTTCAGTGGAAACATTACAGGCCAGGATAGAGTGGCAAGACATATTTAAAGTGCTGAAGGAATAAAACTTTACCTTAGAATAGTATATCCAGTAAAAATATCCTTCGAGCATGAAGGAGAAATAAAGACTTTCCCAGACAAACAAAGCTGAGGGATTTCATCAACACTAAACCTGTTCTACAAGAAATGTTAAAGGGAGTTCTTCAATCGAAAAGAAAAGGACATTAATGAGCAATATGAAATCACCGGAAGGTACAAAACTCACTGGTAATAATAAGCACATAGAAAAACACAGAAAGACGCCGGGCGTGGTGGCTCACGCCTGTAATCCCAGCACTTTGGGAGGCCGAGGCAGGTGGATCATGAGGTCAGGAGATCGAGACCATCCTGGCTAACACGGTGAAACCCCATCTCTACTAAAAATTACAAAAAATTAGCCAGGCGTGGTAGCGGCCACCTGTAGTCCCAGCTACTCCAGAGGCTGAGGCAGGAGAATGGTGTGAACCCGGGAGGCAGAGCTTGCAGTGAGCCAAGATCACGCCACTGCACTCCAGCCTGGGCGACAGAGCAAGACTCCGGCTCAAAAAAAAAAAAAAAGAAAAATACAGAAAGTTATAACACTGCAACTGTGATACATAAACTATTCTTATCGTAAGTAGAAAGACCAAATAATGAACTAGTTAAAAACAAGAACTACAACAATGTTTCAAGGCATAGACAGTACAATAAGTTATAAATAGAAACAACAAAAATTAAAAAGTGGGGGGATGCAATTAATGGATAGAGTTTTTATTAGTTTTCTTTTTGCTTGTTTGTTTGCTTATGCTAACAGTGTTAGGTTGTTATCAGCTGAAAATAATGGGTTATCAGATAGTATTTGCAAGCCTCATGGTAACCTCAAACAAAAAAGGATACAACAAATACACAAAAAATAAAAAGCAAGAAACTAAATCATATCTCCAGAGAAAATTACTTTCACTAAAGAAAGACAAGAAGGAAAGAAAGAAGGACAGAAGACCACAAAACAACCAGAAAACAAATAACAAAATGGCAGGAGTAAGTCTTACTTATCAGTAATAACAGGGAATATAAATGGACTAAACTCTCCAATCAGAAGACACAGAATAGCTAAATAAATAAAAAAATGAGACTCATTGATGTGTTGCCTACAAGAAACACACTTTACCTATAAAGGCACACATAGACTGATGAAGAAAGGGAAAAAGATATTCCATGCCAATGGAAACCAAAAAGAGCAGGAGTACCTATAGTTACAACAGACAAAATAGATTTCAAGATAAAAACTATATGAAGAGACAAATGAGGTCACTATGTAATAATAAAGAGGTCAATTCAGCAAGAGAATATAACAAATGTAAATATCTATGCACCCAACACTAGAGTACTCATATATATAAAGGAAATATTATCAGAGCTAAAAAGAGAGATAGACCCCAATACAATAATAGCTGGACTTCAATACCCCGCCTTCAGCATTGGCTAGATCATCCCAGCAGAAAATCAACAAGGAAAACATCAGACTTAATCTGCACTATAGACCAAATGGATCAAATAGATATTTACAGAGCATTTCATCCAATGGCTGCAGAATACACATTGTTTTCCTCAGCACATTAATCATTCTTAAGGATAGACCATACATTAGATCAAAAAAACAAGTCTTGGGCTGGGTGCGGTGGCTCATGCCTGTAATCCCAGCACTTTGGGAGTCCGAGGCAGGCAGATTACTTGAGGCCAGGAGTTCAAGGCCAGTCTGCCCAACATGGTGAAACCCCATCTCTACTAAAAATACAAAAAATTAGCTGGGCATGGTGGTGCATGCCTGTAATCCCAGCTACTTGGGAGGCTGAGGCAGGAGAATCACTTGAACCCAGGAAGCAGAGGTTGCAGTGAGCCAAGATCATGCCACTGCACTCCAGCATGGGCGACAGAGCGAAACTCTGTCTCAAAAACAAAAACAAGTCTTAAAACATTCAAAACATTAAAATAATATCAAGCATATTCTCTGACCACAAAGGAATAAAACTAGAAATCAATAACAAGAAGAATTTTGGAAACTATGCAAACACATGAAAATTAAACAATATGCTCCAGAATTACCAGTGGGTCAATGAAGAAATTAAGAAAATTGAACATTTTCTTGAAACAAATGATAATGGAAACACAACATACCAAAACCTATGGAATATAGCAAAAGCAGTACTAAGAGGGAAGTTTATACCTATTAATGCATACATAAAAAAAAGAAAAACTTCAGATAAACAATCTAGCAATGCACCTCAAAGAATTAGGAAAGCAAGAGCAAAACAAACCCAAAACTAGTAGAAGAAAATAAATAAAGATCAGAGCAGAAATAAATAATTTTTAAATGAAGAAAACACTGCAAAGGATCAATGAAACAAAAAGCTGATCTTTGAAAAGTTAAAGTAAATTGACAGACTAAGAAAAACAGGGAGAAGACCCAAACAAACAAAATCAGAGGCGAAAAAGGAGACATTACAACTGATAGTACAGAATTTCAAAGGATCATGAGTGGCTATTTTGAGCAACTATATGCAAATAAATTGAAAAAGCTAGAAGAAATGGACACATATGTAGATACACACAACCTACCAGGATTGAACCATAAAGAAATCTAAAACCTGAACAGACAAATAACAAGTAACGAGATCAAAGCCATAACAAAAAGTATCTCAGTAAAGAAAAGCCTGGGACCCAATGACTTCACAGCTGAATTCTACCAAACATTTAAAGAAAAACTAATATCAATCCTAATCTAAGTATTCTGAAAAATAGAAGAGGAGGGAATACTGCCAGACTCATTCTATGAGGCCGGTGTTACCCTGAGACCAAAACCAGACAAAGACGCAACAAGAAAAAGAAAACTACAGGCCAGTATCTCTGACAGACATTGATGCAAAAATCCTCAGCAAAATACTAGCAAAGAGAATTCAACAATACATTTTAAAAATCATTCATCATGACTAACTAGAATTTATCCATGGGATGCAAAGATGATTCATCATATACCGATCAATAAATGTGACTCACCACATCAACAGAACGAAGGATAAAAACTATATGATCATTTCAATTGATGCTGAAAAAGCATTTGATACAATTTAACATTCTTTCCTGATTAAAAAAACCCTTAAAAAGCTATATATAGAAGAAACATACCTCAACATAATAAAAGCCATATACAATAGACCCACAGCTAGTATCACACTGAATGGGGAACAACTGAAAGCCTTTCCTGTAAGATGTGGAACACAACAAGAATGCCCACTGTTACCACTGTTATTCAACATCATACTGGAAGTCCTAGCTAGAGCAACCCAATAAGAGAAGAAATAAAAGGCATCCAAATTGGCATCGGAGAAGTCAAATTATCCTTGTTTGCAGATGATATAATCTTATATTTAGAAAAACCTAAAGACTCTACCAAAAAACTATTAGAAATGATAAATTCAGTAAAGTTATAGGATATAAAATCAACACACAAAAATCAGGAGCACTTCTATATGCCAACAGTGAATAATCTGAAGAAGAAATCAAGAAATCTCATTTACAATAGCCACAAATGAAATCAAATACCTAGAAATTAACTTGACCAAAGAAGTGAAAGATCTCTATAATGAAAACTATAAAACATTGAATGAAAGAAATTGAAGAGGACACCAAAAAATGGTGTTCATGTTCATGGATTGGAAAAAAAAAAAGGCGTTAAAATGTCTGGCCGGGCACGGTGGCTCACGCCTGTAATCCCAACACTTTGGGAGGCCAAGGCAGGTGGATCACCTAAGGTCAGGAATTCGAGACCAGCCTGACCAATATGATGAAACCTCGTCTCTACTGAAAATACAAAAAGTAGCTGGGCGTGGTGGCAGGTGCCTGTAGTCCCAACTACTTGGGAGGCTGAGACAGGAGAATTGCTTGAACCCGGGAGGCGGAGGTTGCAGTGAGCCAAGATCATGCCACTACACTTCAGCCTGGGTGACAGAGCAAGACTCCATCTCAAAAAAATAAATAAAATAAAATGTCCATACTACCCAAAGCCACCTACAGATTTAATGCAATCCCTATCAAAATACCAATGACATTCTTCACAGAAATAGAAAAAAATCCTAAAACTTATGTGGAACCACAACAGACACAGAATAGCCAAATCTATCCTAAGCAAAAAGAACAAAACTGGAGGAGTCACATTACCTGACTTCAAATTATTATACAGAGCTATAGTAACCAAAATAGCATGGTACTGGCATAAAAACAGACACATAGACCAATGGAACAGAATAGAGAACCCAGAAACAAATTCACACATTACAGTGAACTCATTTTTGACAAAGGTGCCAAGAACATACATTGGGGAAAAGATAGTCTCTTCAATAATCCTTGGAAAAGTGAATATCCATATGCAGAAAAACTAGACCTCTGTCTCTCACCATATACAAAAATCATATCAAAATGGATTAAAGACTTAAATCTGGTCAGGCATGGTGGCTCACACCAGTAATCCCAGCACTTTGGGAGGCCAAGGCAGGAGGTGTGCTTGAGGCCAGAAGTTTGAGACCAGGCTGGCCAAAATAGCAAAACCCCATCTCTATCAAAAATACAAAAATTAGCCAATTGTGGTGGTGCACACCTGTAATCTCAGCTACTCAGGAGGCTGAGACACAAGAATCACTTGAACCCAGGAGGCAGATGTTACAGTGAGCCAAGACTATACCACTGTACTCCAGCTTGGGTGACAGAGCAAGACTCTGTCTCAAAAAAAAAAAAAAAAAAGACTTACATATAAGGCCTCATACTATGAAACTATGACAAGAAAACATTGTGTAAACTCTCCAGGACAATTGTCTGGGCAAAAATTTTTTGAGAAATACCCCACAGGCACAAGCAACCAGAGCAAAAATGGACAAATGGTATCACATCAAGTTCAAAAGCTTCTGCACAGCAAAGGAAACAATCAACAAAGTGAAAAGACAACTCACTGAATGGGAGAAAATATTTGCAAACTACCCTTCTGACAAGGGATTAATAACTAGAATATAAAATCAGCTCAAACAACTCCATAGGAAAAAACTAATAACCCAATCAAAAAACGGGCAAAAAATTTGAATAGACATTTCTCAAAAGAAGATATACAAATGTCAAACAGGCATATGAAAAGGTGCTCAATATCACTGAGCATCAGAGAAATACAAATCAAAACTATGATGAGATATCATCTCACCCCAGTTAAAATGGCTTATATCCAAAAGACAAGCAAAAACAAATGCTGGTGAAATGTGGAGAAAAGGGAACCCTCATACACTCTGGGTGGGAATGTAAATTAGTACAACCACTATGGAGAACAGTTTGGAGGTTCCTCAAAAAACTAAAAATAGAGCTACCATATGATCCAGTAATCCCACTGCTGGGTATATACCCAAAAGAAAGGCAATCAGTATATTGAATAGATGTCTGCAGAATCCTGTGTTTGTTGCAGCACTGTTCACAAAAGCCAAGATTTGGAAGCAACCTAAGTGTCCATCAACAGATGCATGGATAAAGAAAATGTGGTACATACGCACAATGGAGTATTATTCAACCATAAAAAAAAAAGAATGAAATCCTGTCATTTGCAATAATGTGGATGGAACTGGAGGTCATTATCTTAAGTGAAATAAGCCAGGCATAGAAAGACAAACATTGCATGTTCTCACTTACTTGTGGGATACAAAAATCAAAACAATTGAACTCATGGACACAGAGTCCATGAATAGAAGGTTTGTTACGAGAGACTGGGAAGGGTAGTGGCTGGGGTTGGGGGCGTGGTGAGAGGGGAGGCGGAGATAGTTAATGGACACACAAAAAAATAGAAAGAATGGAGAAGGCCAGGAGCGGTGGCTCACGCCTATAATCTCAGCACTTTGGGAGGCCAAGATGGGTGGATTACTTGAGCTCAGGGGTTCAAGACAAACCTGGGCAACATGGTGAAACCCCATCTCTACAAAAAATTAGCCAGGCATGATGGTGTGCACCGTGGTCCCAGCTACTCAAGAAGCTTAGGTGGCAGCATGGCTTGAGCCCAGGAGGCTGAGGTTGCAGTGAGCCAGAGTTGTTCCACTGCTCTCCAGCCTGGGCAACAGAGTGAGACTACATCTCAAAAAAAAAAAAAAAAAAAAAAAAAGGATGAATGAATGAGACCTACTATTTGACAGCACAACAGCATGACTAAAGTCAATAATGACTAAATTGTACATTTTAAAAATAGCTAAAAGAGTATAATTGGATGGTTTGTAACACGAAGGATAAATGCTTGAGGAGATGGATACCTCATTTTCCATGTTATCATTACATACTTCATGCCTGTATCAAAATATCTCATGTACCCCATAAATATATACACCTACTATGTACCCACAAAAATTAAAAATAAAAAAATTAAATATAGTAAAACAGTAAGAGGAAATGGAGACAGTAAGTATAGACAATGCTTAAAATTTTTTGGAGAAGTTTGACTGTGAAGGGAAGGACAACAGCAAAGGAGACAGTAAAGTCTGAGGAGGGCTTTCTGACTTCTTCTCTAGCCTCTCAAATGATGGGAAAGACTTGAGCACATTTAAGTGCAGATAAGAAGCCTCTGGGTCAAGGAGAGAGTTTAAAGATGCAGGAGAAAACACTGGAGAATCTATTGAGAATAGGAGGAAATGGGATGTGGGCACAGATGGATTAATCTTTGATAAGAACATGAACACCTCTTCTGCCTAATGGCAGGGAAGGAAGAGAGACCATCTTGTGTAGATTTTGACAGTCCGGAAGGTTTGGTAGAGTAAATCAAGGGAGTTATTCCCTTGGCTCCAATTTCAATGGGAAATAGGAGATGAAGTCATAGGAGAATGAGGAGTGAGGCTAGGTTGCAAAGGGCCAGGGTTGACTAATCAAAGATAGTAGACAAGATTGAAGGACAGTGTCTATGACAAAGATAAGGACAGGATCTATGCATATTGATATATTTGGTTACAGCTCAAAGATCAGAGCACACTACTAAAAAAGCATGTGGGGCTGAGAAACTCATCAATATTTATATGTCGTGCTGATGCTCTTGGTTCTAATAGTCTTTACGAGTTTAAGTTTCTTAGTGGCACAGAATCCAAGATATGCACCCTTTCATTCTTTCATTCATTCATCAAATTCTTGTTGAGCACCAGTCATGTGCCAGGTACTATGCTAGGTGCTTGGGAGATATGGCTGTGAACAAAGTAGAACAAGGCTGGGAGCCTTAGGGACCTCTATTCACATGATCATGACATGAATTGTGCCCACGGAGCTGGAATGGTGCCAGTGCATGGAATTGGAAAGTCTCTCCCTTCAAGGGGCTCTTATAATGGTAGAAAAGAAGGCTGGCTGGGATGAAGACAAATATGCTGTATTAGTCCGTTTTCACACTGCTATAAAGAAATACTTGAGACTGGGTAATTTATAAAGAAAAGAGCTTCAATTAATTCATAGTTCCACATGGCTGGGAAGCCTCAGGAAACTTAAAATCATGGCAGAAGGGGAAGCAAATACATCCTTCTTCACATGGTGTCAGGAGAGAGAGTGAGTGCAAGCAGGGGAAATGCCAGGCACTTATAATACCATCAGATCTCATGAAAACTCATTCCCCATCACGAGAACAGCATGGGGAAAACTGCCCCCTTGATCCAATCACTTCCCTCCCTGGACACATGGGGATTACAATTTCAGATGAGATTTGGGTGGGGACACAGAGCCAAACAATATCATAAGCTAACAAACAAATGTGATAATTTTGAATTCTTGGTAAGTTTTATAGGAGAACAAAAGCAAATGAGGAAATAGAAAGTAATGGGGTGGTGGGGATGCAGTGTGGTAAAGGCTACTACAGACTGCCTGGCCAGGAAAAGCCTTGCTGAGGGATGATACTGGGGCTGAGAAACATAGAGCCACAAGAAGAGGCAGGGAAAAGCCTGGGGGCCAAGGGAATGGTATGTGCTAAGATAGAAAAGTAAGGAGTCCTGAATGACTGGATACAGTGAGCAAGAGGTCAGCAAGGTAGACGGTCCAGATCCTGTGAGGCCTTTCAAGCCATGATAAGGAGTTTGGATTCTATTCTAAGTGTGATGGAAAGCTACTGATGTTATTAAGAGAAGAGTAAATGTTGTGATTTACAGATTTAAAGGATCACTCTGGCTGCTGTGTAGTGAAATGGATTGGAAGGGGAAAGATCAGAGAGGCCACTTAGGAGGCTACTGAATAAATAATATAAGTGAGAAGACAGTAGCTAAGATTAGGGTGGGGTGGTGGAGGTGGAGAAAAGTGGAACAATTTGGGATCTGTTTTAGAGACAGACCAACAGGATGTAGTGTTAAACTAGTCATTGCAGACTGGCAGTAAAGGAAAGTGGAAAATCAAGGTTGACTCCTAGTTTGTAAGTTGAGCAAATGGGTTGAATGGTGATATTATCTGATGGGATGAAAAATACTGGGGCAGAAGTAGATATTGGAGGAAAAGTCCAGAGTCTCACACTGCACATTTTAGTTTGAAGTGCCTACTACACATGGATCTACAGGTCTGGAGCTTCAAGCACAGGTCTGGGCTAGAGGTTTGGAAATCATCAACAGAGAGATAGTATTTTAAGCCTCAAGGTATGAGGAGATCAGCTGGAGAGAGAATGTATGTAGAGAAGAAAAGAGGTACTATAGCATGCTGACTTCAGAGATCAGCTAGAGGATGAGCCAGCAAGAAAGCAAGGAAGTCTGAAAAATGAGAAAAGAGAGGTAGAGGAAAAGCTCAAAGACGGCAATGTCCAGACTCCAAGAGGAGTGTGTGTTCAGAAAGAGAGAGTGGGCAAGCGGCTGAGAGAATTCGAAGAAAAGGATGGAAAGGGCACCATTTCTTATGCCACATGAGGATTATTGGTGACATTAAAAAACTGACTCAGTGGACTGATAGAAACAGAGGTATTGGGGAGGAAAAATAATTTTCCCTCAACCCCTCGTAGTTCTTAGCTGGGATGCCTATAACAAAAGACAGATTAACAAAAGAAAAACAAACAATTTAATTAATGCATACAGCACACATCATCTGGGAGAAATTTCAATGAAAAGTAACTCAGATCAATGGCTTATACAGCATATACAGCATCTTCAACAAAGAACAATACATTTGTAGAGAACAGACAAAGAAAAGCAATTTTAGACTTCTAAGGAAAGTTAAATATATTGGAGGAAACTAACAGATAAAATTTGTTTGCAAATCACTCTGGTGCCATGTTTGGGTTGGTAAGAGTCTAGAGTGGTCTCCAGCAAAGGAGAATTTATAGCCTGTCTTTAGGCAGAAAAGGAGGTTGGATAAAGAGAGCTTTTCCTCTACTGCATCTTAATTGCCTTTAGCTCAAAAATAATTTTTATGTCAAAGAGGCAGTTTTGATTCATACAGATGTGAAAAAAAGAAGCATATTTTGAGGTGACATGTTTTCTTCAGATGCAAATGTGGGGGTGAGTTTTAAAGTAATCGAAAATTGAGAAAGCAAAGCTATTACATACAGGCCTTTCATTTGAGTGGTTTTGTGTTTAAAGGAACACAGAAGTAAAAATATAGGGAGATATGTGATCGAGAGGGACTTGTTTCTTTATGTATCTAAATGGAAGATAGTAGAGTCTGTTTATATGGTGAAGGAAATTATATGGAACCTAAAAATGAAGAGTTATCTTTTTTTTTTTTTTGACACAGGGTCTCACTCTGTCACCCAGGCTGGAGTACAGTGGTGCAATTACGGCTCACTGCAGCCTCGACCTCCCAGACTCAGACTCAAGTGATCCTCCCATTGCAGCATCCCAGGTAGCTAGGACAACATGTGCATGCTACCATGGCCGGCTAAGTTTTAAAAATTTTTTATAGGTTGGGGGGGTCTCCTCATGTTGCCTAGGCTGGTTTTGAACTCCTGGGCTCAAGCAATCCACCTGACTTGGCTTCTCAAAGTGCTGGGATTACAGGCCTAAGCCACCACCCCTGGTCAAGAGTGTATCTTTTAATAGGTGTAGGGACACATTTTCATTTGTTTACTAAGTTCTTGTATTTGTTTTGCTTTATTTTAGAGATAGCATCTTGCTCTGTTGCCCAGGCTGGTCTGAACTCCTGGCCTCAAGTGATCCTTGCATCGTGGCCTCCCAAGCCAAAGCACTGGGATAGAGGCATGAGCCATCACACCCGGCCTAAATTCTCCCTTTTATTTTCTTTCTTTCTTTCTTTCTTTCTTTTTTTTTTTTTTTTTTTTTTTGAGACAGAGTCTCACTCTGTTACTCAGGCTAGAGTACAGTGACACGATCACAGCTCACTGCAGCTTTCACTTCCTGGGCTCAAGCAATCCTCCCACCTTGGCCTCCCAGGTAGCTGGGACTACAGGGGAACACCACCATGCCCAGCTAATTTTTTGCATTTTTGGTGGAGACGGGGTCTTACCATGTTGGCCAGGCTGATCTCAAACTCCTGGATGCCAGTGGTCCACCCCCTCACCCCGCCCCAGCCACCCGGCCTCCCAAAGTGCTGGGATTACAGGCTTAAGAGCCACTGCACCGAGCCTAAATTCTTAATGAATTATTTGTTGAATTTAGTTCAAGAGAGAAGAAAGGTTTATACAGTGACACCTCCCAGGCACCAGATGGCAATGTTCAGCTGCTGTTCTGTTCCCTGTCACCTGAGAGCACCCTCTCAAGAGCTAGTAGATAACATGCACTTCTGTCCTTCCAAGGTGGACTGAGTTGGCCCTAGGGCAGTTGAAATTTTAGATGACTTTCTGGTTTGGCTCTTTTAGTGGAATTGCAACTCCTGGGAAAGAACAGAGGGTTTATGCATTTAAAGAGGACATTGTGTTACAAAGGACAAAGGGTAGGGAACATTTCTCAGAATGGGTTTGAGAGTCAGCAGTTTACCTGCCACCCAAAACTAGGAGGAACCAGCTAGACAATAAATAACACTAAAAATCAGGGAGAAGCCTACATGTTTATTAACAAGGAAACACTGATCCATCATTGTAGGATGAAGGCAGCTGTGAGGACTGGATTCTTGGCCTGTGGATTTCCAGTGACTCTCACAGGTGGCAGCAGCACTTCTAGGCTGGCAAATGCACTTCTGTGCTGTCACCGCTGGTTTCTCTATGGCCTCTGACTCTCTGCCCTAGTTATACTGAAACTAATCTCAATCACATCCTTCCTTTCTTACATCCTGGCCCAGATCTGACCTGGGAAGGGCTTCCATCCGATCAGCACAATAACTCAAGCAGCCCCACCCTCTCGTTGACTAATATTGACAGTATTTGTTTAAATACATTTGTGATCAACTTACTCTAGCCTCTTGGGCCTTTCTACTTTTATAAGATGGTTAAAGCCTTCCAACAACCCAATCTTGAAAATTGATGTGTATTTCTTCTAGCTTGGCAGGGCTTTTCCTATTTCCTCCTGGATATTTGGAATTATCCCAATGAAGAATCTTTTAAACAAATATTTCCTCTTATATTCTCTTTTTCTTTTTTTTTCCTTTGTTCTTCCTGATAACCACAAATCAATCTAAATCCCCCTTACGTTTTTCATAGTCTTTACTCGTGCTTAGGTCTTCTTTGCTTTGAAAAGTGTCTTTGTTTCTGGTGCACCTCCAAATTACCATCTTATTTCTTGCTTTTCTTTCCCTGGCAAACCTCCCTTTATCTTCTTTAACTCTTGGAAATCTGTTTTCCATCAGCTTTAGAATTGTCCTCTGCAAGGTTAAGAGTAACTTTTGCCAGTCACTATTTTCCTGAACTTTTCTATGTCATTTGATACTGTTGACCAACCTTTCTTTCTTCAAATAGTTTTTCTTTCTTCTTTTTTTTTTTTTTGGCTCACCTAACTAATCTGATTCTTTTCTCAGCTCTGATCCTTTCTTCTCTGTTACCTTAGATAACTCTTCTTCCTACTTCTGCCTGTGGGGAACAGCGACCCAAGGGGCAGCCTCATTTGGGGACTCTGAGCCATTCATTAGGGCTCACTTCTGTGTTAATGACTTCTCTGTGTGATCTGATCGTCTCACAAGACTGCCAGCCTTCTTTATCTAATTGTCCTTTAAACATTTCCACTGAATGTGATGCTTTCACCCCAAGTTCAGTATTACTTTTTAAAAACTCTTCATCTTTACCTGGCTCCCTGAAATCATCTCCTTTAAACTTCCATTTCCCTGTCCAGGAGTACCCCTGTTATTCCAGTCACCTCAGCATAAAAACTTTGAAGCATTTATGACCATCTTTTTTTTAGACCTAGGTTTTAGTCCCAGATCTTCCACATACCAGCTGTGTGGCTTATTTAGGACAAGTTGTATAACCAGATAACCGATCTGTCCATCAGTGAACTCACATTAAATAAGGATAGTAATAAAAACTAAGGGTTATTGTAAGGAACATTTAAAGTGACTTGACAGTGCCTGGAACATCAAAAATGCTCAGAAACTTTTTGTTAATACTATTTTTGAAATCCCCTGCATCCTCCACCCCCTATTATTTATCTTACCAACCAAAGGTTTTTTTCTTACATCTAAGTTATGAACAGATTCCGAACCAACCTTTCAGATTCCAGTCCCTAGCTCTTTCAAACCATCATGCATGTTTTTACCAGATTAATCTTACTTGAACATTGCTTTCATAATATTACTACCACACATCAACATTTTTTTTTTTTTTGAGATAGCGTCTTGCTCTGTCACCCAGGCTGGAGTGCAGTGGCACGATCTTGGCTCACTGCAACCTCTGCCTCCCAGGTTCAAGGGATTCTCCTGCCTCAGCCTCCCCAGTAGCTGGGATTACAGACGCATGCCAACACACCAGGCTAATTTTTGTATTTTTAGTAGAGAAGGGGTTTCACCATGTTGGCCAGGTTGGTCTCGAACTCCTGACCTTGTGATCCACCCACCTCAGCCTCCCAAAGTGCTGGGATTGCATAAGCCACCGCGCCTGGCCCACAAACCAATTTTTAAATGGCTCCTCTTTTTTTTTTTTTTTAAACCACAGAGTCTAAACTTCTGTCCTTCCTGGTTTGGCTTCACTCTGTGGCCACCAACCCCAAGCATCTCCTTAGCATTTATTCCTTTCTTCTCCTGGCTGGTGAGCATTCCATACTCACTTCTGCCTCGTGATTTTCCCATGCTAATTGTCTTGATAGGCCTAACTCCATCTACTCCTTTGTCTGCTTAGCTTTATCGTCTTCAGAAAACATATCATGACTTCGTTAATCAGCTTCTTACAGAGTCTAGACTATCACAGTCCTCAAAATGGATCTGTACTTCACAATTTAGCCTTTTATTTTTGCTCCCTTTTTTCCCTTCTGATTTCTTTATTACTTTATTATTATATAATTCACATACCATAAAATTCAACGTTTTCAAGGATACATGTCAGTAGTTTATAGCAGCAGTCCCCAACCATTTTGGCACCAGGGACCGTTTCGTAGATGACAATTTTTCCACAGACTGAGGTGCAGCAGGGTGGGGTGGGGGAATGGTTAGGGGATGAAACCGTTCCATCTCAGATCATCAGGCATTAGATTCTCATAACAAGCGTGCAACCTAGATCCCTTACATGTGCAGTTCACAATAGGGTTTGCATGCCTATAAGAATTTAATGCTGCTGCTGATCTGACAGGAGGTGGAGCTCAGGCAGTAATGTTCATTCGCCCGCCACTCACCTCCTGCTGTGCAGCCCAGTTCCTAGCAGGCCACGTACTGCTACCGGTCTGTGGCCCAGGAGTTGGGGACCCCTGGTTTATAGTATATTCATAGAGTTGTGCAGACATCACCACTATCTAATTTCAGATCATTTTTATCACCCTCAAAATAAACATTGCACGTATTAGTAGTACTTCCCATTCTTTCCTCACCACCCTCCCCGCTGCCCCCAGTTCCCAACAACCACTAATCTGCTTTCTATCTCTATTGTTTTGCCTATTCTGGATATTTCACATAAGTGGAATCATACAATACCTAACTTTTTGTGTCTGGTATCATTCATTTGGCATGATTTCAAGTTTATCCATTTTGTGGCATGTATTGGTACTTAATTCTTTTCTTAGGCTGAACAATCTTTCTTTCTTTCTTTTCTTTTCTTTTTTTCAGACGAAGTTTAACTCTTGTTGCCCAAGCTGGAGTGCAATGTTGCGATCTCGGCTCACTGCAACCTCCACCTCCTGGGTTCAAGGGAATCTCCTGTCTCAGCCTCCCGAGTAGCTGGGATTACAGACGTATGCTGCCACGCCCAGCTAATTTTTGTATTTTTAGTAGAGAGGGGGTTTCACCATGTTGGTCAGGCTGGTCTCCAACTCCTGATCTCAGGTGATCCGCCCACCTGGGCCTCCCTAAGTGCTGGGATTACAAGTGTGAGCCACCATGCCCAGCCGAACAATATTTCATTGTATAAATATACCACATTTTGTTTATCCATTAATTACTTGAAAGACGTTTGGGTTGTTTTCATCTTTTAGACATTATGAATATTCATGTATGTTCAAGCTTTTATGTGGGCATATGTCTTCACTTCTCTTGGGTATACACCTAAGAGTAGAAATGGTGGGTTATGGGATGTCTGAATCTATCTGTGCTGCTGCAACAAAATACCACAAACTGGGTAGCTTATAAACAATAGAAATCTGCTTCCCACACTTATGGAGGCTGGAAAGTCCAAGATCAAGAGGCCAGCAGATTTGTGTCTGATGAGGGCTGCTTTCTAGTAAACAGTTGGCACCTTCTCGCTGTGTCCTCACATGGTGGAAGGGGCAAATGAGCTCCATTAGGCCTCTTTTATAAGTGTGCTACTCCCTTATTAAAGGGATTAATGATCTAATCAAAGGCCCCACCTCTTTATTTTTAATTAAAAAAATTTTAAAGTTTGTTTTTAGAGACAAATGAAAACAACAAAAAAAATTTTTTTAATTTGATTTTAGGGCCTCACTCTGTCATCCAGGCTGGAGTGCAGTGGCATGACCACTACTCAATGCAGCCTCAAACTCCTAGGCTTGGCCAGGCGCAATGGCTCATGCCTGCAATCTCAGCACTTTGGGAGGCTGAGGAAGGCAGTTTGAGGTCAGGAGTTCAAGACCAGCCTGGGCAACATGGTGAAACCCTGTCTTTACTAAAAATACAAAAATTAGCCAGGCATGGTGGCATGCCAAGTAGTCCCAGCTACTTGGGAGGCTGAGGTAGGAGAATCACTTGAGCCCAGGAGATGGAGGCTTCAGTGAGCCAAAATCGTGCCACTGTACACCAGTCCAGGTGACAGAGTGAGACCTTGTCTTGAAAAACAAAAGAAAAAAAAATTCCTGGGCTCCAGCAATACTCCCACCTCAGCCTCCTGAGTAGCTGGGACTACAGGTGCCCACCTTGATGCCCAGATAATTTTTTTTACTTTTATTTTTGCAGAGACATGATCTCACCATGTTGCCCAGGCTGGTCTCAAATGCCTGGGCTCAAGCGATCCTCCCACCTAGGCCTCCCAAAGTGCTGAGGTTATAGGCATGAGCCACTATACCAGGCCTTCCCCATCTCTTAATATCATCACATTGGGGGTTTGGATTTCAACATATGAATTTTAGGAGGACACAAACATTCAGACCATGGTAGCTATGTATATGCTAACTATATCTATATATATATGGTGACCATATATATAGTAACTCTATGTTTAACTTTTTGAGGAACTGCCGAACTGTTTTTCAAAGCAACTTACCATTTGCTTTCCCATCAGCAGCGTATAAGGGTTGCAATTTTTCCACATCCTAACCAACACTTGTTATCATCTTTTTTATTATAGTCCTTCTAGTAGGATGTGAGGTGTTATCTCATTGTACCTTAATTTGTATTTCCCTGCTGATAAATGATGTTGAGAATATTCTGTGTGGCCATTTGTATGTCTCCTTTGGACAACTGTATATCCATATTCTTTGCCCATTTTTAGTTAGGTTATTTGTCTGGGGTTATTGTTGAATTGTAATAGCTCTTTATTTATTTTTTATACAAGTCACTGAAAATATATATGATTTGCAAATATTCTTCCCATTCTATAAATTGCTTTTTCACATTTTGGTTGCTGCCTTTAAAATATAACTATTTTAAACTTTGATAAAATCCAACTTAACTATATTTTCCTTTGTTGCTTATGCCTTGATGTCTTATTTAAGAAGCCATTGCCTAATCCAAGGTCATAACGTTTAGTACTATATTTTCTTGGAGGAATTTTATAGGTTTAGACCTTACATTTAAGCCTATGCTGTATTTAGTTAATTTTTGTATATGTTGTACGTGGCTGTCCTTTCTGATGTTTTAAATATAAGCCTCCTGTATCAGATAGATGTTCCTTAAGAATTTGTGACATGTGTTATACATTTACATGCCTGTCTCAATGTCCTACACTGTGCTAGACACATAGTTACTGTGTTTGTACGTGTGAACATTTGATATTTTTGTTGAGGTGAAGAATATTTCACAAGATGTCCTGGTGTTCAAACTTAAGTCGGTGGGGGGAGGTGGGGGAAAAGGTATCCCGAGCATGGTTTCCTACATAAAACTTTCTGTAACTAAAGCAGTAAATGTAAGCAGTGCATTTCTTTCCCCTTAAAGATTTCACTGTTATCTCGGAGCCCTTCTTTGGTCTGTGAAAACAGCCATATTCCTAGCAAATCTTGTTTCTCAGTTTGCCAGTCCTTTTCTTGCTAATTACAGTGACTGCCCATTTCTGTCAAAAAAGTGGCTTTTGCAACCTCCCTTCCCATTTAGATCACATTCCACACCCCTGGATTTCTACCTCTTTAGTAGCGTTATTGGTGTGTGCCATTTTTGGCAATCCCCAAGACAAAGAAAGAATTCTACCCACCTGGTATTTGACAAGAATAATTCATTACATTTCATCTTGCTGGCCTCATGTCGCATTTTCAAGTCCCCCCTTACACATTTCACACCCACACAAATCCTCTCTTATTTTCTCCTACCCCCATCCTCTCTCCTTCTTTCAAACCCAGGGGTTATATTTTGAATTGACCTTCTAGAAATATAAAGCACAGTGCAAGTAGGCACAGAAAAAAAGCTAAAGTCAACCTGAGCATTACCAAGCCCGAGGGCTGCATTTGACGGCAGATCTGTGAGGCACTGCTTGGTCTAAATCTAAGTCCAGTGCTTGGTACCTTATTTGGATATTGCTGCTTTCATTGCTTGAGCTGTTCTTCCAAACACTGGCGTACTCAGCTACTTTTCAGTATGATGTAAGTACCACAAGCATTGCATTGTCCTAGTGGTTCTAGCAGGGGATTTCAGATAAGAGTCTACATTTGAATACATTCTAAATCTTAGGTAGAAGTGAATATTTAAGAAATGCACTTGAAAGCGTCACTTGATAAACTGGAAAAAAAAAATCCCAGTTTCAGAGAGGTGAGGCTGACTCCTCTTTAATCTTCAAAGCAAGTGACAGCTTGAAATAGTCAAAAAGAAGGCCTGAAGGGATCAGCTGCACCCAACCTAATCTAATTATTCTTCCACTGGTACTTAACTGAAGGTCCTTGCCTTCCTGTGCATTAATTGCTCAAATATATACTGCTGACTTTCTAAAGCCAGTAAAGTGTCTTATGAAGCTATACTCAAGCGATTTCAAATGTTAAGAAATAGGGCAGTTATTCACAATATTAAAATTCCCCACCCCCACTCTCTGTCACTAAATGTAGAGAACATTCGTAGAAGTGGATTCAGGAAAGCACGGTAGTTAGAGCAGTCGGTGCTGTCGTGGGGGTGTTCAGAAAGTAACTCTTACTGGAAAGTGGGAAAATAACTAGAATTTGGAAACCGAGTACAGATGCTCTGCAACTTATGATGAGGTTACATTCTGTAAATTGAAAATATTGTAAGTCAAACATGCATTTCATATACCTAACCTACCGACGAACATCACAGCTTAACCTAGCCTATCTTAAATGTATCCAGAACATTTACATTAGCCTCCAGTTGGGCAAAATGATCCAATATGAAGCCCATGTTATAGTAAAGTGTTGACTATCTCATGTAATTTATTGAATACTGTACTGAATGTGAAAAACAGAAAGGTCCTAGGGGTATTCAAAGTACGGTTTCTACTGAATGCCTATCGCTTTCACACCGTCATAAACAAAAAATCATAAGTCAGGGACCATCTGTATTAAAAGAGTTTCTAAACCATGACAGTTGGCTTCAACAATTTTGTCTGAAGGAAAGGGAATATTCAGAAAGGGCATAGATATTTTAGGTTCTAGAAAGGCATGTTTAGAAAGCCATAATTTTTTTGTAGCTTACTGGAGCATGTGCAAATGTCATAAGATACAATTCTTAGCTTCATTCCCAGCTCCATTTTAAATCTCTACTCCAAAATAAATAAATAAATCTCTACTCCACCCCTCTAAGCCTCCCAATCCCCACCCACCTTTTTTTTCTTGTTTTGTGCCACTTATAATGTATACTATCTCACAGTTTATGCATCCTTATACGTTGCCATAAATCTTTTGGGGGATAAAGTGGGGGAAATAAATAAGTATATTTTTAAAGTGGGGATTTTCCCATTGAGATTTGTTTTTTGTTTTTCTGCGATCAATCCAGGCTGGAGGGCAGTGGTGTGAATACAGCTCACTGCAGCCTCCACCTCCTGGGCTCAAGTGATCCTCCTGCCTCAGCCTCCCAAAGTGCTGGGATTATAGGCATGAGCCACTGTACCTGGCCCCTGAGATTTCTCCATGGAACAGACCCACTGTTTCTTTGACATTTGTGTTGGTTTGACACCAGCATGTTTTCCATTTTCTCTGTACCAAGCTATTGTGAATTTGTGGACAATGAAAATAATTTGAAATCTCTGCTCTTAAAGAACTCAAGTTTTCTTTAGAACTATTTAAAAAACACCAAAGGAAACCTCTGAAAATCCTGTCCATCGTTCAGTCAGTAGCTGCTGTATCCAGTGTCTATCATCGTGAATGTCATGGCATGTACAGAGAAACTGAAATGCTGGATGCAATTCTAGGTGGTGGTGTAAAGTTTTTGAGTTGGCAGAAAATAAAGAATAAAAGAAAGAAAAAACTTCCGTGATCTCAAGACCCAGAGAGCTTCTTAACATTTTGCTGTATTTCCTTACAGTCTTTTTCTCTGAACATTTAACGTAAATAAGCTCTTAATTTTATAGCTGCATATCCAGTTCTGCAGTTTTGTGCCCTAACAAGCAATTCCTTAATTTATTAAAAACATTTTCCTGTATATTTTCAACCCCATAATTTACATAAACTCCCTCATCTCCGGACATTCATATTGCTTTCAAGTGAACTATTTGGAACGTCCACGAGTAGAAATATTGGAGAGTAGACAGATAAGAGACTGAAGGCATCAATTTCTCCATGATAACTAGCTAAAAACACTGTAGTGGTTTTCCCTATTTTTTTTTCTGCCAAGCCTTTGGCATCTGACTAAATTTTGCTGCTTTCACTCCTTTCTGAGTTCCACCCCTTTCTTGAGGCCTCTCATCTTGTTTCCCAGTAATGTTAATGAACAAAAGGTTATCTGCCTAGCGAGTTCCTTTTCCAAGCGTTTGAGACAATTCGACAAGATTATGAGACTGCGAACTGGAGTCTTTTATCTTTAAAAGGTATTTTAATCTGAGCCTTCTTGACGTTTATTTTCTGAGCCCATGAATTTGCTAGCGAGGCAGTTTCTCTGGTTTGCTGTTTCTGAAAGGAGTTCCCTCAACAGAGTACAACAGTTAATGGGGGAAGTGGAAACAAAAGCGGGAAGCAGGAGGACCGTTCCCCATCACTAGCCAGTCTTCAACAGGTGAAGTTGTTTAGCTCTTCCTGGTACCTGCAGGCACCGTTCCAGAAGTATTAAAATCCAAGGTGTGGCTGAGGGTGGGATGGAACATGTATCTCCATCTAACAGCTTTAATAGACTGTTAGTTCTAACTTGCATATAAAAACACACAAATAAGTACAAAGAGCTGGAGAAGCTGGGGAAACAGTTTCTGAGTAAAACCTGTGGCACTAGGTTGTGTCTTTCCTTTCCCCTCAGGCAAGAGCATCATCTGTTTGACTGGCATCTGGCTGGAGCGTCCGAAGGGGTTAAGAACGCTTGCAAACTCCTGGGAGTCCAGTAGGAGTTGCTGATGGTGCCGGACATTGCTTGCAAAGCAATTTTTGTGGTTCACCTCCCTCGGGGTTTTCTTATTCTTTTGTAGGACATTCAAGGAGTTGGTTTGGGCATTTACTTTTTAAAGTTTCTCCGTCCCAGACTCCTCTCTCCAGCTCCCGGGGTGCGGCACCTCTCACCTCCCTGAGGCTTTTTGTCTCGCTGCAGGCGTGGGGAGGGGGCGAGAGGACTTTGTTCTCCGAAAACGACCTTGCCCTGGGAATTTCCTGGGGCCGTTTCTCACGGACAAGCCCCCTCTCCCTGCTGCCAGCGCGGACACACGCCGCGGGGGCCCCAGTCCAGCCTGAGCTCTAGACGCCCCGCCGGCCACCAGCGCCCCGGGAAAGGCCGCCCGCGCTCCCCCGCTCCCCCTCCTCAGGGCCCGCCGCCTAGAGCCCGGATGTTGGATTCAATTCCTGAGCCGGGTCCTTCATTTCCATAAAAGGGCAGCGCTCCGCGGGGCCGAGATTGCCGCCCCGCCGCGCCCCCCGCCACCCCCGCGCCGCCCCGCCCCACGCCGCCCCGCCCCGCCCGGGACCCGCAGCCCCCTCCCCCGAGCGCGGCGCCGGGAGGGCGGGGGCAGAGGCGAGGCCGGCCGGACCCGCTCAGGGCAGCTCTGCGGGCGGCGAAGGAGGGAGCCAGCGCGCCCAGCCCAGCCAGGCTCGGACAGAGGGGGCGGGGAGAGGGTGGAGCGCGGGGAGCCAGGCGAGGGGCCGCGACGACGGGACTCCATTAGCCGCTCCGGCCACAGGCAGCGCTTCGCCAGCCGAGGAACCGGACGCGGACACCGCCGCCCCGCGAGCCTCCAGCCCCTCGCCTGTTGCCGCGCGAGTCCCGGGCCCGGAGCGCTAGGAGCGCGCGGTGAGGGAGCGGGACCCCGCCGGGACCCGAGGGGGCGCGGCGGGGAGGGGAACGGGGAGTCAGCCCGCGCTGTGTCTCGGGGCCGGCCGGCAGGTGAAGCCCTCCGCGGTCCGCTAGGCGGGGACGGTGTGGGGCGGGCGGCGCCGGGACCGAGGAACGCTGCGGGGCGAGCGGGGCGTAGGGTCCTCCCGCAGCCCCGGCCGCCGCCGCCCTCCCGAGTTTCTGCCGAAAGCCCCGGGTCCTCCACCACCTCCCAGCCCGTGGCCGGCGCTGCGAATTCGGTGGGATTCGCCTTTCTTTGGGGGAGTGACGCTTACGAGAGCCATTTCCTCCGCGCTCGCAGGAAGGAGCCATGGCTCTGGACGGGATAAGGATGCCAGATGGCTGCTACGCGGACGGGACGTGGGAACTGAGTGTCCATGTGACGGACCTGAACCGCGATGTCACCCTGAGAGTGACCGGCGAGGTGCACATTGGAGGCGTGATGCTTAAGCTGGTGGAGAAACTCGGTGAGTAGCATCCCAGCCGCGTCCAACTAATGACTTCCCAGAATTGGTAGGGGGAGGAAAGAGGCTCACGACGGGGGAGGGGCCCATTTGAGAAATCTTGGCATCTCGCAAATGCTTTTTGGAGATGTAAAATCTTTCAGTATTTAAGCAGATAGACCTGTTCCCCTTTGCGTCTTATTTTGTTTTGCTATTCTCTGAATTTTCATATGTAATGATTCGAGCCTCCCAATTATAACCTTAATTGCGTAGTTACGCGGGACGGGGGATGTGTGCCGGGGAACTCGTTAATTCTTAACATTTACTGACAGAACGATAAAAGAATGAGGAAAGTGTGTTGGGAGGGTGATATTACAGTGTCCGTGGTTATCTATGTCTTCAGCATACCTGAATGTTAGTGACGTTTGGTATAGAGAATGATGCAAAATCCATTTAAGAAAAATCTGTGCTGGAAAATGTGCAACTACTGGCGCCAGTGTGAAGTTTCTGTGGCTGTTCTACGTGGTGGAGTGCATTAAAATGTTCCAGTCATCCACTCTTACTAGGGGTGGGGCAGTGCTTGACAAACTTGGTATCCATAGTCCATGCTCGATGTAAGCCGTTTCGAGCGTTCGGTTTTATATTAATAACAAGCCAAGGAAAGAACTTTGTGTTAAAAAGCAGACTTTGTTAAACTAATTTGAGGTTGACGGTGTTTGCTTGAGTACAAATATGTATTGGATTGATATCCGATTTAAAATAATAAGGTATCTTACAGTATGAAGTGTGTGAAGAGTGTGCAGTACACATTTTTGTGATGAATGAAACCATTTTCATCTGGAAGAGTCAGCTAAATAGATGATTTGATCATAAGAGAAATGCTCAGAGAACTATCTTCCTGAGCTTTAAAGAGCCTTTTGTACATAATACAGTTGTGATAAGATGATTATCTGTGTGGCATTGTCTTTTTAGGCTGGAATTGTTTTTTGTTTTGGTGAAGGGGGGTTGGGGACTTTCTGGGGGTTTTTTTCGTCTTTTTTTTTTTCTTTTTTTTTTTAAACACAGCATTCGTTTTCAAGCTACACTGGGAAAGTAGAGAAGTGCTTATTTGTCAGGAAATCTATTTCTTACCAAAGGATTATTGTATGTAAAGGTACTGAAATAGCACTCTGATGCATTTTGCAAAATAAGGCAGGATTCATTTGGGTGGACCTGCTTTGTACCCCTGCAGGAAGTTTTATTATTGAAGGACCAAAGTGAAGCTCCTTACAAGGTAGCCTCTTCCTTAAGACTGCATTGTTTGGCTCCCTGAGATACAGCTCAGGAAAGAAAATCCTCCTAGGTAGCCCAGTGAAAATTAGATTTTGCTGTATTGATTAACCATTTAACTGGCAGTTAACAGTATTTTTATCTGATTTGAATAAATCAGTCACTGTTTGCAAAATATGTATGAACCTTTTTTGTCCAGCTCTGGTATGAGATTATTTAAGAAGGAAAATAGCAAATATTTGGATATTTTGTTTTCAAAGAAAACAAGCATTTTTGTTAGAGCTTTTCTAATTTATGGTAAATGGACCATATTAATACATTGGTCTCAATAGGAGATATTTTTTATATTGCAAAAAAAGGAGCTGTTGAAGGTGACTGAGACAACTTGTAGTTCTCGAAAGCCAGGCTGTAGCTAATGAATAAATAATGGTTTCTATATTTATTTTGCATTGCTTAGGACTGTTTATTATAGAATCACAGTAATAAATAGAAATATAGAGAATAAACTGCAGACAGAAATGATGTTAATTTAAATGACTATAATCTTAATCTTTTAATGCTGATACATTTTTAATTTTTTATGCAGAGAAAAGAAGCCCAACAAGGTAGGAAATGCTGTGCGTATGGAAACCTTACATCTTTTCTGAACTGAATTCATACTGATTCCTCTTATATTTTGAATTCCAAATAGAAAGTGCCTCTGACTTTCCTGTTTGGTAAAAGTAGAGCTAAGTGATGCTTTTGGTTTTTAGGATTAGATGCTTTGAATGGTAAGCTATTTCGTTGCCTATCAGCAAGTAAATAGAGGAGAGATTCGGTAGGGCAGCATTTAAAACATCCACAAATCAGGCTAGTCAAATTAGAAAAGAACTTTGTAATTTTTCAGAGTTGCGTAAAACTGGAATGACCTGCCTTCTGAAGCCCTGACTTATGTCACTGAAGGTATTAAAGGGCAGACTGGATGACTACTTGCCAACAGTGGCTAGAGAGGATCAAAGCAGCTTGCAGAGTCTAGATAAAAGGTGGAGATGGTGGTAGGGATGAGATGGTACAAAGTCTGTTGTCTCAGGTTTGCAGAGCAGTGATGGAAAATTAGCAGACTTGGGCTACTGTGGCCTTGAAGCAGTTATGAACAGAAGACACCAGAGCATTCACTTACATTTTCAAACTCCAGACTGTCTGATATCCTTCTTAATCTGTTGGACGGTATATGAATACCAAAAGCATTATATTTTAAGGTGATTTTCCCAGATAATGTTCAGTAGCAGCAATTATTTCCCTGAAGTCGATAGATCTCAGGATGACCTATTCCCTCAACATTGTATTAAAATTGTGTGTGTGCACATGTGGAAGTTTCTAGGAAGAGGCTTCTTCACTTTAATTTCTCAAAGAGGTCTGTAACAAAAGAAGTCATGACACAATTTTATGGTTTGGCCCTTGTGTGTCAGGTTCATCTTGAAGCTAGGGTTCATCCCAGAGTGCGGCATTTTAATTAAGCACGACATAAGTGTAAATAATGTTTCCTTAATATGTGTCAGTAATATCTTTGTGTTTAGTTAGACTTTTATTATAAATAACGTGTACACTTTGCTTAAGGCCATTAAAACACAATTTTTAGAATTTTGACTTTAATTCAAAGATCTGAAAAGTCTCATTTATTTATTTATTTATTTATTTTTTACTTTTTGAGACGGGAGTCTCACTCTGTCGCCCAGACTGGAGTGCAGTAGCGCGATCCCGGCTCACTGCAAGCTCCGCCTCCTGGGTTCACGCCATTCTCCTGCCTCAGCCTCCCGAGTAGCTGGGACTACAGACACCCGCCACCATGCCTGGCTAATTATTTGTGTTTTTAGTAGAGACGGGGTTTCACCGTGTTAACCGGGATGGTCTTGATCTCCTAACCTCGTCATCCGCCTGCCTTGGCCTCCCAAAGTGTTGAGATTGCAGACGTGAGCCACCACGCCCATCCTAGGTCTCTTTTAAATCTCAGTATAAAACACATTTGTCATTTGCTATTAATCTTTTAAAAGAAAGCAAAAGCATATGTCATGAAGTGGGCTTTGGGGAATTATATCGTAATGTGACAAAGTTTTTGCATTTGTGACTTAGTCTAGGCTGATACTTCATAAATAATTGATCCCCTCAGTGTTTATACTTCATCCAGAAAGTGAAAAACACCCTAAAATCCAGTTTAGGTTGGGTACGGTGGCTCACATCTGTAATCCCAGCAGGCAGGGAGGCTGAGGCAGGTGGATCACCTGAGGTCAGGACTTCGAGACCAGCCTGACCAACATGGAGAAACCCCATCTCTACTAAAAATACAAAAATTAGCTGGATGTGGTGGCATGTGCCTGGAATCTCAGCTGCTTGGGAGGCTGAGGCAGGAGAATCACTTGAACCTGGGAGGCGGAGGTTGCAGTGAGCCAAAATCACACCACCCAGCCTAAGCGACAGAGCAAGACTCCGCCTCAAAAAAAAAAAGAATTGTGAAAATTTAGTACTGTTTGGTTTGGTTTGAGGCAAGGTCTTGCACTGTCACCCAGGCTGGAGTGAGTGTGTGTTCATGGCTCTTTGCATCCTCAAACTTCTGGGCTCAAGTAATCCTCTTGCCTTAGCTTCCTGAGTAGCTGGAACTACAGGCACGCACCACCACATCTTGCTGACTTTTAAAATTTTTCGTAGAGATGGGTCTTGCTTTGTTGCCCAGGCTGGTCTTGAACTCCTGGCCTCAAGCAGTCCTTCCACCTTGGCCTCCCAAAGTGTTGGGATTACAGATGTGAGCTGCCATGCCTGTTTTTTTTTTTTTAATCAAAGACAAATTTCAAACGTGTATAGTGTTTTTTAAAAGAAAAATTTTAAATATGAAATATCAGGGATAAGGATTATAAAAACAAGACATCAAAATAAAATTGTCTTCAAAAATAAATTTTGTCAAGAAGAGGCCCAATTTTATGGGATTCCTCTGGAGGTCATTGAGAAGTATTAAATCCTTGGCTGGGCACGGTGGCTCATGCCTCTAATCCCAGCACTTTGGGAGGCCAAGGCGGGCAGATCAGAAGGTTAGGAGCTCGAGACCAGCCTGGCCAATATGGTGAAACCCCGCCTCTACTAAAAATGCAAAAATTAGCCGGGTATGGTGATGGGCACCTGTAGTCCCAGCTACTCGGGAGGCTGAGACAGGAGAATCGCTCGAACCCAGGAGGCGGAGGTTGCAATGAGCCGAGATAGTGCCACTGCACTCCAGCCTGGCAGACGCTAAATACCAAGTGGATCTGTTCACTGAGTTTTAGTATCACTTTTTAAAATGTCTTTTTAAAACTTATGTGTACAATTAAATTTCCACCTTTCTATAAAAATTCATTTTAAACGGAGAATAAGGAATTTATTATAATCTGGAGCTCACTGAATGGAAATCTCCAGCCAGCTCTGTGAGCAGAGAGGAAAAAATAGGTGATCTCTAAGTTTCCTCTAGCTCTGATTCTATGAGTAGAGAGAATGTAGAAGTTGGGTTAGATCAAGTCACACAATCTACAAGGGAAAAAAATGCAAATTGGAAGACTCAGGAGTAACTAAAAAGAAACATATGAAGTTGCTTTAGAAAGATTGAGGATTAGGCCGGGAGTGGTGGCTCACGCCTGTAATACTAGCACCTTGGGAGTCTGAGGCAGGTGGATCACCTGAGGTCAGGAGTTCTAGACCAGCCTGGCCAACATGGTGAAATCCCCGTCTCTACCAAAATTACAAAAAAAAAATTAGCCAGGCATGGTAGCGGGCGCCTGTAATCCCAGCTACTCAGGCTGAGCCAGGAGAATCGCTTGAACCTGGGAGGCGGATGTTGCAATGAGCTGAGATCACACCACTGCACTCCAGCCTGGGTGATGAGCGAGATTCCGTCCCCCCGCCCCCAACCCACAAAAAAAAAACAACAACAAAAAAACATAGAACAATTGAGGATTGGCTGGGTGCGGTAACTTACGCCTGTAATCCTAGCACTTTGGGAGGCCGAGGCTCAGAAGTTGTTTGCTTGAGCTAGGAGTTTGAGACCAGCCGGGCAACATGGTGAAATCCCGTTTCTACAGAAAAACAGAAAATACAAAAATTAGCCAGGCGTGATGGCACG